>NC_000002.12:47766109-48069140 GCF_000001405.40 Homo sapiens | reverse complement strand
TACCGCCTACACTCCCATTCCCCTGCTAAAGAGAACACCTCACATTGAAAATACTTTATGAAGTACTGAGATGGTTTTTATATGTTATCTCACTTAATCTTCCCAAGAGTCCTATGAGAGAAGATTATAATTATCCCAATTAAAAGTAATTCCATTTACTGCTTTCCCTAGAAACATCATTGCCTTGGCTCAGTGACATTATACTCTCCAGGTTTTCCTCCTCCTGCCTCACTGCTCCTTCTCAGGACCTTTGCTGGCTCCATTTCTCCCTGCCCCTTTAATACTGAGGTTCCTTAGGACATGCCCTGGAGTTGTGCTACACGAATCCTAGGCCATCTCATTCATCCAGGAACTTTAATTGCAGCATGCATGTCTAGGCTCACCAAGACCTTCTGAGCCCAATCCTCTCCTGGAGATCCAAGCCTTTACAACACTTGTGCTTGGATATCTCAAAGGTCCCTGAAATACCATATGTCTAAAGCTGAATGCCTTCTCTACCCCCACCCACCCACCACTCGCCATTACCACTGAAAAATCTGGCTCTTGGTCCTTAATTTCTCTGTCCCCAGCCCACAGTCAATGGTCAAGACCTGTCTGCTGTTCCCCTCCTCATGGCCTCTCACCTCCACCGCTACCATCACCTCCTCACTAGGACTCCTGCAGTACTCCCTAAATGGTTCCGCCACATCCACTGTGTCCTTCTTTAACCCACTCCCTGTAGAATAACCTGAGAAGTTTTTTTAAAATACAAATCTCATCAAGCCACACCCCTGCTATAACAGTCAATAGTTGGCCATGGCCCTATAGCTATGGCTCCCCAGCTTTAATATGGCCTCTGAGACTCAGGGCAGTATGAGTCCCTGCCCAGCTTTCCAGCCTTATCTCACCCCACTGTCTCTTTCACCAACACTCCTGCTTCTCTGGCTTCCTTTCAACTTCTTGGAAGTTCAAGGGTCTTGGTACCCCATGACCTTTACATCGTCTGTTCTTCTCATCCAACTAACTCTTAATCATCCTCAGAATCTCAACTTAAATGTCACTTCCTCAAGGAGATCTTCCCTAATTCTTTAGATAAGGCTAACTCCCTTTGGGATGTGCTTTGATGGCACACAATCCTCATCACTATGAAAATGACGTGTTTAATGTCCGTCTGCTTATCCAGACTGTAAGCACCCCAAGAGTGAATTATTTTCAGCACTCTATCTTCAGTATCCAGTGCAGTGTCTAACACATGCTTTGTTTTGTGTTGAATTAAGTGGTTTGTCCAAGCCAGGCTGGAAATGTCAAAGTAAAGACTTGAGCCCCAATCTGTCTGACTCCAAAGGCCATTTTCCCTATACCTTTTTCCATCACTGTGTATTCCCCTCCTCCCACCACTTCTTAGATGTCCTGAAATGGCAGTCATGTGGTCATCCCTTAGAGGAGGTAAATCTCAGCCTTTTGGTTGAGAATACCCTATATCAATCCTCAAGCATCCCAGGCAAATGTGAAGACCAGGGAAGAGCTGCTCAAGGGCCCCCTAGTGTGGTGGGGTATGCGTTTGCTCTAATGTGTGTCCACAAATTCTTTGATACTCCTCTCTGTGAGAAATGGAGCTTAAGCCCCTTCCTTGAGTGTGGACG
Organism: Homo sapiens; assembly: GCF_000001405.40. Taxonomy (NCBI): domain Eukaryota; kingdom Metazoa; phylum Chordata; class Mammalia; order Primates; family Hominidae; genus Homo; species Homo sapiens. The sequence goes on along the minus strand of NC_000002.12, from coordinate 48,067,518 downwards.
GGATTTAGTGACTCAATTCTAAGGAGTAATTTTGGCACAAGTGACCCGCTGTAACTTCCGAGACTAGATCGTAAGGACATAGCAGCTTCCACTTTGCTCTTGAGATGGGAGAGTTCCCTGGTCCCTGCCTCTTCGTCGTTCAGATGCTTCTCTTCTTCTCTTCTCTACCACTCTGCTGTGCTGCTCTGCTCTTCTGCCAGTGGAGTTTGGGGTTTTTATGGGTACAGGATGGGAAGCATGGTGGGCCAGGGTGGTTTAGGAAAAGGCGACATTCAAGCGGGAAAACAGGGAAGTAAGTGATTTGGGCCACAGTCTCAGGCTTTTCTACTTAAGGGTGGGGCTTCGTCAGGGACCCTGCCTTTTTCGGCCTTGAATTTCTCTGCCTCCTGTACCTGTCACTCTCACTTGGATCACCTCACTCTGGGGAAGTCAGCAGCCGTGTCATGAGAACATTTAAGTAGCTCTATGAAGAGAGGACCACATGGTGAGAAACAGGGGCCTCCTCCTACCAAAACAGCCAGCCAGACACTGAGGCCTTCTAGCAACAAGCCACGTGAGTGAGCCATCTCAGAATGAGATCTTGTAGCCCAGTTGAGCCTTCAAATGACTGCAGCCACAACTGACATCTTGACTGCACTCCCATGAAAGAACTCTGGGCCACAACCACCCTGCTAGGGTGCTTCCAAATTCCCAACCCACAGAAACTATGAACTAATGCTTGTCGTTTTAAGCTGCTAAGTTTGGGGGGGGGGAGCAGTAATTTGTTACACAGCAGTAAATAACTAATACAGAATGAAAAAGAGATATAATGGGATCATGGGGAACAGGGGGAAAGAACAGCTATTGTGTAGAAACCCTTTATCTTTTTATGGATGTGATTATGTTGCACATGACAATGCTGAGGTGAGAGGAGGGGTACCAGGGCAGAAAGGAGCCTGAATTCGAAGTGGTCACCCAAATATGAGCCCCAGACAACCCAAGGCCAGTAACAGAAGAGTGGAGGCAAGAACTATAAGGCCAATGGTGGTATGCAAATGTAGCATCCATAACCAAACACTGAACTACAGAAGGATATCTAGAAGTGGGCACCAGGAGACCAAACTGCTGCAGAATCAGAGATATGTCTGAGATCACAGCAGAAAGAGAGGAAGTAGAAACGGGATTCCGCTGTGGGCCTTCTGCCCCAGCTGACTGAATTTCCACACACTCCATATATGAAGATTTCTTTTCCTAAAGCATGGTAGAATGAATGCTGCTGGGCCCCACCCTATCCCCTTTACCATCTGAGTGTTGGCTGTTAACACTCACAGCTGTCTGCTCTCTCTGGAGAACTGGACTGTAACCACCCACCTCCTCCACAGCAGACCTGGGTCAATGACTAACTGGCAGAGGGGTATGAAGAGCTGGTGCCTTTGCCTTGAGGTGGGACTAATGTTGGTGCAGTTTATGCTACAGAGCTTCTCATGGAATTAGACTTAAGGTAATTTCCAGCTGAGACCATGTTCTTCCTCTGCTCTTTCCAGCAACCCTCACTCCTCTTTCCCAAGAGTGCTCCTGCAATAAATCACTTGAACAAGAATCCCCATTTCAGGAGACGTTTCTAGGGATCCCAATCTATAACACATCTTAAAAGCATCCCATAGTTTCTGATATTTGTATGTCAGTGTGTATTGTGTGTGTGTCTTTGCATGTTTGTGTGACTGTGACGATGATGAAGAAAAAATATGTAAAATGAGAAAAAAATAAAAATTAATCTTGCTTAAAGAATCCATGAATCAATAAAGTGAGAAGGCAAAACCTAGCAATTTGGTTAAATGGTTTAAAAGAAATACACATTAGTGATTTCTCTAAATATTTGTTGTAGAACACCTTTTCCCAAAACCTCCTTCCCTGTATGCGTCTGTGTTCGAGTTATTCAAAAGAAAAATTTATGAAAGACTTAGAAGGCAGAAATGAAGCAAGACTACCAATCTCTAAAGGTTGTTGTGGTTAGGTGCAGTGAGAGACAGATATGCAGAGGTGCTGATGTGTCCCAAATTAGCCTGACTTTTTCCACTCTGTGTCTAACTCTTCTTCCCAATTGTTGGATCTGCTCACTGACAGTGACCCCACACCCACTATCAGATGCAAAGGCAATAGCTCACCATGGATTTCTCCACCAGGCCTCCATCATTGTCTGACTTCAGTATCTGGATGTGCCTGGTTTCCCCAATTCCCTAGCAGGCTCTGACTTGTCCAGTCATGCCAGTGTGTCAGGAGGGTTGATTAGTGATTTTCTCTCATCCTCCAACTTCCTTGTTGTGGACTTTACATCCTGAAATTTCCCCATAATTGTAAAGGGTCTTGTTTCTATAACAAATCCTTTATTCCATAATACTTCAGGTGGTTGGCTTCCCTGATTACACTCTGATACCCTGATATACTCATGCACTGATTATATTTCATCGCCATACTGCATGGTAACTATTGTATATTTCATTAAATTGGTTTAACATTAATTTTGTTGATGTTATTTTTCACTAGAAACAGTCAACTCTCTAGATATATGTATGATATTGAGAGCTTGCTACTCTTTTAGCATGGTCACCTGAGGAAAACTTTACAAAATTAGGGGGAACATTGAATAAACACTGAGATATTAACAGGCATTGGCAATGGAAAGAAAATGGAGGATTTTCATTTGGATCATATTTCCCATTCATAATTCTGATTACAATGTGAAAAATAAATTATAGACAGGTTAAGAATGGAAATGGGGAAACCAATTAGTACAGTATTGCAGCAGTCCAGGCAGGAGATAATGGTAGGTTGGACTAAGATGGTGGCAATAGAGTGGGAGTGAGGAATCTTTGTCTGCCAGAAGGCCACCTAGACACAAATAACCATTTCAAAGGTAACAAAAGCATCTTTGTCTCTGAACCACCATCATAGAAGAACTGGGACAGTTTACCTTCTGGATTCCCTCTCTTTCCTTGTAGAAATCCCAAATGTCTTGTATGTTGTTTAGCTTTAACTTTTTTTGCTAGCACTACTTAATTTGTTTTTGTTCAACAATGCTTAATATGCTTCTCACTACCTAGTCACTGCTTTAAGTGCTTTTCAAAGGTTGGCTCATTTAATCCTTATTATAGCCACTGTGCCATTTTCCTGGTGTTTTCAGTTGGCAGCAAAAACTTCTGTCACCACTGCCCTTGCTGCTTCTATCACAGCTATTGGTCTGGCTGATGGAGTTTGCTTCTATTCCTGTGGTGGCTGTTAGTCTCTCTGACAAAGGGAGGAATATCAGTTGGGTTTCATGGTTGCAAGCAACAGAAATGAATTCAGATTATTTTAAACTGCGAATAAATTTATCTGTAAAATACCAGGTACCACCACCCAGCCCTTTGAGTATTCAGTATTCACATACACCATGCTCCCTTATTTTTATACTTTTACACACATACACACACACCACTAAATATAATGCAGCTTTTCTTCATAGTAACCAAAAATGTTCTCATATCCTTGCCGAAATGAGACAATCCACTGTTTCATCAGACACTGCATGCAGGATTTTGGGGCAATTTAATTTCTTCTTTGGTTCAATACAATCCCATGTTGATATTCTACAATCTAGGGACTAAATTTTAAAGTTAAACACCACAGATACACCTATATAGAACAGTGGGAAGAAAAGAGAAGAAAGAACTGGGAATTTGTTTTATACACAACAACTAAAGAAGTATGAATAGAGGCTTCAGTGTATTTTCAAATATAACTCAAACCTTATATTTATCCCATCCCACATACTATTCTTACAATGTTATTGTCACTCCTTCCACTAATAGATGTAATCTAGGTTTTCACTCCTTTATTCTGGGTAGGAGTTTATGATTCCTCCAACCAATGAAGTATAAGCAAAGTGATGCTATGTGACTTCCAAGACTAAGTCATAAGAAGGATGCTCTCTCTCTCTTTCTGTCTTTCTCTCTCTCTCCTCCACATGCCCTTGGAACCCAGCTAGCCAAGAGGGAGCATCAATTGCCAGACATATGAGTGAATAAACCTTCACATTATTCCAGAAGCCAGGCTTGGTGTCTTGCAGCTGAGACCTCATTTATCAGGGAACAGAGATAAGCCTTTCCCACTTTTCCCTGTCTTAATTTTTTACCCACAAAAGCCATGAGAAGTAAATAATTACTTTTTCTTTAAGCCACTAAATTTTGGGGTAATTTGATATGCAAGAATAGTTAACAAATACACAGTCTTATAAGCACGATTTCATCAATAGAGCAAACCAGAATAATGTCCTGAGAGATAATGAGATGGTCAAGGTCCAGTGTAGCAAATATGATGCAGTGACAAAGGTTTATATATAGCTGAGTTAGGACACCAGTGTTGTACTGTTATCACTGCCAAGTGAAAGCACCTTGTCTAAAGTGTTTATATTTGTTGGGATGGAGAAAATAATGAAAGCGTTTAACATGTTATTAGCTGTGTTCCAGGTGTCAGTGGTATTGATCTGCTCCTGTAAGAACACTGCATTTGGAACAAAAGTTGCAGTGGGAAATACCAGCTGATTAAATTTATGACAGTCCACTTTCATACTCCAAGACTCAACCATGTTCTTCACTGGCTAAAATGGAAAATAAAATAGGAATATGGTAGGAATTGCCACATCTGTATCTTTCACATCTTTGAGGATGGCACTGATTTCTGATATTTCCCTCAGAAACATATTCATCTGTCTATGCAATAAATACTTATTGAGCACTTATTATGTGCCAGTCATTGTTCTAGGAGCTGGGGATAGAGCAGTAAACAGACAAACAAAATATCTGCTCCCAATGAGACTGCATTCTAGGGAGGGAAACAGACCATATACAAACAAATAATTGTACAATCTATTGCCAGGTATGATAGGTACCATGAGGTAATATTGCTTTTCTGTAAGTATTTTGCTAATAAGGAGATGCCCCAAGAACTTATACTTGACCCTTCCTATTATAGTACATACTCTATGAGTCAAGGAGTCAGTGTAAGGATTCTTCTAGTTGCTGAGGTTGTCTAGTTCTGACTGTATTCTGTATGTCTTAGGTAAGGGGAGATAACCATGAGATGAGAGTTTGGGCTCTCACATGACCTATCATGAAGGCATTGGGTCAAAATTCCACTTAATACCTCTTCCTTACAAGCGTCAATATTAACGTGGTTCTGGACTCCAAAAAATTAGTGTATGTCTATGGTCATTGTTGAAATGCCCCTAAATGTTTTGAATATTTCCCTTTCTCTCAATCACACTTATCAAGTAAGTGGCTTCAGATCCCTTGGAGAAGACTGAGGAGGAAGAGTCACAGTATGTTCTTGTGATGTGGGTATAAACTCCTTCCTAAGGCATAGTGAGCCACTCTGTCAGAGGCGTGTGAACCAGGACAACTCCAACTTGAATAGGAGCTGGCTAAAATAAGGCTGAAATCTACTGGGCTGCATTCCCCAGCATTCTAAGTCACAGGATGAAATTGAAGGTTGGCACAAGATACAGGTCATAAAGACCGTGCTGATAAAGCAGGCTGCAGTAAACAAGCCAGCTAAAACCCAACAAAAGCAAGATGGTGACAAGAGCGTCCTCTGGTCGTCCTCACTGCTACACTCCCACTGGCGCCATGACAGTTTACAAATGCCATGGCAACATCAGGAAGTTGCCCTATATGGTCTAAAAAGGGGAGGCATAAATAATCCACCCCTTGTTTAGCATATCATCAAGAAATAACCTAAAAATGGGCAACCAGCCACCCTCAGGGCTGCTCTGTCTATGGAGTAACCATTCTTTTATTCCTTTACTTTCTTAATAAACTTGCTTTCACTTTACTCTATGGACTCACCCTGAATTCTTTCTGGCACGAGATCCAAGAGCCCTCTCTTGGGGTCCGGATCAGGACCCCTTTGCTCTAACATCTTTCTGGCAACCACAGAAAAGACTATAGTGAGGAAACCCCTGACCCACAGGCTAACTTTGGGCAAGTGGTGGGGTCTGTTAACATCTTTCTGGTGAAACCTGAAGGAGTGATACTGAGGTGACCCCCAACCCAAAGGAAATAGACTACAGCACTGATTGGACAACTTTGTGTAAGTGGGGTGCGTATACCTGGGTAAAGAATGGGACTGGGGTAGATGCCCAACTTAGGGGAGTTAGAGTCTCTCCTAAGACAGAGTGGGTTAGAGGACCCTCTTAATAAAAAGCAAGGACGCTTGACTGACCTTGGGTTAGAGGCCCAACTTAGGAGGGTTAGAGTCTCTTCTAAGACTTAAGGGGTTAAAGGCCCCTCTCATTAAAGTCCCTTTTGGCTAAGAACGAATTTGGCACTATGGGATGTTCACTGCTATTCTCTTTGGATTAATCTGCCTTGCACGCTTTGCTGACAGCTGTGGGTGACAGGATTAGGCATGTACAGGATCATGGGACATGGGGAGATTTCTCCTCCCCACAAAGGGGAAACTTGAGAGTTGATGGGACTGCTGGAAAAGATCCTTTCATGACCGACAAGTGGCCACCTGAACTTTTCAGTGTCAGCTGCAATGGGTGGTTCTTTCTCTGGCCTCCCTGAGTGCCTTGCCTTCCCCACCCTGCCTCAGGCAGTGCTTTCCTCTCTCTCTTAAACTTGTTGAATGAATGGTAAATATCATTGTTTATCTCCTGTAAAGTTTTGATTCGTGGAAGAAAGGACTTGTGAGGCTAATCTTAAACTGTAGCGAATCTGGTGTGCTTTGTGTGTCTTTCTTTCCGTGTTCTATAATGGAGAGGAGTACCTTAGGATAGAATGTGGGCCTAGGACACCTGCAAGCCCGCTGTTCAAGATGGCCCCGGAAACTGGTCAGTCATGTCTTTGGGAGTTTGACCTTGTAACCACGTGGCAATCGTTTCTCTTGGTCTCTACCATCACAATGGTGACCGAGGTTCAGACTTCAATTCCTGGCTTAGGGGATGAGTTCTTTATCTTCCACTGTCTGTGTATTTATATGTGTTGTGTGTGTAACACAAAAGAACTTTGATTAATTGGTTTAATAATACAAGCTTAAACCAAATTGTCAGAAAAGTTAAAAATGTAATGCCTTTTAGTTCATGTGACTTAAGTAATCTTTGGGAAATAAAGATAGTTTTAAAGATTATTGGTAAAATAAAAATGTCTTCAAAAGTGTAAATACTTGGTCTAAATTATGCAGGTAAGATATTAAATGTGCTAAATGCTTTAAGGCCACAAACTGCTTCTTTAACTTTTGAGCATTAGATTCTAGATAAGGCTTAGGACATGTGGAGTTAGCCACGCCCCTAGCTATGCTGCAGTCAGCCCTTATCTGCACTTCTGCCTAGTGTGTCCTATGCTAGGCTCCATACCTAGTACATAATTAAAATCCTGAGCTTACCAAGGTTTTCAACAAAAGTAAAAGTCACTAAGAGTTAACATTGTAATGAGACTACCAAAGAAACAGCTCTACATGCAAGGTGTGTGAGGAAACTAGAATGTGTTTTTGGCAAACACAATTATAAGAACTCATGGGAATGTGGATTTCTTGCCTAAGTTTAAAGGGTTAAAGGATTTTTTTAAGTGAGATAGGAAAAAAATCTAAAGGTTTGAACAAATTGTGGAAGGTTTGTGAAAAATTAATTGTAAAAGAAATGCTGTGTGTGAACATATTGGCTAAAATTAAAGGGGTAATACCATCCTGGCTAACGCAGTGAAACCCTGTCTACTAAAAATATAAAAAATTAGCTGGGTGTGGTGGCAGGCGTCTGTAGTCACAGCTACTCGGGAGGCTGAGGCAGGAGAATGGCTTGAACCCGGGAGGCAGAGGTTGCAGTGAGCCAAGATTGTGCCACTGCACTCCAGCCTGGGCGACACAGCGAGACTCCGTCACAAAAAAAAAAAAAAAAAAAAAATTAAAAATTAAAGGGGTATTATTCAGTTTTTGCACTCAATTCAGTAAATTCAGTAACTTGGACATTGGAATAAAAGCACAACAGGTTTTTCTTAAAGCAAAAACCTGCTTATTATCTGCTCTTTAACAAAAATGTGTAAAGCGTTATAAAAGGTTTATGAAAATCTTACCTTATCAAACTGATTAAGATTGAATACATTTGTCTATAAGGTTGCATTAAGAATTGGGTTTGACATCAATAATATACTAATGTGAAGGTGAAATTTGGTGTATTTGGTTTAAAAGTCTTACAGGAAGCATTGTCAAATATGAAATGGTGTTTGGTTTTTGGGCTGTATTTGTATAAATATGTTACTGGTATGTGTTCCAAAATTATTTAAAAAACTATAATTCTAATATGATTTAGTGTTATTAATAATTATAATTGTTACATAAAATTTTGTATGCCACAGAAACAACCAAATTTGTCAATTGTGTTTTTGACTGTGGCTGTCCTAAGACATTTTCTCATCCACAGACAATTGTTGTCTTGATTTAGTCCTCTTTCGAAGATGGTTTTAAAATCAACTGTAGGACTTCAACAAGTGCACTTAAATGCAGGTTTTCTGATAACTTTAGAAACTGTGACATCAAGATAGAGGAAAAAACTTTCAGGACTCTCATAGAGAGCTGAAGTGTTCATAAATATCAAGCAGAACAGGAGTTAACTAAATTAACTGAACCAATAAAAAAATTGAAGTAGTCTTTTTAACTTTTTGCTTAAAACGATGCTGATCTTAGGCTGGGCGTGGTGGCTCACTTCTGTAATCCCAGCACTTTGGGAGGCCAAGGAGGGCGGATCACAAGGTCAGGAGATTGAGTCCATCCTGGCTAACATGGTAAAACCCTGTCTCAGTATACTAAAAATACAAAAAATTAGCCTGACATGGTGGCGGGCGCCTGTAGTCCCAGCTACTCGGGAGGCAGAGGCAGGAGAATTGTGTGAACCCAGGAGGTGGAGTTTGCAGTGAGCCGAGATCGTACCACTGCACTCCAGCCTGGGTGACAGAGTGAGACTCCGTCTCAAAAAAAAAAAAAAAAAAAATAGGTGATGGAGGTTCCAAGATGGCCAAATAGGAATAGGTCCAGTCTACAGCTCCCAGCATGAGCAACACAGAAGACGGGTGATTTCTGCATTTCCAACTGAGCTTTGAAGAGAGTAGTGGTTCTCCCAGCACGGAGTTTGAGATCTGAGAAGGGACAGACTGCGTCCTCAGGCGGGTCTCTGACCCCTGAGTAGCCTAACTGGAAGGCATCTCCCAGCACGGGCTGACTGACACTTCACACGGCTGGGTGCCCCCTGAGACAAAGCTTCCAGAGGAACGATCAGGCAGCAACAATGGCTGTTCTGCAATATTTGCTGTTCTGCAGCCTTCACTGGTGATACCCAGGCAAACAGGGTCTGGAGTGGACCTCCAGCAAACTCCAACAGACCTGCAGCTGAGGGTCCTGACTGTTAGAAGGAAAACTAACAAACAGAAAGGACATCCACACCAAAACCCCATCTGTACATCACCATCATCAAAGACCAAAGGTAGATAAAACCACAAAGATGAGGAGAAACCACAGTAGAAAAGCTGAAAATTCTAAAAATCAGAGCACTTCTTCTCCTCCAAAGGAATGCAGCTCCTCGCCAGCAACAGAACAAAGCTGGACGGAGAATGACTTTGACGAGTTGAGAGAAGGCTTCAGAGGATCAAACTTTTCCGAGCTAAAGGAGGATGTTCAAACCCATCGCAAAGAAGCTAAAAACCTTGAAAAAAGATTAGATGAATGGCTAACTAGAATAACCAGTGTAGAGAAGACCTTAAATGACCTGAAGGAGCTGAAAACCATGGCACAAGAACTACATGACGCATGCAAAAGCTTCAGTAGCCGATTCAATCAAGTGGGAGAAAGGGTATCAGTGATTGAAGATCAAATGAATGAAATGAAGTAAGAAGAGAAGTTTAGAAAAAAAAGAGTAACAAGAAATGAGCAAAGCCTCCAAGAAATATGGGACTATGTGAAAAGACCAAATCTACATCTGATTGGTGTACCTGAAAGTGATGGGGAGAATGGAACGAAGCTGGAAAACACTCTTCAGGATATTATCCAGGGGAACTTCCCTAACTTAGCAAGGCAGGCCAACATTCAAATTCAGGAAATACAGAGAATGCCACTCCTCGATAAAGATGCTCCTCGAGAAGAGCAATTCCAAGACACATAATTGTCAGATTCACCAAAGTTGAAATGAAGGAAAAAATGTTAAGGGCAGCCAGAGAGAAAGGTCGTGTTACCCACAAAGGGAAGCCCATCAGACTAACAGCAGATCTCTTGGCAGAAACTCTACAAGCCAGAAGAGAGTGGGGGCCAATATTCAACATTCTTAAAGAAAAGAATTTTCAACCCAGAATTTCATATCCAGCCAAACTAAGGTTCATAAGTGAAGGAGAAATAAAATCCTTTACAGACAAGCAAATGCTGAGAGATTTTGTCACCACCAGGCCTGCCTTACAAGAGCTCCTGAAGGAAGCGCTAAACATGGAAAGGAACAATTGGTACCAGCCACTGCAAAAACATGCCAAATTGTAAAGACCATTGATGCTAGGAAGAAACTGCATCAACTAATGAGCAAATAACCAGCTAACATCATAATGACAGCATCAAATTCACACATAACAATATTAACCTTAAATGTAAATGGGCCAAATGCTCCAATTAAAAGACACAGACTGGCAAATTGGATAAAGAGTCAAGACCCATCAGTGTGCTGTATTCAGGAGACCCATCTTATGTGCAGAGACATACATAGGCTCAAAATAAAGGGATGGAGGAAGATCTACCAAGCAAATGGAAAACAAAAAAAAAAAATCAGGGGTTGCAATCCTAGTCTCTGATAAAACAGACTTTAAAACAACAAAGATCAAGAGACAAGGCCATTACATAATGGTAAAGGGATCAATTCAACAAGAAGAGCTAACTATCCTAAATATATGTGCATCCAATACAGGAGCACCCAGATTCATAAAGCAAGTCCTTAGTCTAAGTCTACAAAGAGACCTAGACTCCCACACAATAATAATGGGAGACTTTAATACCCCACTGTCAATATTAGACAGATCAATGAGACAGAAAGTTAACAAGGATACCCAGGACTTGAACTCAGCTCTGCACCAAGCGGACCTAATAGACATCTACAGAACTCTCCACCCCAAATCAACAGAATATACATTCTTCTCAGCACCACATCACACTTATTCCAAAATTGACCACATAGTTGGAAGTAAAGCACTCCTCAGCAAATGGAAAAGAACAGAAATTATAACAAACTGTATCTCAGACCACAGTGCAATCAAACTAGAACTCAGGATTAAGAAACTCACTCAAAACCACTCAACTGCATGGAAACTGAACAACCTGCTCCTGAATGACTACTGGGTACATAATGAAATGAAGGCAGAAATAAAGATGTTCTTTGAAACCAGTGAGAACAAAGACACAACATACCAGAATCTCTGGGACACATTTAAAGCAGTGTGTAGAGGGAAATTTATAGCACTAAATGCCCACAAGAGAAAGCCGGAAAGACCCAAAATTGACACCCTAACATCACAATTAAAAGAACTAGAGAAGTAAGAGCAAACATATTCAAAAGCTAGCAGAAGGCAAGAAATAACTAAGATCAGAGCAAAACTGAAGGAGATAGAGACACAAAAAACCCTTCAAAAAATCAATGAATTCAGGAGCTGGTTTTTTGAAAAGATCAACAAAATTCATAGACCACTAGCAAGACTAATAAAGAAGAAAAGAGAGAAGAATCAAATAGACGCAATAAAAAATGATAAAGGGGACATCACCACTGATCCCACAGAAATACAAACTACCATCAGAAAATACTGTAAACACCTCTAAGCAAATAAACTAGAAAATCTAGAAGAAATGGATAAATTCCTCGACACATACACCCTCCCAATACTAAACCAGGAAGATGTTGAATCTCTGAATAGACCAATAACAGGCTCTGAAATTGAGGCAGTAATTAATAGCCTACCAACCAAAAAAAGGCCAGGACCGGACGGATTCACAGCCGAATTCTACCAGAGGTACAAGGAGGAGCTCGTACTATTCCTTCTGAAACTATTCCAATCAATAGAAAAAGAGGGAATCCTCCTTAACTCATTTTATGAGGCCAGCATCATCCTGCTACCAAAGCCTGGCAGAGACACAACAAAAAAAAGAGAATTTTAGACCAATATCCCTGATGAACATCGATGCAAAAATCCTCAATAAAATACTGGCAAACTGAATCCAGCAGCACATCAAAAAGCTTATCCACCATGATCAAGTGGGCTTCATCCCTGGGATGCAAGGCTGGTTCAACATGCGCAAATCAACAAACGTAATCCATCACATAAACAGAACCAAATACAAAAACCACATGATTATCTCAATAGATGCAGAAAAGGCCTTCGACAAAATTCAACAGCCCTTCATGCTAAAAACTCTCAATAAATTAGGTATTGATGGGACATATCTCAAAATAATAAGAGCTATTTATGACAAACCCACAGCCAGTATCATACTGAATGGGCAAAAACTGGAAGCATTCCCTTTGAAAACTGGCACAAGACAGGGATGCCCTCTCTCACCACTCCTATTCAACATAGTGTTGGAAGTTCTGGCCAGGGCAATCAGGCAGGAGAAACAAATAAAGGGTATTCAATTAGGAAAAGAGGAAGTCAAATTGTCCCTGTTTGCAGATGACGTGATTGTATATTTAGAAAACCCCGTCATCTCAGCCCAAAATCTCCTTAAGCTGATAAGCAACTTCAGCAAAGTCTCAGGATACAAAATCAATGTGCAAAAATCATAAGCATTCCTATACACCAATAACAGACAAACAGAGAGCCATATCATGAGTGAACTCCCATTCACAATTGTTTCAAAGAGAATAAAATACCTAGGAATCCAACTTACAAGGGATGTGAAGGACCTCTTCAAAGAGAACTACAAACCACTGCTCAACGAAATAAAAGAGGACACAAACAAATGGAAGAACATTCCATGCTCATGGATAGGAAGAATCAATATCAAGAAAGTGGCCATACTGCCCAAGGTAATTTATAGATTCAATGCCATCCCCATCAAGCTACCAATGACTTTCTTCATACAATTGGAAAAAACTACTTTAAAGTTCATATGGAACCAAAAAAGAGCCCACATTGCCAAGACAATCCTAAGCCAAAAGAACAAAGCTGGAGGCATCATGCTACCTGACTTCAAACTGTACTACAAGGCTACAGTAACCAAAACAGCATGGTACTGGTACCAAAACAGAGATATAGAGCAATGGAACCGAACAGAGCCCTCAGAAATAATACCACTCATCTACAACCATCTGATCTTTGACAAACCTGACAAAAACAAGAAATGGGGAAAGGATTCCCTATTTAATAAATGGTGCTGGGAAAACTGACTAGCCATATGTAGAAAGCTGAAACTGGATCCCTTCCTAACACCTTATACAAAAATTAATTCAAGATGGATTAAAGACTTAAATGTTAGACCTAACACCATAAAAACCCTAGAAGAAAACCTAGGCAATACCATTCAGGACATAGGCATGGGCAAGGACTTCATGACTAAAACACCAAAAGCAATGGCAACAAGAGCCAACATTGACAAATGGGATCTAATTAAACTAAAGAGCTTCTGCCCAGCAAAAGAAACTACCATCAGAGTGAACAGGCAACCTACAGAATGGGAGAAAATTTTTGCAATCTACCCATCTGACAAAGGGCTAATATCCAGAATCTACAAAGAACTTAAACAAATTTACAAGAAAAAATCAAACAACTCCATCAAAAAGTGGGCAAAGGATATGAACAGACACTTCTCAAAAGAAGACATTTATTGCAGCCAACAGACACATGAAAAAATGCTCATCATCACTGGTCATCGGAGAAATGCAAATCAAAACCACAATGAGATACCATCTCACACAAGTTAGAATGGCGATCATTAAAAAGTCAGGAAACAACAGGTGCTGGAGAGGATGTGGAGAAATAGGAACACTTTTACACTGTTAGTGGGAGTGTAAACTAGTTCAACCATTGTGGAAGACAGTGTGGCAATTCCTCAAGGATCTAGAACTAGAAATACCATTTGACCCAGCCATCCCATTACTGGGTATATACCCAAAGGATTTTAAATCACACTGCTATAAAGACACATGCACGTGTACATTTATTGTGGCACTATTCACAATAGCAAAGACTTGGAACCAACCCAAATGTCCATCAATGATAGACTGGATTAAGAAAATGTGGCACATATACACCATGGAATACTATGCAGCCATAAAAAAGGATGAGTTCATGTCCTTTGTAGGGACAGGGATGAAGCTGGAAACCATCATTCTCAGCAAACTATCGCAAGGACAGAAAACCAAACACCGCATGTTCTCACTCATAGGTGGGAATTGAACAATGAGAACACTTGGACACAGGATGGGGAACATCACACACCGGGGTCTGTCGTGGGATTGGGGGAGGGGGAGGGATAGCATTAGGAGATATACCTAATATAAATGACAAGTTAATGGGTGCAGCACACCAACATGGCACATGTGTACATATGTAACAAACCTGCACGTTGTGCACATGTACCCTATAACTTAAAGTAAAATAAAAAATAAAAAAGTTACTGATCCTTTGTTTTGTTTTGCAGAGTTAAGAAAACTTTTCTTTTAAGCTATTTATAGCTTTCAACAATTGAGTAAAGTATACCCCTGTGGACAAAATTTGGAGCCTATTTGTTTCTCCTACCTGATTTCTCCAGAATTTGGAAACTATTTCTAACTATTCTAAATTTATGGCAATATAGTTATTTGCATAAGTGCAATAAGAATCTGTTTTCTTTTGCAACAGGACACAGTTGGAAAAATTGGTTATTTTACCAAGACTGTCCGGAATGGCATGCTTTCCTTTAAGAACTCAAATTTGACTTATAGAGCCAATAAAAGCCCCTTGGGGAACTAGCCTCATACCTCGCCTACAACAGTCCCTGTACAAGGTTTCTGACCTGTTGTAAGTAAAGAATGTCACTTTTGAACAGGTCCAGGAGCCCCAGGTTATCTTGGGACCCCAAGAGGAGAGGAATTTACTCAACTCTTAGATATTTGAGGGCACAAACCCATGGCTGGCCTTGGCTTTAAAAAAGTCTTATCTGAGATTCCTTCTATGAAACAGTTCCATCAAAGCCAATTTACAAAAAGCCTATGTGAAAAAATAATTATTCCTGCTGCACTTTATACAAATAATCAGACAAAGCATAATAAAGCAAATCAGTCTTACCATAATTTGTCTTTAGTAAATATGGGAAACTGGAGAGAAAAATTATGTTTCAAAAACTATGGTACAGTTGTTATTAGATTCTAGTATCATCAATTGTTTTTAAGATTGTTTCTGCAATTTAGGCTAACATTGTTTATTCCTGTGAACCAACCAGTGATCTCTGGCTGCTGCTCAGATGGGTGATGTAAAAACCTGGATCAATATTCTAATCCTGGGCACACAGTGGAATCTTCTAGCAACCCCATATCAGCTTGGTTCCAACAGTTGCCTAGTTCATGGAAAGCCTTCTAATTTAGTTTGCCTGGAATAATTTTACTTATTTTGCTTTACTGTTGTGAAATATATTGCTGTTGTACTCTTTGTGTAGGGATGCAGGATAAGTTTACTGAATGTTTTCTTAAGTTGAACACTTATTAATCTTCCAGATATCACCTTTTGTCAGAATTCGGAGTTTTGAATGGCCCTCGCCATACCAACACTTTCTGACTGAGCTCCTCTCTACCCTAAACACAAAAGACTCTAATAGTTAGGCAGGAACATAATTGCCCCTATTCAGCCTGAAGAAGTTGCAGAAGATGGATCTTCATCCCTCTGCAACCCTTAGGATTAAGGGTTCTCCTATAAAAGGGATGGGGGAAATGTCAGAGGCGTGTAAACCAGAACAACTCCATCTTAAATAGGAGCTGGCTAAACTAAGGCTGAAACCTACTGGGCTGCATTCCCAGATGGTTAAGGCATTCTAAATCACAGGATGAGACTGAAGGTCAACACAAGATCAGATCATAAAGACCTTGCTGATAAAATAGGCTGCAGTAAAGAAGCCAGCTAAAACCCACCAAAACCAAGATGGTGATGAGAGTGTCCTCTGGTCGTCCTCACTGCTACACTCCCACCGGTGCCATGACAGTTTACAAACACCATGGCAACATCAGGAAGTTGCCCTATATGGTCTAAGAAGGGGAGGCATAAATAATCCACCCCTTGTTTAGCATATCATCAAGAAATAACCATAAAAATGGGCAACCAGATGCCCTTGGGGTGGCTCTGTCTAGAGTAGCCATTCTTTTATTCCTTTACTTTCTTAATAAACTTGCTTTCCCTTTACTCTATGGACTCACCCTGAATTCTTTCTTGCATGAGATCCAAGAACCCTCTCTTGGGGTCCGGATCGGGGCCCCTTTCGTGTAACCACTTCTTCAATGAAAGAGTTCTGCATTGTGAATTGAAAACCAAAAACAACATTCTAAGCCACCCCCAGCCATCTGAATGGACTTCCTCATCTGCTGGTGTGCTCTAAAATTTAACCTGAAAGACTGGTTCAGGCCTTGACGGGAAGTGAGGGTCTGACGTGCCTTTTTATACCCTCCAGCATTAACATCAAGGCAGACCTTAAGTCTGATAAGAAATATTTACAATTTATTCTCTCTGAAACCTGCTATCTGGAGGCTTCATCTGCATGATAAAAGTTTGATCTCCACAACCTCTTATCATAACCTAGACAATTCCTCTCTATGGATAATAACTCAACCAATTGCCAATCAGAAAAGTTTTAAATCTACCTATAACCTGGAAGTTTGGAGTTGTGCTGCCTTTCTGGACTGAACCAATGTATATCTTAAATGTATTTGATTGATATCTCATGTCTCCCTAAAATGTATAAAGCCAAGCTGCACCCCTACCAACTTGAGCACGTGTTCTCAGGATCTCCTGAGGGCTGTGTCACCAGCCATAGTTACTCATACTTGGCTCAGAATAACTCTCTTCAAATATTTTACAGAGTTTGACCCTTTTCATGGACTGAATTCATCCAGGTAGAAATTGGGTGAAATGCTGTAACTTAATTTGGGAGTAATGAAAATTAGGTATTATTCACCAGACCTATTTTATAAAAAAATTGCAAATCAAGTAGGGCTTTAGAAGGCTGCCCTTGTCTTTCAATCCCAGGAATCCCATGAAGAATAAACCAACATCAAAGATCTCTTTAGAGCAGATCCTTCTGATTACCATATGGCCCAGAGCCTATTCAGGAGCCTCACTCACTTTGCCTCTGGCAATTAATTCCAGAACTTGGCCTGTGCCATCCCCCCCGCACCTTTCCATCCCCATCCCTGGTTGATTTAACTTCAATCATTATCTTATATACACTAATTATCTTTACCTATACTACTAATTACTTACTGCTAATTAACTTAACCTAGGACAGAAGCCAGAATTTACTAAAGTTCTTGCAAAGAGCTGCAATAACATTGTTAGGAAAAAGCTTTTCTCTAGTTTCTCATCAAATGAACACCTCTCTGCAAAGAACATCACATACTTTTAATTACTCTACCAATACAACTTTTAAGGCAGAGATTTGCTTTAAATTCATGTCAAGGTCATCAAATGAAATTCTGAAGAGCTATCTTGAACATTTTGTAATAATCTATTCTGACTAGAAAGGAGTTTAAGGACCTTTTTAAATTCTTGCAAACACCATTCTCATTTTATTATTTGAATGAATGTGCCTGGGGCAAACTTACCTAGTTTAAAAAAAAAAAAAATCCCTAGCAGATACTTCCAAGCAACCTGTTTCTTTCCTGCACTGGGTCTACATTTTTCACAAAGTTCCTCATCTTTAGAATGTGTTTGCTCTTGGTCTTTCCTGAAGAAATGTCTTATTCAGCATTTATTGCTTCTTCCATTCCAGAGGTGGGGAGATGCACTGGCCATATGGAAAGAGAGATCAGTAATTTCTGGTGCTTAACGTATACTACATTTGAGACGGGCTCAAGATTTAAAGGAATGAGCCAGCTTGGAGTTACTAACTGTGGAGTCAAAAGTGGTTTCATCAGATTGCATTTGAATTTCTAATTCCAGCCCTTCGCTTTCTCCCTGACTCTCCATTCTCAAATGGCAAGGCTGAGAGAATCCCCAGTGCATTCCATCTCTTCAGACCTGAGAAACATCATTCAGAGGAATTATCGCTGTGTCTCTCATCACAGTTCTGTCCATTTGGAAAATGGCACAGAGTTCAGGGAGTAGCTTCAACATGGGCCTGAGCCTTTCTCCAACATTTCCAAACACTTCTATTTCTTTTGTGGCTTACTCTCTATTTTGCACTTTTATCTCAGCTCTTGCTGAAGGTTGCGCCTGACCCCAAATTCATTGCCCCTCACCAAGATGACTCACTGAGAGCTGCTCTGAGGAGCAGCATGACAGAGTGGAAAGAATGGATTCTGGAGCTATAGCTGCACTCAAACCCTGGCTCTGCATTTACTGGCTCTGAGACTTTGACCACATCTCTCGCCTCTGTGAACACCAGTTTCCTCATCTGGAAATGAAGTGCATCAGTCCTACGTCAGAGGGTTATTATCAGAATTAGAATAAATATATGTAAATTCAAGGGAATCTCTGAAGAGATAATTCTAACCTTCCAACCACAGGAGCACATTTACTATTAGGTCTGACCTTGTTTTGCTTTTACCCTTCCTAGTTTCAGCTGGGCCTCAAAAGCAAAAAGGCCAAGATCCAACAAGAAAATCTGTTTCTGCTGTATTCTCTTGGCTGCCTAGGAAGACTCTTTTGGCAGGCTTTCTGGTGATCTGTCCAAGCCTGGGGCCTCTCTTCCCTGGAGTTTCCATCACCTTGTTTAGAGGAGAAGAAACTCTAAGCATCATTATGCAGTGCCTGAGAGGCAGTTGCTCTCTTTCTTAATCTGAATTCCTTTAGTCCTTTATTTCCCTCTTTGTCTCCCAAAGAAACCAATCTGCACACTGTGGGACATAGAATAATATTTATTACAAGGATGACAATAATAATAGCAGCCTCTATTTATTGCCTGCTTCCTATTGTCAGACATGAGAGACCAAGCACATTATATATTATCTCAATTATTATATAATAGAAATGGCAAATATTAATGCAGTATAAAAACATTAAAAGGGGTAAAAATGGTATTTCATATTGATAAAATGTACAATCCACCAAGAAACTATATTAGTCATGAACTTCCATGCACCTAACAATATAGTTTCAAAAAAATATGAAGAGAAAAGATTCTAGCATTTTACAAGGAGAAATCGACAGAATGACTATCATGTTAAAAGTTAACACACTTCTCTATAAAAGATATCGAAAACACAAAATTAAGCATAGCAAGAGTTAATAACATGGTAACAAGTTATATAGAAATTTGCACTCAACAGAGATTACACATTGTTCAGAAACATGTGGAAAGAGTTACAACTAACCATGTATTAGGCCATAAAGAAAATGTTCATAAACAAAAAGCAGCATTCATACAAGTATATTTATTGAAAAAATGCAAAAAACTTAGAAATTAACAACAAAAGGATAGCAAAAAAAATTGATCTAATTAGAACATTTAAATGCCTTTTTATAAATGTTTATTGCATGTATCAGTCAGGGTTTAATCAAAGATATTGACCCCTTAAGAAATATATAAATGTGTTATAGAGATTTTACCTTATGCAGTTGTGGTTGCTGGTTGAATACTAGTCTCTGTAAGGGTATTGTCATTGCATCTGATGCTGGAGCTGGAAGTCCTCAGGGCAGGCAGTCAAGATGTAAAATAGGGAGAGCAAGAACAAGCTGGAACCCATAAGCACAAGCTTGAGCCAATAAGACAGGCAAAAACCTGTGTTTGTACTTGTTGCCTCTGACCTTGGTCATGCAGAAGCCAGGGCCCTTTGTCATGAAATTAGGCGCACACACACACACACACACACACACACACACACACACAGATACACACACACACACTCCTGGCCCAAGAGTCAGAGAAGCTGAAGGAGGATCCAGGGGAAGATGGAGCAGTTCCAGTCCTGGCCACTGCCCACACCAACAAGGAAACAGACAAGGTATGTGTGTTTCAAAATGGCTGTTGCTTCATTTACAGTCTCCAAATCCCCCAGGGGAATCTCTCTTGTAATACAGCCTAACTGGAAACATTCAAGAAAGGGAATTCTGGGAAATGTAGTTCAGCCTAGTCAAGGCAACACGTTACAAAGCCACTTCAGTCTGTTCTTTGCCAAGTTTGCAGGCATACATATCTCCATAGTTAACCTCCAAATAAAGGAAATAATAAAGTCATGCTTCTGCCTAACATAATACAATTATCGCCATGCAACCAAAAATATGGTCACTCAGGGGTCAGAGACTTTTTCTTAAAGAGCCAGATAGCAAATATTTTAGGTTTTATAGGTCACATAGTTTCTGTTGCAACTATTCAATGCTAGCATTGTATCATGAAAGCAGCCATAGAAAATGCATAAGTGAATGAATATGACTGTGTTCCAAGAAAAACTTTTTTATAAAAATAGATGACCAGCTCATGAGCCATAGTTTGTTGAGCCCTGCGTTAATTCTTTTATGTAAAGAGAATAAAAAGTCCTCTTTTTGATTTGGGTGATCTTTTATTCTTCTCCTAATTGATTCACATGTCACTTTTTGATATCTTGTAACTTAAGTATTGAGAAAAAAGTTAACTTAGCATATATTATATTAGATAAGGAGATGAGAAGGAAGGAAGAAAACAAAAATATTTGGTTAATATATACATAATATGCACATCGAAGTAAGTATTCACAACAATCGTAGTCCTCTTTTCTGCAATGTTCATGTGGTCATAGCTGGTATTTATAACTGCCTTCTTCTACTAAGCATTCATATTTCCTTATCAAGCCCTGTAACTAGTCACAGTTCCTTATCTGTTTCCAAATTTATTCCTAAAAGGTCTGACCATTAACAGTTCTGCTTGAATTGGAGGTTGTTGTAGTTTTACACTGACTTAATAATCACAAAATATGAGTATACTAAAAGTTTCCCTAGAGGGTCTCCTGCATTCTAGACATAGCCATTCATTCCATGGTAACAATTTAATTTTCCCTTGATAGTCAAGATCAGTCAACACAGCCAGTATAGTAACCCCTTTCTTGATATGCCATTCATTCAGTGGCATTAGGAGCTCAAAGTGGCCAAGTGGCAGTCTTCTCAACTGAGTGTTCAATGGAATCATTGTGTCCCTGGTGGAAGCATTTCTTCCTTTGGAACTAAGACTTCTAGAGCAGTAGAGCCTAAAATTTTGGGGATGAAAAAAAAATTGTGCTAGTGGATCACTAGGGATGATCATGAGAACAACAACTTCCATTTCCACCTTTTGCTTCCTAGACTTGTAAAGCTTGCCATGGTAGAAATAGCACTATAGAATGGATATTGATTTAGAACATTAACCACAACCTGAAGGACCTTGACCCAGTCCCACAAGGTGTTGCCACCCAGCTAGTGTGATAACTGAGCCTTTCAAAGACTATTCTACCATTTTAACACATCGATTGCTTCAGAATAATGGGTAACATGGGTAACATGGTACAGAAATAACTTCTGTAGTCTGGGAAAATGCTGATGTTACACTTGGCTGCCCAGAGAACAGTTTCAGTTCCCACTGGCCACCTAGAAATATGAGGCAGCTTGCAAGTGTAGAATGATCATTTTCTTTATGGAGTTGAAATAAATCTCAGGTCACAAATTAAGGATTGAAAGAAATTAACTTTATTTTTTAATAACCAAACATAATTTACTTTATGAGCCTCATTCCATATAGTAGTAGAAACCTAGTGAGTCAATCCAGGGACCTATCTTTGGGATTACATGAGTTTATGGCATAGGAAGGGAGGCACCGTCATCTCTCTGTAACTGCATGTGTTGAGATGTCCATCATTTAGCTGGGCCTTGGTCCCAGAGCCCTTCTCAGCCTCTTGCTCCTGACCACTAGGTCTCTCCAGGCTGGCTCTACCTTGAGTACTTCTGTGCCCCTCTCAGAGATAGAGGAAACACTCAACTCTGCTTCTATCCTACCTGGACAGGAAAATTCTACAAGTATTAAAACTTCCCTGAAAGCAAGATATAATCTTCCTCTTCTCCTAAATCCCTATTCCCATCTGGGGAAGATCTTGCTTCCTTCATACTCCTCAGGAATTGACCTGGGGGCAAGCCATATGACCCCTGCTGAGGAACAAAAAACTGGTCCTGCTTTCTCTCAGATGCTCCTCTTATTCCTCCCCCAGTTCTGGACACTTTATCTAATCTCAGATAGAAAGGAGGGAGAAAGAACTATCTTTGATTAATCAAGTATTATTCTTAATGTTTTTGCCTTCTTTCTGGACCTAAGCTTTTAAAACTCAAAAGGTAAAATTTCACTCTTTTGTTCTCCGATTTTTCTGCAACAACCTTTCCTAAGACAATCTATATCTCAAGAATGAGGGAAGGGCTGTAAGATAAATAAAAAGAATCATAGGGAACTTATATCAGTTAATATCAAAGTACTATTCTGTTACAATTAAACATATTATATCCTTATATAAAATTTGTTTCATTTTATTTTAATTTATTTTAATTTTTTAGACACAGGGTCTCACTCTGTTGTCCAGACTGGAGTGCAGTGGAGTTGATCATAGTTTACTGTAACCTCATACTCCAGGGCTCAAGAGATCCTCCCGGCTCGACCTTCCAAAGTGCTAGGATTATAGGTGTGAGCCACTGTGCCCAGCCGAAATCTGTTTATTTAAAAGAAATCATAGTCCTTAATTTTCCTTCAGTTCTACCCAAAGCAGAAAACTGCCTAGCAGTGCTCTAAGTTTCCTTGATGTGAAGAAAGTCCGAGACACGGTCCTCAACCTTATAGGTTGAATTGTGTCTCCCAGAAAGAAATGTGAAAGTCCTAACTCCCGGCCGGGCGCGGTGGCTCACCCCTGTAATCCCAGCACTTTGGGAGGCCAAGGCGGGCGGATCACGAGGTCAGGAGATCGAGACCATCCTGGCTAACACGGTGAAACCCTATCTCTACTAAAAATACAAAAAAAAAATTAGCTGGGCGTGGTGGCTGGCGCCTGTAGCCCACCTACTCGGGAGGCTGAGGCAGGAGAATGGCGTGAACCCGGGAGGCGGAGCTTGCAGCGAGCCGAGATCGCGCCACTGCACGCCAGCCTGGGCGACAGAGCGAGACTTCGTCTCAAAAAAAAAAAAAAAAAAAAAAAAAAAAAAAAAAAAAAGTCCTAACTCCCAGTGCCTCGGAATGTGACCTTATTTAACAATAGGGTTACTGAAGATGTGTTAGTTAAGAACAAGTCATACTGGAGTAGGGTGAGTCCCTAATCCAATATAACCAACTGGTGTCCTTATAAGAAGAGGAGAAAAGGTGCAGAGACAAAGAGGAAGAAGATAGCTATGTGACAACAGAGGAAGACTTTGGAATGACGTACGTATCAGCCAAGGAATGCCAAGGATTCCAGCAAACACAGAAGCTAAATGAGTCAAAGCAGAATTCTTCCCCATAGGTTTCATAGGAAAATGTAGCTTTAGACTTGACATAACTGGTCCAATAAAGTAAATATGCCGGTCCCTGAGTAGTCTTTCTTGCTGATGGAAGAAAAACATAGCCCTGTTGACACCTTGATTTTGAACTTCCAGCCTCCAGAACTGTGAGACAGTAAATTTATGTTAAGCCACCCAGTTTGTGGTACTTTGTTGTGGCAGCCCTCAGAAACTAACTGAGGATTTAAAAACTGAGACATAACAAAGCAGTTACAGAATAATGCACAAAATAATGCCATGTTAAACTATGTGGCACTAAGACCTGCAGAGGAATTCCAGAGACTCCCAGGAACAGCCTGATTTCCATCTCCAGACTCACGCCCAGTCCTCAAGGGTGACTGGTTTTTGTTCACTGCATTGACACAAAGTTTAAGATATCTCTCCGGCCTCTTGTACTCCATGCTCTGGGATCTCCCAATACAAAGCCTGTAATTAAAGGCCACGCTTCTTAGGGGAAGTGACTCTTGTTTTGAGCACAAATGCCACAGACTACTGGGATAAACAAGAAAACCCCTCATATCTAGGGAAGTTATGCTTGCTATGACTGTCAGCCCCAGGATAGGGCCAACCACATGGCTCTGAGCTTTCCTCAGCTAAAGCCTCAATCAGTGGAAGAACCCTTCCCTTTTTTGGAACACTCCTTAAAGTGGGACCTATTTTAAATCTTTGCTTGCCTGAAATCTTGCTGATTAGATTATAATAGTGGATCCTATACGTCCTACCTGATTTGGTTCTATTGAGTCCTCATCTACTCTTTGGGGCCATTTGACATGGGCCACTGAATCAGTTGTCTCTACTGGGGCTTCAATGCCCATCAAATACATAACTAATACATTCTCTTCCATATTTACAGGATTGACCATTCAGCATTTTCTGTTGTCAGAGAAGGAAGCAAGAAATAAGGAAGGAAATTGGGCTCAAAGAACAGAATGGTAAAGGCAGAATAAGAAGTCAAGTTACAGGTTTAAAAGAGGCTAAAGGAAATAAAAATTGGCTGGGCTTCAGGCTAGTCAGGGTCATCCTTTTCTGCTCACTTTCCTTCATCGCCTACTACATCCAAATAATCAGCAGGTCTTATCCATTTTATGTCCAAGACACATTTCAATCTATCTTCTTTTTCCTTTTTTTTTTTTTTTTTTTTTTTTTTTGCTTTTCATTAATCACAACTTCTTTAGACCAGGCAACCATTCATCTCTGCCCTGGACTACTACTTAAAACCTCCTAACTGACAAATCTTACTTCCATATAATTCATTATCTACAAAGCAACCACAGTAATCTCAAATCATGAAGAAACTGACTTCTCTTCCCTAATTAAAATCTTTAGCTTTTATTTTCAGCCAAAATGGAGTAACAGAGATAAGATCTACTCTCCTTCCCTAAGAGATGAGAAAAAATGAACAAAATATATAAAATAACTATTTCAGACAGGTAGTACAAGACTGTAGTCCCTGGAAGAAGGGAAACAAACAAGGTGAGCCCTACAATTGCAGGCAGTTTCTAGTTCATATTACTGGGAGGGGTAAACCAAACAGATCTCCATGAATTTCACAGATAGAGATCTAGCTAGGCAAGATTAAGATGGCTAGAATTTGTGGAGTAGAGTATTGGAGAAGATGTGAGCAGCATAGGGAGAGAGTGCACTCCGAAAGTCTGCAGAGAAATCTCATCAAGTCTCTCGCTGAGTATTGATCTATAACATGTGTAGAGAATCTACCCTAAGCCAGAGAAAGAACCAACTGAAAGGAGTAGGCAGAACAATTCATAGATCTTAAAATAGTTCATGCTCCTACTACTCAGAGTAAAAAGAACTCAGCAGCAAAAGAAACTATCACTAGAGCAAACAAACACCCCATAGAATGGGAGAAAATTTTTGCAATCTATCCAACTGACAAAGGTCTGATATCCAGAGTCTGCAAGGGACCTAAACAAATTTACAAGAAAACAACCACATTAAAAATAGGCAAAGGACATGAACAGACACTTCTCAAAAGAAGACATTCATGCAGCCAACAAAACTGAAAAAAAGCTCAACATCACTGATCATTAGAGAAATGCAACCCCAAACCACAATGAGATACCATCTTACCCAGTCAGAATGGCAATTATTAAAAAGTCAAGAAACAACAGATGCTGGCGAGGGTGAGGAGAAAAAGGAATGCTTTTACTCTGTTGGTGGGAATGTAAATTAGTTCAACCATTGTGGAAGACACTGTGGCGATTCCTCAAAGATCTAGAAGTAATCCCATTACTGAGTATATATACCCAAAGGAATATAAATCATTCTATTATAAACATACATGCATGCATATCTTCACTGCAGCACTATTAACAATAGCAAAGACGTGGAATCACCCCAGTGCCTACTGATGAAGACTAGATGGAGAAAATGTGGTACATAAACAGCATGGAATGCTCTGCAGATATAAAAAGGAATGCGATCATGGCCTTTACAGGGACATGGGTAGAGCTGGAAGTTGTTATCCTCAGCAAACTAACGCAGGAACAGAAAACCAAACACTGCATGTTCTCACTCGTAAGTGGGAGCTGAACGATGAGAACACATGAACAGATGGAGGGGCCTGTTGGAGGGGTGAGTGGAGGGAGAGCATCGGGAAGAATAGCTAATGGATGCTGTGCTTAATACCTAGGTGACGGTTGATCTGTGGAGCAAACCACCATGGCACATGTTTACCTACTATGTAACAAACCTGCACATCCTGCATATATACCGTGGAACTTAAAAGTTGAAAGAAAAAAAAAAAAAAGAACTCATAGTACATGAGGACTTGAGTAGAGTTCTTGAAAGGGCAACACCTTAACAGTAACGTTAAATTAGCTCTCGCCTAAAGGCTGCTCTAGATCTGCCTTAACAAAGCTTAAAGGTAAGCCTCAAAATAAGCCAAATGAAGCCAAGTAACAGCTGTGCACCAGAACAAAATCCATCGTAGTTACAGAGATAAAACAAAATCCAGCAACAAACAAGGTAAATACACAATGTCTGGCATCCAATTAAAAAATTGTCAAACATGTAGACAGGGCTTCTGGCTATAGCAGAATTAAGAGGTAGGTAAGTCCTCTTTTCACAAAACAAGTATAATCTGGACAAAATTGTCAAAAACAACTATTTCAGGACCCTGAAAAATGACCAAAGGGAAATAAATTATGAGGCATTTATTGATTTTTTTTTTAATTGCTGGGACCTCAGATCAGAACCTCAGGAATCTGTGGTCTTCCTGCCTGGGTCCACTCCCATTCTCCCATTCCCAGTTTAGTTGCTGAGAATGATAACCTTAAAAAGGTGAGGCAGATTGTAAAAATCAGAAGCTTTGCTGCCAGAGAGGGCAGACTAGACTTGGGACAGGAAGCAAAAGGCATTGGAAGCATGGCAGCATTGTCAGTCAAAAAAAAAAAAAAAAAAAAAAGCAAGTTTGGTAGGAAATGAAGAGGTAAAACTCACAACCCTGTTAGCCTGAGTTTCTGATCACAGTTGGGTCAATCAGTGAGAAAAGGTAGACAAGGAGATCCTAGAAATGCCATAGCCACAGATGATCTAGATTAGCCCTCCACCCATCCCTGACTGACTAGAAAACAATACACATACACAGGGAAAACCCAAGCGAGCCCCAGTGGAAAGAAAAAAGTCAAGGCACACTTGAGAACTAGCTGAACTTTGAATGTACCCACTCCTCAATCTACAGATAGATAGGCCAGCAGAAGGGTAAGTGAATGCCTGTGGACTCAAGGTGTTTAAGCAAAATCTCTGCTCAAATCATTGGCTGACCACTAAGCTATGCTGATACAGTGATGAACTCTAGTTAGCCTCGATAAAGAATAAAAATCAGAATAAAAAATCTGAGCAGAGACATCAGCAGTGGCCTGAAACCCACAGGGAAAAAAGATTCCACCATTTAAGTTCAAACAAATTTCTTTTTAATCAGGGGAAAAAATCAGAATGCAGAGTTGCTACAGTATAGCATTGACAAGAATTAGAAGAATGCAAGAAGACTGGGCTTGGTGGCTCACACCTATAATCCCAACACTTTGGGAGGCCAAGGTGGCTGGATCACTTGAGCCCAGCCTGGACAATATGGTGAAACCCCGTCTCTACAGAAAATACAAAAATGACCTGGGTATGGTGGCATGCACCTGTAGTCCCAGCTACTCGGGAGGTGGAGGCGGGAGGATCAATTGAGCCTGGGAGGTTAAGGCTGCAGTGAGCCCTGATCATGCCACTGCACTTCAGCCTGGGTGACAGAGCAAGATCCAGTCTCAAAAAAAAGGAAAGAGAGAAAGGGAAAAAGGGAGGAAGGGAGGAGGGGAGGAAAGGAAGAAAGGAGGAAAAAAAGGAAGAAAGGAAGGGAGAAAGAAAGAAGAAAGGAAGAAAGAGGAAGAAGATGAAAGAAGAAAGAAAGAGAAAGAAAGAGAAAGAGGAAAGAAAGAGAAAAAGAAAAGAGAAGAAAAAAGAAAGAAGAAGAAAAGAAAGAAAGAAAAGGAAAGGAAAGAAAAAAGAAAAAGACAAGACAAGGGAATGAGAAAATGTGGCCCACATTCAGGGGAAAAATAATCAATCAGTAGAAACTAACTTTATAGGCCCAGATACTGTATTGAGTAAAGCCTTCTAAGAAGACTTTGTAAATATATTCAAGTAATTAAAGAAAACATATTTAAAGAATTAAAAGAAAATATGAAAATGTCTAAAAATAACTCTCAATAAAAGAATAGTATCTATTAAAAAAGGAATCAAATGGAAATTCTAGAGTTGAGAAGTACAATAATTAAAATGAAAAATTCCCTAAATGGGCTCAACAACAAAATTGAATTAGCCGATGAGCAACTTGAAGACAGATTAACAGAAATTTTTTAATCTGAAGAATAAAAAGAAAAAAAAAATTGATGAAAAATTACCAGTCTCAAAGACCTGTGGGATAGCATCAAGCATAGCCATGTACCTGTGATAGGAGCACCAGAAGGTAAGGAGAGAGAGAAATATTCAGAAAAAACTTTTAAAGAAATAACTAACAATACTCTGAATTCTCCAGGATTGATTATAAATATTAATCTTCAAATCCAAGAAGTTCAACAAACCCCACGTACAATAAAATAAAAAAGATCCACCACTAGAAACATCATAGTAAAAAAAGTTGAAACCGCCGGGCACGGTGGCTCACGCCTGTAATCCCAGCACTTTGGGAGGCCGAGGCGGGTGGATCACGAGGTCAGGAGATCGAGACCATCCTGGCTAACACAGTGAAACCCCGTTTCTACTAAAAAAAAAAATACAAAAAATTAGCCGGGCATGGTGGCACGTGCCTGTAGTCCCAGGTACTCGGGAGGCTGAGACAGGAGAATGCCGTGAACCCGGGAGGCGGAGCTTGCAGTGAGCCGAGACCGCACCACTGCACTCCAGCCTGGGCTACAGAGCGAGACTCCGTCTCAAAAAAAAAAAAAAAAAAAAAAAAAAGTTGAAACCAAAGAAAACAAATCTTGAAATAAGTAATAGCAAAATGACTCATCTTTTACATGGGAAAAAAGGTATGATTAATAGTTGACTTCTCGTCAGACATAATGGAGGACAGA
Organism: Homo sapiens; assembly: GCF_000001405.40. Classification (NCBI taxonomy): domain Eukaryota; kingdom Metazoa; phylum Chordata; class Mammalia; order Primates; family Hominidae; genus Homo; species Homo sapiens. The sequence goes on along the minus strand of NC_000002.12, from coordinate 48,038,279 downwards.
AGGCAGTAGACTGACATATTCAAAATGCTGAAAGAAAAACTTTTTAATCAAGAATTCTCTATCCATCAAAACTAAAAATAAGGATATTTCCAGATTATCAAAAACTCAGGGAATGTGTTGCTAACTGACCTTTCATACAAGAAATACCAAAGGAAGTCCTTCAGGCTAAAAGAAAATGATACCAGGTGGTAAATTAAATCCACAGGGCAAAGAGCACAGCAATAGTAAACATGTGCACAAATTAAAAAGATAAAGAAATATGATCTACAATAAATATATATAAATATATAAAATATAAAATATACATAAATATATTTTCTCTTTCTAAATTTCTTTGAAAATACAAGACTGTATAAAACAATAATTATAACACTATTACTGGGTTTATAACACATATAAATTAAAATGTATGACAATACTAGCACAAAGAAAAGAGGTGAAAATTGAGTTATATTTGAGCATAGTTGTTATATTTTCCTGAAATTAAATCAGTATTAATCTGAAGTAGATTGTGATAATTAAGATGTATTGTATAGCACATATATCTAGGTATATGTATGTGTATACATATCCTGTTTTCTGGAGAACCCAGCTAATACAGATGATGAAAGGCATATCATACTTACAGTAAACACAAGAAACTTAAGTGGTCAAATTAATATCAGACAAAACAAACACTCAGACAAGAAATATTACTAGAAAGGTTATTGTATTAGGATAAAATACATCAGTAAGAAGATACAAGAATTATAAAAGTATAAATGCACCTAATAATAGAGCTCTAAAATACTTGAAGCAAAAACTAACAGAATTGAAAGAAAAAATAGTTCAGCAGTTACAGTTAGAGACTTCAATACTCCCTTCTCAGTAATTGATAGAGCTAAACAGTAAACAAGTAAGAATATAGAATACTTGAACAACACTATCTACCAATTTACCTAACGGACATTTGTAGAACACAACCCCAACAACAGCAGAATACACATTTTTTTTCAAGTGCCTATAGAACATTCTCCAGGATAGACAATATGTTAGGCCATAAAACAAGTTTCAATAAATTTAAAAAGACTGAAATTATTTGAAGTATGTTCTTTGATCACAACAGAATTCAATTAGAAGTCAACAGAAAGAAATTGTGAAAATCTCAAATTGTTAGAAAATAAACAGCATACTTCTAAATAACCCATGGGTGATTGAAGAAATCACAAGGGAACTTCAAAAACATCTTGGTTTGGATGAAAATTAAACACAGCATATCAAAATTTATGGTATGAAGGCAAAGCAATGCTTAGAGAGAAATTCGTGGCTTTCATTACTTATGTTAGAAGGCAGAAAAATCTAAAATAATCTAAGCCACCACCTCCAGAAGCAGTATAAACCTGAAGAAAACCATGCCAAAGAACATTATAATCAAATTTCTGAAAACTAGAAATAAAGAGAAAATTTCAAATGAATTAAGAAAAGGCATGATATGGCCAGGAACAGTGGCTCATGCCTATAATTCCAGCACTTTGGGAGGCAGAGGTGGGCAGATCACTTTAGGTCAGAAGTTTGAGACCAGCCTGGCCAAGACAGCAAAACCCTGTCTCTACTAAAAATACAAAAATTTGCCAGGCGTGGTGCCACACACCTGTAATCCCAAGAACCCAAGAACTGGAGGTTGCAGTGAGCCGAGATTGCACTACTGCACTCCAGCCTGAGTGGCAGAGTAAGACTCCATCTCAAAAAAAGGGAATAAAAGGAAAGGCATGATACACACTAAGAATTACAACATATTTCTCATCAGAAACTATGCAATCCAGAAGACAATGGAGAAGCATCTTTACTGAAAGAAGAAAACTAAAAACCTAGAATTCTTTCTCCAACAAAACTGCATTTCAAAAATGAAGGTAAAGACATTTTTAGTTTTAAAATTTATTTTTATTTTTATTTTTTTGAGACAGAGTCTCACTCCATCACCTAGGCTGCAGTGCAGTCATGCAATCTCGGCTCACTGTAACCTCCACTTCCAGGTTCAACCAATTCTCATGCTTCAGCCTCCCAAGTAGCTGGAATTAGAGGTGTGCACCACCATAGCTGGCTAATGTTTGTATTTTTAGTAGAGACAGGATTTTGCCATGTTGGCCAGGCTGGTCTTGAACTTTTGACCTCAAGTGATCCACCTGCCTCAGCCTCCCAAAGTGAATTATTTCTCCAACAAAGCTGTATTTCAAAAATGAAGGTAAAGATATTTTTATTTTTTTAATTTTTATTTATTTTTATTTTTATTTTTTTGAGACAGAATCTCACTCCATCACCCAGGCTGCAGTGCAGTCATGTAATCTTGGCTCACTGCAACCCCTGCTTCCCAGGTTCAAGCGACTCTCGTGCTTCAGCCTCTCACATAGCTGGAATTAGAGGTGTGCGCCACCATGACTGGCTAATTTTTGTATTTTTAGTAGAGACAGGGTTTCCCCCATGTTGGCCAGGCTGGTCTTGAACTTTTGACCTCAAGTGATCCACCTGCCTCAGCCTCCCAGAGTGCTGGGATTACAGGCATGAGCCACTGCACCCAGCCAATAAAGACATTTTTACACAAAGTTGAGACAATTTATTTACAGCAGATCTTTCCTATAAAAAATGATAAACAAAAATTTTCAGGCAGATGGAAAATGGTAAGAGGTGGAAATTTGGATTTACACAAGAGAGAAAAGCATGCCAGAAATGAGTACTCATTAATTATAAAGAGAGAAATGATAACTTTACAGCTGAGAAACCTCTGGGGGACATTATCTTAACCAAGTAATCAAAGTTATCACCAATAATGAGATAAATTGACATTATGCATTTCCTGATACTAAAAAGGACACACATCACTTATGTAGTATTCATGCCAAAGATATATTACTTGAATGTAATCATCTGGAATCAAACCTCAACTGAAAGACACTGTACAAAACAACTTGCTCATAGTCTTCAAAAATATTAATGTCGTAAAAGACAAAGAAAGGTTAAGAAGCTGTTACAGATTAAAGACTAGAGAAACCTGATAATTAAATGCAATACACAATCATAGATTGGATGGTAAATTAGAGGGAAAAGGAAATTACTATAAAGGACATTATTGGAGAAATTTGCAAAATTTGAATGTTCAACTTTTGAATATATACTGAATATTAGATAATAGTACTGTTATCAGTGTTAAATTCCTGAATTTGATTATTGGATAGTAATTATACATTTTGCTGAGAAAAGACAGGCTGAAATATTTAGGGATAAAGGGCGCTGTCTATAATATGTTCTCAAATCGTTCTGCAAAAAAATGTATGTATAGGTGTGCACGCACATGGATTTTCATCTGAAAACTTCTGAGTCTAATTTTACCTTTTTTCTCTCACCTTTTACATCCCAATCACCTTCTTCAACTTATCTCAAAGCTCCTCCACAACCCATTTTCTACTCAGTGCTTTTTCCACAGAGAAACACTGTGATAAATATGTTCCATTCATTTAATCAGGTAGTTGAAAACATGCATAAAATGAAGAGTAGTGGAAAACGGAAAAAAAAAATAAGTGAAACTTTAAGAGACAAAAACCCAAAATATCTGAAATTTGAAATGCACTAGAAAATATCACATCTTGCAGATTTTTTAATCATCCAGTTGGCAAATCCTTTTCCCATACTGTAAAGCAACTCTTGAAACATTATTTCCTCTAGATAGCCTTCCCAGATTGATGCAAAGAAAGAGCTCTGCTCATGACACTCCTATAGTTACTTCCTCTATTTTGACTTGGTTCAGCCTGCCTTAAAAGCAACTATTCTTGACCTGTATTAACATACACATTTCCCTACTTATCTGTGGCTTGTCTTAATGTGTTAAGTTAGATCTGTGAATCCTCTGTGTGTACATCCATCTCCATGAACCTGACTTTGACTTCAAAGGAACTGTGTTCTTAGAGTTTACTAAGACTGGCCTTATTATTTTTAAAAATCTGACATCCCAAATTCCTATATCTGACTTTATTTCTAAATTCCTAATAAAAATTAAATGCAGAATTTTTTCTTTGGGGAAGATGGAGTAGATACACTTTTCCCTATTCTTCCCATTAAGTACAACTAAAACTCTAGATAATGTATAAAAAAACAAAAGAACTCTGAGTGGTAGAGAGAAGAAGGTAGAGACTAGGGAGCTCAAGACCCAAGGAGTGACATGGGGGTGAGTTCCCTCAGTTTTCTTTTTGCCTTATATGTCCCAGATTGGGTACTAAAGACAATGGCAACATGGAAATGCCAATGAGCACAGACCTAAGACGTGTGGAGAAAAACCTAGCTAAGGACTAGGAAGACAGAAAACTTTTAGACAATAACTGCTGTGCTGCAGCCAAACACCTCAGAAAAAAACAAAACCTTGGCCCTATCTTAGAGCCCCCACCAGCACAATCCATAAAAAGAAAAGGTGATAAATTGAAATTCATAAAAATTTTAACACATATGCTCTGTGAAAGACGGTTATGAGGATGAAAAGGCAGGCCTCATGCTGGGAGAATATATTTGCAAACCACATACCTGACAAGAGACTAATATCTAGAACTACAAAGAACTCTCAAAACAATACAAAAATTTTCCAGGCATCATGGCACATGCCTGTAATCCCAGCTACTCAGGAGGCTGAGGCACAAGAATTGCTTGAACCCTGGAAGCAGAGGTTGCAGTGAGCCAAGATCGCACCATTGCACTCCAGCCTGGGCGACAGAAGGAAAATCTGTCTCAAAAAAATAAAAATAAAAATAAAACTCTCAAAACTGAACAGTAAATAAACCAACAATCCGATCACAAAACGAGCAGGAGAGGCCGGGTGCGGTGGCTCACGCCTGTAATCTCAGTACTTTGGGAGGCCAAGGCAGGTGGATCATCTCAACTCAGGAGTTTGAGACCAGCCTGGCCAATGGTGAAACCCCGTCTCTACCAAAAATACAAAATTTAGCTGGACATTGTGGTGGGTGCCTGTAATTCCAGCTACTTGGGAGGCTGAGACAGGAGGATAATCGCTTGAACCTGGGAGGTAGAGGTTGCAGTGAGCCGAAATCACACCACTGGACTCCAGCCTGGGTGACAGAGCGAGACTCTGTCTCAAAAAAAGAAAAAAAAAAAAAAAAAAAAAAAGAAGAGAAGACTTGAATGGACATTTCACAGAAGAGGATATACAGATGGCACATAAATGCATGAAAAGATGCTCTACTACATTAGCCATTAAGTGCATTTTAAAACCACAATGAAATACCATTGCACATCTATCAGAATGACTGGAACAAAAAAGTGACAACACTAAATTCTGCTAAAAATGTGGAGAAACTGGATTACCCGTACATTGCTGGTGAGAAAGCACAATGATACAGCCACTCTGGAAAATAATTTGGCAGTTTCTTAAAAAAAAAACCAAAACACCCAAATGTCACATGACCAAAAAACTGAACTCTTACTCATTTGTTCCGGTAAAATGAAAATGTATGTCTACATAAAAACTGGCACATGAAAGTTTCTAACAACTGTATTCATAATGCTCAAAAACTGGAAGAACACAAATGTCTTTCAACAAGTAAATAGTTCAACAACAACAGATGCTGGTGAGGCTGTGGAGAAATCAGAATGCTTTTACACTGTTGGTGGGAGTGTAAATTAGTTCAACCATTGTGGGAGTCAGTGTGGCAATTTCTCAAGGATCTAGAACCAGAAATATTATTTGACCCAGCAATCTCATTACTGGGTATATACCCAAAGGATTATAAATCATTCTACTATAAAGACACATGCACACGTATGTTTATTGCAGCACTATTTACAATAGCAAAGACTTGGAACCCACCCAAATGCCCATCAATGATAGACTGGATAAAGAAAATGTGGCACATATATGCCATGGAATACTGTGCAGCTGTAAAAAAGAATAAGTTCATGTCCTTTGCAGGGACATGGATGAAGCTGGAAACCATCATTCTCAGCAAACTAACACAGGAACAGAAAACCAAACACTCATGTTCTCACTCATAAGTGAGAGTTAAACAGTGAGAACACATGGACACAGGGAGGGGAGAATTACACATGGGGGCCTGTCGGGGGTAGGGGACAAGGGAAGGGAGAGCATTAGGACAAATACCTAATGCATGTGGGGCTTAAAACCTAGATAACGGGTTGATAGGTGCAGCAAACCACCATGGCACATGTATACCTATGTAACAAAACTGCATGTTCTGCACATGTACCCAGAACTTAAAGTAAAATAAATTTTAAAAAAAAGTCCAACCAAATGTGATATATCCATACCATGGATACTACTCAGCAATAAAAAGGAGTAAACTACTGACACACACAACCTGGATGAATCTTCAGAGAATTATACTGAGTGAAAAAAGCCAATCCCCACAGGCTACATACCATATAATTCTATTCATATAACATTCCTGACATGAAAAAATTACAGAAATGGAGAACAGATCTGTGGTTGCCAGGAGTTAAGGAAGGGATGGGGCAGGAGGGAAGGGGGTGAAGCTCTCAAAGGACAAGCATGAGGGATATTTGTGTTGATGGAAATGTTCTGTATCTTGATAATCAATTTCAATAACCTGGTTGTAATATTGTTCTCTAGTTTTGCAAGAAATTGAGTAGAGGGTGCACCCGATCTCTGTTTTATTTCTTACAACTGTGTGTGAAAGTACAATTATTGCAAAATAAAAAGCTTATTTTTTAAAAAATGAATACACCAGATGAGATCATATTTGGCTGTTTTTAGTCTTTTAGACCTTAGTGTAAAAAATATTTTGACGGACGATCCTTCAGGGAGAACAGGATGACCCTGGGTGCCTTGTGAAAAGAAAGTGGACGCACAACAGAGGTTAAAAGCATCAGAATGAGGCCAGATACAGAAGCTGAACTTCACCAACTTTTAAATTAAGTTGAGAGCTGCCTTTGGCAGTTTCCTTTGCATAATTTCTCTTTCTTTCTCTCTTTCTTTCTTTCTTTTTTTTTTTTTCTGGAGTCTTGCTCTGTCTCCCAGGCTGTATGGAGTACAGTGGCACGATCTCGGCTCACCACAACCTCCGCCTCCCAGGTTCGGGCAATTCTCCTGCCTCAGCCTCTCGAGTAGCTGGGATTATAGGTGCCCGCTACCACACCCGGCTAATTTTTGTATTTTTAGTAGAGACAAGGTTTCACCGCGTTGGCCAGGCTGGTCTCAAACTCCCAACCTCAAGTGATCCACCCACTTCGGCCTCCCAAAGTGCTGGGATTACAGGTGTAAGCCACTGCACTCGGCCTGCGTAATTTCTTAATAGGTCAACACATATATACTCTTAAATACGATATATCTTTCATGCTACTGCTACTCAAAATATAATTGATTCTTGTCATAGGACTATACTCAGAGAAGACTACTTTCAAGCCAAGATAACCTTTTGTTTACTGAAGCCTCATCTGCTTTAGTGACATTTATAGGCTTGAAGGACAAGTGAAATAACATTTGGCTTTGATTTCCCTCCAAACCTCCCTGTCTCTTCTCTTCCAGAGATTATAGGTGGTGTATGCCCTCATCTAGTCAATTCCCCATTGTAAAAATGGTGTTCGTTCAGTTTTTGCGAGTTTCCTGTTGCTGTTCTCTGTGCATAGCCTCCCTGTGCAGCGGCCAGTACATCACCACCATTGCTACAATATCAGCTCCCCATTTCCAACCCATCACTGCCACCACCCCATATTCCCTGGAGTTAAAGGGATGCTTTCTCACTTAATGCAGTGAGTTAAAATCACAAAATTAAATTTATTTCCATTTTTCTGTCCTTTTTGTTGAAAGAGTTGGGCCCAGTGTCCAGGAGATCATTACTGGAAGGCACATACACCTACTCCTATCTGCCCACACCAGAGCAGGTCATTTTTAACATCTCCTCTATATGACAAAATTGCTTTCAGTAGTAATCATGAAATTGAACAAATAATCATGATGGCTAGAAAAAAAACACAGATAACGGGGGTTTTATTTTATTTAAATGTGTATGGATATATGTATGTATGTATGCACATACATCCCAGTAAAAAAGTAAATACTGCATATAAATATTGTAATGCATAAAAGGAAATCAGTAATAGATTAACTCTTTTTGATTATAACACATTTTTGGAGTCAAAGATTTGGAAAAATTTATACTTACATATTGGTGTTTTACAATAATGAATAATGACACAGTTTAAAACAACAGAAAAACTCAAAAGGCAGAAATTTTCATTTTAAAGACATTAGTTGGTAAAAAAAATGAGTAAACTAAAATTTGCACTTATTAAACAAAATATATCACCCCAAATTTTATATCTTGTTCCACTGATTTAAATTTCCAAAATAATTTAGAAGTCTAAATGGTTACATAGAAAGATGCAATTTTAGTAACTCAAGTTTGTTTCTTTGTTTTTATAATCACTTTGGTATGACCATTTATTTCTAATCTACTACTTAAATGTAGGAATGTGTAATATCTCTTGAGTTGGAGACACAAAGCAAGTTCACATGATTTTGAACCATTACTAACTTACTCTTAAAACAAAAGCACGTACCTAAGTCTGAATATATTTGGAGCCAACTGTATAACTGGCAACTCTCCATATTAGCTATCATGTTTAATATAATATTGATAAAGGATAAGTAATAAAAATGTGTTAATTTGAAGTTTGCATAAATTATTAAAATTTAACAGATAACTTCAGCAATTGTTTAGAACTTAGACCAAACAAAATATTTTACTGGGGAAGGGTATTTTATCACTGACGTTATTTAGAATTGATGACATGTAGTGATAATAGTAAGTATATCTACTTTAGCTTGACTCTATTATTGTTTTTGGATTCCCTAGAGAAAATGCACCTTTTATGGCCTGCACCCAGGGATCACTCCCGCCACCCCACACTTGTTTTGCCACTACATAAAAGGTCTGGCTTCTATAACGTATACCCTGATTGGTCTCTCCTACTGATGGCTAACTGCTTCTTACATTTATAGCAAGAAGATAATTCTCAGTCTATTAAGGGTAAGAGAACAAATCTTCCCTTCCTTTCTGCTTTTTTATTGCCATAAGAAGTGATTCAACGTATTCTTGGCAAGTGGGAGGGAACCTTCTACGGGATGGAATAAAAGAGACTCTCTTTCCTCCAGAGAATGCTGTTTTGGCAATTTGGTGGGAGAGATGTGTCGGTAATATTTAAAGAAGGGCTTCTTACCTCCCTTTCACTGGCTCTGATTTGGTCTTTTTTATACTGAAGAAGCTCTTACTAGTTCTTTCAGAGAGGGTGTGTAGGTGCTAAACTCTCTTAGCTGTTGTAAGGCTGAAGTTTTTCTTTTTTAGCCCCCTCACGTGATGGTTTATCTTGGTGGTTCTCAAGTATAGTTCCTTTCATAGCTGAATCTGAAATACATGGGAACTTATTAGACAGGTATATTCTCAGCCCACCCAAGACCTACTGAAGCAGAAATTCCAGGGATTGCCTCTGCAATCTGCATTTTTATAAACCCTCCAGATGATTTTGATGCAAAATCACTAATGTTGGAAAACTCCTCATTTAACTAGCTAAAGACTCGTACGTGGATACTATTTTTTTTCTTAGGGCTTTGAAAATATTATTTATGGTCTCTCAGCATCTATTGTTACAGATGAAAAGTCTGCTGTCATTCTGTGTTTCTAGCCAGTTGAACCATATAAAATTTCTAGTATTTGACCATGTTTTATTGAGGTAAATTTACAAACAATAAAATCTACCTTTTTTTTTTTGAGACAGAGTCTCGTTCTGTCACCCAGGCTGGTGTGCAGTGCTGGGATCTTGGCTCACTGCAGCCCCTGCCTCCTGGGTTCAAGCAATTAATGTGCTTCAGCCTCCTGAGTAGCTGCAATTACAGATGTGCACCATCATGCCCGACTAATTTTAGTAGAGACAGGGTTTCACCAAGTTGGCCAAGGTGGTCTCCAACTTCTGGCCTCAAGTGATCCACCCACCTCGGCCTCCCAAAGTGCTGGGATTACAACAGGCATGAGCCACCATGCCCAGCCAAAATTCAGTGAGTTTTGATAAATGTACAGTAAAATAACCATCATCATAATCAAGGTATAAAATATTTCCATCATCCAAAAATATTCCCTCCTGACCCTTTATATTCTAGTCCCTCTTCTCCCCTCTGACTCCTGGCAACCACTAATCTTCTTTTAGTCACTAAAGATTAGATTGAATTTTCTGGAATTTCACATACGTGGACTCATACAGCATATGCTCTTTTGTATCTTGTTCCTTTCGTTTAGCATAATGCTTTTGAGGTTCGTTCATGTTATTTAGTGCCTTTTTATTGCAGACTATTATTCCACTGTGTGGATAAATCACAATCGGTTTATTTGTTCACAAATTAGTGAACATTTGGGTTAATACATTTTATCTGGTTTTCTAGCTATTTACATAGGGAGGGCAATTCCCATAGCAGTTAATCCTTCATACGCATAAGTACAAGTCCTACTAAATCATTTTTAAATTACAATTGATCTATATTTCGTATTGCTTAACTGAATAGATAATCTGTGTTTTCCATCATAAAGCTTTAAGATTTTCTCTTTTCACATGACTTTTTATATGTCTACTATACCATGTCTAGATCTCGATTTATTTTTACTTATTCTACTCAATTATTTGTGCAATTTCTGCCTGAGGAATCATGTTTTCGATTCAGGAAAATTTTCAGCCATTGTCTCTTCAAAACTTTCTGTCCTCCTTTCTCTATTGTCTTTCTCTGCAATCCCTACTAGAAGTATAATGTAACCTTTTATTTCAAACTCCATGTCTCTTAATTTCCTTTTAACTTTTTCTATCTTTTCTCTCTCCAGTCTGTGCGATTAGAATATATCTAATTCTGTCATTTCTCTTCAACTAATCTAAGTTATTATTTAACCTATTCATTGGTTTCCTCAAATTTTTAACTTCTAGAATTTCTATATGTTCCAATTATTTATTACTGCATAACAAATTACCTCAAAATTTAGCAGCCTAAAACAATCATTTTATTTTGCTCATGATTTTTTGGGTTAGGAATTCAAAAAGGGCTCAGCTAGAGGTTTTGCCTTAGGGTCTCTTAAGTAATTGCAGTCAGACTATGCCTACAGCGGGAAGAGCAGAGGACTGGAGAAGTTGGGGAGTGGCCAGATAGCTCTTTTCCTCTCTGCAGTTACAGCACCTCTCTATGTGTGGTCTCTTTGCATGGGCTAATTTTGGCTTCCTCACATGTGACAATCTCCAAGCAGGTGGACTCCTTACACAGTAGTTTAGAGCTCCAGCACAAGTGATCCAGTAAGCAAGCAAAAATGGACTCACATTTCTATCTAGCCTCAGAAATCACACAGCATCACTTATACCACATTCTATTAATCACAACAGAGTCATAAGCATGTCCCTCAAGGGAGGGGACCCTACCTCTTAATAGAAAAAATATAAGTACACATTATAAGAAAAGCATGTAAGATAGGAAAGCATTGTTGTGGCCACTATCGGCAAGAAACTTTGGAAGATACAGTCTGGCATGATTCTTTTTCAAATTCCTCCTTTAAAAAAAAATAATGTCCTGGCTGGGCACAGTGGCTCACGCCTGTAATCCCAGCACTCTGGGAGGCCAAGGCAGGCAGATTGCCTGAGCTCAGGAGTTCAAGACCACCTGGGCAGCATGGTGAAACCCTGTCTCTACTAAAAATACAAAAAATAAGCCGGGCAGTGGTGGTGGGTGCCTGTAGTCCCAACTACTGAGGAGGCCGAGGCACGAGATTTGCTTGAACTTGGGAGGCAGAGGTTGCAGTGAGCTGAGATGGCACCACTGAACTCCAGCCTGGGTGACAGAGCTAGACTGTGTCTCAATAAATAAATAAATAAATAAAAATAAAAATAATGTTCTATTCTTCCCTTACAAGTTCTATTCCTTCCTCTCTTTCTTTGAACATTTTAAAACACACTTGAAGTCTATTTTGCTTTGTGTCCTAGATTGTGAAGATGACTCCATGGAGATTTTCCATAGCTTTCTTTGCTGGGGTTTCAACAGGATTCTCTGATTCCATGCAAATATTTAGTTTATAAGCTTGGCTCAGGGCTTCTATATCATAAGAATATTGTGAGAAATTGAGCCTGCATCGGTAGCACAGAATAAGGATTTTGGGTTCTCTTAGCTGACTCTTTTGACATTCATAACCCAGGGATGAAGGCCTGACCCATGCTCTGTAGGAAGACCAGGTATAACCTGTCTCCATGTACAAGAGACTTCGACACTTGGCCATCCTCCTTGACAGTTGTTAAAATCCGTACTCTAAAGTAATGAGATTGCTCATGAAATGTAAATACTTCCACCTCTGTAGATTCTCTTAATTTCTGACACCAGCATTTTTATTTCTTACTAACAAGGTTGGCTACATACTTACAAATAAGTTCTTCTCTATGGGTCACCTAACCTCACTGTATGAGATAATAAGGGAATAAGGCATTTGTGTTCAGGAATAACAAAGGGCAAGGGTGTGTATTTGGGAAAGCCTGCGAGAGAATGGACAAGTTCGGAGCCTGCTGAGTTCTGGTTACGGATGCCAGGGACCTATTCTTGAAAAGTTGTTCCGATGTAAGTAAGTTCACTGCCCAGAATGGACCCAGTGAGTCCAGAGGACTCAACAACTTTTTACACCCACCAACTGACCATCCAGTCTTCAGATGGGTAGAGTCTCTAAGCTATCTATTCTTATAGCTCTTGCCCACCAGATTTCCAGTTGAGAAATGAGTGGTAGCAACACCCTGCCCTGCCGTGATTCTATGCAGGCCACAGTGTTTGCCAATCCCAGGAGGCTGTCTCAGGAAACTCTGAAGTGAACATTTTGGAAAATGCACAGGTTTAGGAAAGAGTTCTCTTACTTTTACCTCATGGAAGAGCAAACTATAATAGAGCATCAAGAACTAGGGCAGCTGGAGGATTCATTCATGTCACAAGTCCAGAGATCTGAGGCACAAGGGAACATGTGTGAGATCCAGGGTTGTGATAATCCTAAGTAAACTCCCCTAATCCCCAGAGCTGGTTCTTGCCAGGGGGGAAAATGGGATCTTAGGAAAGTTAGCTTTCAGTGCATTTCTTCCCATCTCCTCCTCCCCTTAACACTTACTGACGCTAATTCAGAAGTCTGAATTGTTTTCAGAATTTGGTCTGAAAGTGTCCTCTCAAATGGAAACTCACGAGGTTCCATGTTTATACATCTGCTCTTGTATAAGCAAGACAATAATGATAAGATGACCCTACAACCACTCTCCATTCTCCAAGGTCCAGTTAAATTCCCTCCCCCACATGATGTCTTCTCTGTCAACTCCAGCCCGTTCTGGCCTCTCCTTTCTTCTGACCTCCAATTTATTTTTTATTCTACTTTCTACTCACATCACAAATGCCTCAGGATTTTTTCTGTCATTGTCTCCAAAGGTTATTATTTATTTCTAAAATTCTTTGTAAACTTTTAAGTGTTGAAGTTTGGTCTCCCTAACCAGATTATAGGATTTTTAGGTCCAGGAATGTGCATTGCACATCTTTATTTTAATAATTTATAGCATCACCATAGGATGAGCATGACACAAGGGCTCCATAAATATTAACAGATGATAGCTTATTTGTTCACTGCTCTTGTTTGGGAGTTTACATGATTTACCATGTATTCAGTAGCTGGGATGCTCTGGAATACAAAGGACACTTGAAGAAGTCATTCAGTCTCACTGTGCTTCAGCTTCTCACCTGCAAGGTGGAGACAATCATACTTGCTGGTCTCTGCTACACTGGGAGATGAGAAGGTTGTTGTTATTGCTGTTGGTTTTTTTAATTATGTGATATGCATGTCTTTAAATAAAAGCTTACTGTAAATTATTGGCACAGGTGCACCTCACTTTACACAAATGACATGGTCCTGAAACTTGGATGAAAATGAGCTTTCATCAATTGAGTTTTTTAAAATTTCATGATTTAAAGTTTAATATGGGTTTGTCAGTTGTGAAATTAAATATACAGTAGGGACTGGAAAAGAAGAAAAAAAAACTTGGCCAGGTTAACCTGACTTGAAATAAAGACCCTGCCTAAAAACCCTGAATGCCTTTGCCTTTCACTTAGCTGGAAAATACAAAATAATTATGTATGTATATATTTTTATATATATATAGTGTGTGGTGAGGGGAGTGTGTAGTAAGATAGGTACAACCTCGACAAAATTGTTCAACCCTCCCCAACAAACTTATATGACTGAGATGTTACTTTGGGTGTCCCTCTGCCCAGCAGAGACTTAAGTAACTTGACCTAACCCAAACTCTCAACTTCCCTCCCAGTATGAGTCTAAAGACCCTCCTTAAGGTTTATGCAAATATAACACTTACTTGCCTTGGGCTTGTCTATTCCTTCTGCATGTGTTTTGTCTCCAGAATCCCTGGCAGCTAGGAGGCTCACCTTAACTCCTCTCATCATTTTCTGCAGGAAATTCTATTACAATAGCGATTTTGTGAATTTCATAACTTCACTGAAGGCTTGAGGAGTTGTGGGATGGTATCACATGGAACACACACTGCTTCTCACCAAGGCAGTGTCCTTATACCCAGCCTCCTATCTCAGGAGTCATCCAAAACCCCTGCTCCTGAGATGACCTTCACATCCGTGAACAGCCTTCTGGGAAGTGCAGCCCACTTCCTAAGGCTTCTCCCTGGAGGTGCAGCCCTGCCTGGCCAGTTGACCGTCTCCAGCTTTTTTGGGATTTGGAAAATAAAAATTTCAGGGCCAGTCCTGGTGGCTCACACCTGTAACCCCAGCACTTTGAGAGGGCTGAGGCAGGTTCAAGGAGGAGTTTAAGACCAGCCTGGCCAACATGGCAAAACTTTATCTCTACCAAAAATACAAAAATTAGCCCGGTGTGGTAGCACATGTCTGTAGTCCCAGCTACTCAGGAGGCTGAGGCATGAGAATTGCTTGAACCTGGGAGGCGGAGGTTGCAGTGAGCTGAGATCATGCCGCTGCACTCCAGCAAGACTCTGTCTCAAAAAAAGCAAAACAAAACAAGAAGACAAAAACAAAAAAAAAAATTTAACATTTCATTGTACTTACCTTTTAAAAAACTTTTCTTTATTTCCCTTTCCAGTGGAAAGCCTGGGTGGTTTTTGTTTTTGTCTTCACTAATTGAAGGCTTAATTCACCACTCATTCCTGGGGTTCTATTTGTTTTTTCCTATAAGACCCTACTTTGCCAATTGTCTTTCTCTTTCCTTTCTTGAAACTCTCTCCACAGCTTATAAGCACGCCAACTTTATTTCTTGTAAAAGAAACAAACAAAACAAAGCAAAATTGTCTTCAGTTGTGCTTCTCTTCAAGTTACTATCCTATATATTTTCTCTTCTTCATGTCAGGCAATAGAATTTTCTGCAAGAGTTTCTTTAATTCCTCAGCTCCTATTCACTCCCTGACCCACTGTGTCCTCGCTTCTGCCCTACCATGTCATTGAAACTGCCCTCATCTTGGTCACCAATGATCTGCTTTTGCTAAGTAATGACTAACAATAACAATAATATTTAGAATTTAATGAGGGCTCATTATCCATCAGAAACTGTCCTAGGTAAGTACTCATATATCCACAATCTCGTTTGTCCTTTCAGCAGCCATATGAGATAGATACTGAGATTGTTCCCAACTTATAGATGACTAAATAGCCTTTGAAAAGTAAGATAAGGATTACATAGCCATAAACTGCTGAGCCAGGACTCAAACCCAATTCTTTTTCACTCCAGTACCAGTTATTAAATCACTTTAGCTCATGTACTAATACACTCTCTGTCTCTCTGCAAAATTTGCCCATAGCTGGGCCTGGTGGCTCACACCTGTGATCCCAGCACTTTGGGAGGCTGAGGCGGGCAGATCACTTGAGGTAAGGAGTTTGAGACCAGCCTGGCCAACACGGCGAATCCCATCTCTACTAAAAATACAAAAATTAGCTGGGTGTGGTGGCGCGTGCCTGTAGTCTCAGCTGCTTGGGAGGCTGAGGCAGGAGAATCACTTGAACCCAGGAGGCAGAGGTTACAGGAGCTGAGATCATGCCACTGAACTCCAGCCTGGGCAACAGAGAGAGATTCTATCTAAAAATAAATAAATAAACACATAAATAAAATTGTTCATTACCACTCCCGCCTTTGTGCAACTCTTTACTCTCTCAATTTGCATGATTCTACTGTCTCCTCCTTTCTGCAACATCTTCTCAGTCTCCTTTTCTTTGATCCATGTTTTAAATGTCCATGCTCTCTGGAGTTCTGTCCTTGGACTTCTTTTACTCTCAGACTACATAATCTCCTTGGGAAGGTTCATCTATTTGCTGGGGTCCTCTTGCTGTTGTTTGCTGATAACGCCAACTAAATATCTAAATGTCTTCTAGACATAACTTGGACATCTCATGAACACACAAATTCAATATGCTCTAAAGTGAATCTGCTGTTTGCCTCTCCTGCCATCTCCCCCTGGAAAACAATATGTTCCCCTGAGTGTTATATCTCAGTGAAGGGCACTATTGTCTGCCCTATTGACCAACCAAGTTATCCTTGACCTTTCTCTCCTGCAACTCTCACATCTGATCATCACCATAGCCAATGAATTCTATCTCCTAAATAGTCCCCTCTCTCCCACTGTCACTTCCCAAGTTCAAGCCTACATGATTGCAACAGTCTCCTTGATGGTCTCTCTCTGTCTAGTCTTGCCATCTTCAATCCATTCTTTAGGTTGCAAGCTACAGGTTGGTTAGGATATGCTCTACTTGGCTCTCATTGTCTTTGGACTGGCAGCTACTCTGGGCTTGAGTGCTGCTCCATGTATCTCATGCTGGCACCCAAGATGGAGGAGCAGTGGCTACCCAGGAGATCATTGCAGCCAGAGAGATCATTCTGAAAGGTAAAAGTTATCTACTTCTCCCTTGATTAATATTCTTTAGTGGCTCCTTGATGCTTTCAGAAGACAATCCAAATCTATTATAATGTATTAATCAGCTATTGCCACAATGATGCTATGTAACAAACTACCCCAAAAACCAGAGGCTTACGACAACAGTCCCTTATTCTCATGCTCACAGATCTAAAGGCTGGCTACAGTTCGAGTGGGTTAAGCTAGAATTCAGGTTCCTGAGTTCCAGGATCTAATCTACGGAAGGAAGATTAGGTTCAGGTCCGTACACAACAAAAAGATTTTCACAATAAAGGCCCTGCTTTGTCACTGAAGTTCCTGGCACAGAACCTGGTCTATAATAGGTGCTCACTAAATGTTGAATGACTGAATGAAGCCAGATAGAGCCGTCTCTGGGAAACCAAGACGTTAAATTAACTTCTGTATCTGCAGCCTCTCCATCCTGCCTGCTGTTTTCTCATTCACTGTGTCGTGTTTAGGAATCTGATTCCCCGCCATGATCACTTCCCTCTGCTCACTACTAAAACCCACTCTCACAAAGGCCTTCCATGCAATAATTTACACATTAATAAAAAAAATTTGTCTGTTAACGCCTCTAGATTTATTTATTGAGCTCTCACTGAGGAACCTGTAGCAGGATATTGACCTCTGCTGATGGAATTTAAATTACTTGGTAAAAGATAAAGAAAATTTTAACACAAAATATCAAGTTATATTGTCCTCCAAGTAAGCTTCATTCAAAAGCCAGATTCAACTCCCATTAGTTTATCACAAAGATGTAGCTCAACCCTCTCACAATCATTACAGGAAAAGTTTCACTCAATTAGATGCTTTATTTTAAGCCCCCCAGGATGGAAACTTTCTCTGAATGTACTATGGATAAAAACAGCTGTGACAGACAACAGTCTTCACAAAACACACCAACATTCGTGCAAGACACCCCCCACAATTAATCCTTCAGCCTGTGGTATACACATGGCTTCTTCAAGTCAGATCCCACAATGCCCCCTAGAAATAGGTCATCTGAAACAAACATCAACTTTGCTTCGAAAAGTTTCTATGCCTATGTGGTCATAACCCAAAAAAAGAGTCCTCTGGGGAAACAGGACATGTAAACAGCAGAGCTCAGGCCTCCCTTGCAGCCTGTTCCTTCCTTTCCAGTGGCAACTTTACCTTTGCGCTCTCTAAAATCAACAGCTTTCTGCTCTCTAAACTGGGTTTGGGTAAGGTCTTTCCCTCTCTCCCCCAGATGGTTGTAACCCCTTGACATAATACTCATTTGCAAGAATATTAAGTCATGTAAGGAGCAGCATTGCTCTATCCTCCTGATAATTCTGTAAAACAGCAAATTGTTTTTCCAACTTGTATTTTAGGTTTTGGAAGTATACGTGCAGGTTTGTTACACAGGGAATTTATGTGTTGCAGGGGTTTGGTGTGCAGATTATTTTGTCACCCAGATAATGAGCATAGTATCCAGCAGGTAGTTTTTTGATCCTCACCCTCCTCCCACCCTCCACCCTCAAGTAGGCCCCAATGTCTATCACTTCCTCCTTTGTGTCCTTGTGTACTCAATGTAAAACAGCAAATTTAGCTAGGGTGCATCTCTCAGCCAGATAACTAGGGACAGGATTGGGAGAGATGTGGGGGTGCAGAGGAAACTAACATTTATTGAGCAATTTTCATGCATCATTGTTCTATTATTTTACATACAGGATATAGTTTAATCCCCATAACACTTATCTGAGATACCTGTTGTCATCTCTATTTGTAAATAGGAAAGCCAAAGCTCAGAGGGGTTAATTAATTAGTTCTGGGTTCCACAGCTAGTAATAAGTAGAGATAGAATTAGAATCAAATTTGACCAGTCTCCAAAATCCATGTCCTTAGTACCTGCTACATATCTCCATGATTGAGTCTGCTTACTGAGAGAATAAAAGACAAGTTTCCAGAATTTTGAGGTAAGTAAGGAACTGTTTGGATTAACCAATCAACAATCCCCCAATGAACAAGTGTGCATTTAAAGTCTTGTAATTGCTCAGCTACAGGTTAGGCACTATGGGAAACACACAGAAGTAGGTGATCAGCTCTCTGATCCCCAGTAGGTTACAACCCAGGAAAGGAGAAATGCATCTTACATCCAGGGATTTATCCACACTTGGATAAATTCAGTGGACTGAATAAAGAATGGATCAGTGAGGATTCTAGTTGTAGGAAATTCAATTAAAGCAGAAGGAATTTATTTAAAAATTAGTGGACAGGCCAGGTATGGAGGCTCTTGCCTGTAATCCCAGCACTTTGGGAGGCTAAGGTGGGAGGATCACATGAGCCCAGGAGTTCAAGACCAGCCTGGGCAACATGGCAAGACCCCAACTCTATTAAAAATACACAAAATTAGCCAGGCATGGTGGAATGTGCGTGTAGTCCCAGCTACTAGGGAGGCTGAAATGGGAGGATCACCTGAGCCTGGGAGGTCAAGGCTGCAGTGAGCCAAGATTGTGCTACTGCACTCCAGTCTGGGTGACAAAGTGAGATTCTGTCTAAAAAAAAAAAATAGTGGACAAAACCACAATGAGATATTGCTTCATACCTACTAGGATGGCATAATAAAAAAGACAGATAATAACAAGTGTTGGCAAGGATATGGACAAATTGGAACCCTCACACCTTACTGGTGGTAATGCAAAGTGGTGCAGCCACTTTTTGAAAGTTTTGCAGTTCCCCAAAAGGTTAAGCATAATTACCATATAACCCAGCAATTCCACTCCTAGGTATATACCCAAGAGAAATCAAAATATCTGTACAAACACCTATAAATATTCATAGAGGCATTATTCATAGCAGTCAGAAAGTAGAAACAACCCAAATGTCCGTCACCTGGTGAATGGATAAAGAAAATATGGTATATCCATGCAATGGAACATTATTCAATCATAAAAAGGAACAAAATTCTGATACATGCTACAACATGGATGAACCTTGAAAACATGCTCAGTGAAAGAAGCCAGTCACACACACACACACACACACACACACACACACACACACAAATACATACTGTATGATTCTATTTGTATGAAATGCCCAGAATAGGCAAATCTACAGAGATGTAAGTAGATTAGCCATTGCCTAAGAGGCTGGGAGTTGAGGGAGGAATGGAAAGTGACTGGTGGCTAATGAGTATGGTTTTTTTTGTGTGAGGGGGGCAGTTATAGGACAAAAATGTCCTAAAAATTACACTGTGGTGATCGTTGCACAATTCTATGAATTTACTTAAAAACAGTGAATTGCATATTTTAAATAGGTGAGTTATCTGGTATGTGAATGATATTACAATAAAACTGTTTTCAAAACACTAGAAGGTGTATTACAGAATCTCTGAGAAGCTGGAGAACCAGTCTTAGATCGTGCAGGCAGAAACAATGCTCCAAATTATGCAGGCAACTGGAACAGCAAAGATATCACAGCCACTACTGCTGAGCACAGACTGTGCTGCTTACCAAGACACCACCACCAAAGCAGAATTCAGCTGCAGGAAACACAGCCATTTACTGCCTCTGGGAGCCAGGTGGTCTGCCACTGCTGCTGGCCCCACTGGCCACCAGAAAGGAGTCTACAATTTCCCAGCTTCTTCTCACAGCTAGTTTAGGGTGTGGGCATTTCACTGGGAGAGTCTAGGTCACATGACCACACCCTAACTGCAAAGGAAGCCGAGGACATGGGTATCCAGCATGATTATGGTAGTAGGGAAAAGTAGACGTGCCTTAGAGCTGTCATTCTCCAAACATAGGAAAAAGGTGGCCACGATGAATGACCTATGCTGTTACAAAAGGTTTCTCAAAGTGGAAATAGCTTTAGCTACTCTTTGAGGGGTAGACAGGATTTGGACCAAGAAAAATGAGAAGAACATGACAGCTGACTGAACAGCATTAGGTAGGTGGGAACTAAAAACTGGATTCTTCAGGAATTTGGAATGACGTCCAACTTGATGGAAAGATAAGATATGCAGACTCAATCACATGATACGGGAGAGTGAGATTGTGCTCTGAACTGTGCAGTTGCAGGGACTTTAAAAAGAAAGGTTGGCCGGATGCGGTGGCTCACACCTGTAATCCCAGCATTTTGGGAGGCCAAAGCGGGTGGATCACTTGAGGTCAGGAGCTTGAGACCAGGCTGGCCGACATTGGAAAACCTCGTCTCTACTAAAAATACAAAAATTAGCATGGCGTGATGGTGCCTGCCTGTAGTTCCAGCTACTTGGAAGGCTGGGGCAGGAGAATTGCTTGAACCCGGGAGGTGGAGGCTAGGGTGAGCTGAGATTGTTCCACTGCACTCCAACCTGGGTGACAGAATGAGACTCTGTCTCAAAAAAAAAAAGAAAGAAAGAAAAAGAAAAAGAAAAAAGAAAGCTCACCTACCGTAGGTTATTAGAGAAAATTCTCAAAGTCCGTATCACCTATCATGTTCTTTGCATTCTGGCCACCAGGGGCTTCAGTAAACTTGAACGTTGGGACCAAACCCTCCCCTAAGTATGAAGGAGGAGGCACCCAGGTAGTTTCTTCATTCCTTTGTTTCATCTCCTCACACATATGGGGAATAAAGAGAGTAATAGAAGCAAGGGCTGCTTTTGAGGTGTATTCAAATGGGGGCCATGGTGGCAGTTTGCGGGTGGTCATATTATTTCTGCTTTGGGCTGCTGAGACTTTTCACCGAATGATTTCTTTTTCTCCCTGTGTCTCCTATGAACACAGGATGGATTGATCCCTTTCTCAGACCATCCCGCATTGTTTCTTTCTATTCTTGAATTCTGTTTGGAACTCTAAATCTTTGTTCCATCTGGGTAGCTGGGATGATGTAGAGCAGGCTGGAAGAGGGTCTGGCCCTTTCACCATCGTTCATTTCATTTTTATGCTCTCCTTCTATCTGGCTTTTCTTAATAGCTTTGAGATGAATTTCCTTTCAGCCTTGCTCTGGCCTTGTGAAAGCAAAGAGTTGAGTTATTAGGCACAATAGGAGCATTTATTTATCTGGCTTTCATCAAGATAAATAACAAATTTATATAAAATCTTAGCACATAAAAAACATCCCAATATATAAAAAGTAAATGTGGTTTCTTTAATGGTTTTCCAAAGCTTTACCATAAAATATCAACATGGTAAATTAATTTGCTAAATGGCGTCTTAACCTGAACTCACTTAGCACTATGGGGCACATGGAAAAGGTGAATTTTTAAAAAGTCTTACCATGAGGCTTAAAAAAAATCACCACATCAGCGACATCATACATAAAAAGCAAGGATGATGTATTCACCATCAATAAATTTAATAGCAGCCTAGCACCATTTGCTAGAAATTCACTTTGAGTCTGAATTATTTTAAATAAGGCATCACACATAAGGGTAAGAAAGAAAAAATTTCCAGCTCAGTTTCCATTAATTTCCCAGCCAGTAACTTTCAAATAGTTTAGAATTTACAGGTCAGCAGCAAAAATTCACTCAACCAAGGAGAAAATGAGCCATTTCTCTTTGGCATCCAACTGAAGACCCCACTTAGGAGCTATTTCTTGGTTCTTGAAGAGTCTTTTAACTGTATCATTTCTTGATTTTTAACTGGGATGAAGCAACTCACCATGATACAGGGAAATGTGAGTGGATTGAGTGCTCCCTGCATTACAAGGGCATTATCCTGGCCCCCAAGGGGCAGCCTGCCCAGATTAAAGACTGTGTCACACCAGCCGAGAGGAAGACATGAGACACAAATGCTGGCTTTTGTCATTAGCAACTTAGAAATGCTGAGCAAGTGGAAGAGAAAAATGTGTATGCTAAGTTTTGTAGCCCATTAGAGGAGTTTGCCTTTCTATTTTGCTTTGCTCCATAGAACAGGGCCTGGGGATTCAAGATGGCCATCTGGCTGGTTCTCATCTCCATGAAGAACTTCAACTTTAGACATTTGACTTTATCATCGAAGGAGACCATTCATCCAGTTCCAGAGGCGCACAGTGACTAAAAGAAACTTTCATCTATGTTGTGTCCTACCTGTGGTGCACTATACAGTTCATATTTCAAATACTATTTTCATGTGAATAACACAAATATATTTTATTATGTTTCATGTAAACAATATTTAAAAGACACCACGATTTTTTGGAACACAGTTTTGAAATTTTTCATTTATTTTTTATACTAAAAGCCTCCAAATAAATAAATAAGGGAACAAAAGAAAGAAAGAAAAAGGTCTAAGTTTCCCTCTTCATCTGGGAGACCCTGTCTGAAGGCTATGTTTATCTTGCTAATAGCAAGATGTTAAATGTTTGATTCAATTTAATTCATTCCAATTATTAATTGATCTTTAGGCACTTAAGTGGTAGAGAAGATAAAAGCCATCTGTAAATAAAAATAATAGTTATTATTTAGTGAGCACCAACTATATGCTGGACACTGTGTTAGACTTTTTCTATGTTGTTTTTTTTTTTAATCCACAAGAGTATTTGAGGTAGAGGTTATTATCCACATTTTAATAATACATAAACTGGAGCTCAGAGAATTAGCATTTGCCTAAAATCATCTAGCTGATAGAAAAAAACTGGGATTTGAATCCAGGTCTGTTTGTCTCTAAAGGCCATGTTCTTAGCCACTACTCAAAGATCCCTGAAATGGCAGTTACTAATTTTACAGGAAAACTAAAAGACATAACTGTACACTACAGAGAGCATCCTCTCCCTCAGTCAGTACTAGATGAATACTGTCAAATTCTATTCTTGACTCCCTTTTCTAGATCACACACTGCCCAGATCCCATCTATCAGCTCAGTCTTCCTCCACATTGGACAGCTGAATAGACTTCCACTTTAGACATGCTAAGCTCTCTATGTTCTCCTGAGCTTAGACCATGACTGGTATTTCAACAGCTAAGAAACTCCTAAGCAATCATTCACAGATCACTGTTGGAGTGACGATCTTCTTTACAGAGGATAATGTTATATTTCAGCCTGGGGCTACCTTGCTTTTTCTCCATGTACTAAATATGTATTTTCAGGGAAAGAACTACCAACAGTGCTCAGATGCCCACAGGATATATTGTCTAGGCCAGGAACTAGCCTAGTTACTGGGTAGCTCTTATTTTTAATAAATAATTGTATCATTTTGATAAGTAATATAGGTACATGAAAGAATATTCAAAAGTACGGAAAGATATGTAGTGAAAAGTAAGTCTTCCCACCCACCTACCCACCTCATTACCTGTCCCCCATCCCCCAACTCCCTAGTTCTCTGCTGGAGGCAACCACTAGGTTTAAGCCTTGAATTTATCCATTTAAATGTCAGTGTCCTACCCTGAATATTGCATTTTTAACAATGTGTCTTTAGGATGGTGTCTTCATTCATTTTGTCTTGCTATAACAAGACACCACAGTCTGGGTAATTTATAAAGAAAAGAAGTGTATTACTCAGAGTTCTAGAGGCTGGGAAGTCCAAGGTTAAAGGGTCCACATCTGGCTAGAGCCTTCCTGGTGGAAAATGGAAGGGCAAGAGAGCACACCGCATGGCAGAAGATAGAAAGGCAAGAGGGCACTCATGAAAAAGAGATAGCCAGAGATCAAACTCAAAGCCTCAAGCCCTTTTATAATTGCCATCAATTCATTGATGAGGTTAGAGCCCTCATGGCCTAAACACCTCCTATTATGTCCTACCTCCTAACACTGTTGCATTAGGGATTAAGTTTCCAACACCTGCTTTTGGGGAGACACATTCAAACCATACCAGATTTCATGTCTGCATATATAGAGTTACTCTATTTTTTTATCACTGCAAAATGTTTCATTGGTAGATATACCATAATGCATTTAACAAGTCCCCTTTTGATAGAGATTGAGGTTGTTTTGACATTTTGCTATTATAAACAATGCTACAGTGAATGCCCTTCCACTTGCAACAATTTACAAATGTACCTATAATATTAATTCTGAGAAATGAAGTTGTTGTGTCAAATTTAATCTGCCCTTTCCAGAAGTTTATCAGTTTACACTTATACCAATAGTGTACTTACTTCCCAATATCCTCACCTATACAATGTGTTACAAACTTTGAGAGCTTCTTCAATCTGACTGTCAGTTCCAGTTTGCATTTCTCTTATAACAAGGGTGATTGAACAAGTTTTCCTATGTTTACAATTTATCTTTATTTCCATTTCTGTAAACTATCTGTTAATCTCTTTTGCCTATTTTTCTATTAGGCTGCTTGTCCTTTTTCTTATCAATGTGTTGGAATTCTTTTTTTTTTTTTTGACACGGAATTTCGCTCTTGTTGCCCAGGCTGGAGTGCAATGGCATGAACTCAGCTCACCACAACCTCTGCCTCCCGAGTTCAAGCGATTCTCCTGCCTTGGCCTCCCAAGTAGCTGTGATTACAGGCATGTGCCACCATGTCCGGCTAATTTTGTATTTTCAGTTGAGTCAGGGTTTCTCCATGTTGGTCAGGCTGGTCTCAAACTCCTGACCCCAGGTGATCTGCCCGCCTTGGCCTCCCAAAGTGCTGGAATTACAGGCGTGAGCCACTGCATCCGGCCTGGAGTTATTCTTATATTAAGGAAATAAACCCTATGGGATATGCGTTATAGTCATTTTTTCAACTTATTAGTCTTTTAACTTTATTATTTCTTGACAAGTAAAATTTTTTCATTTTTTTGCATTAAAATTTATCAATCTTTTTTATGGCCTCTGGGATTTGTATCAAACATAAAAAGCCTTTTGCCACATTGTTATTATATAGAAATTCTGCTATGTTTTTGCTAGCATTTTGTAAGTTCATTTTTTTTTGTTTATATCTTTGATCCACCTGGAATGTATTAGATACAAAGAGCAAGGTAGTGATCCAATTTCATTTTAGTTTTCCAAATGGCTGCCAAGTGGTTCAAAAGCCATTTTGCATTTCATCTTTTTTAGACAGTGCTTGGGAGCATAGTAAGAAAACTAAATTGGTATTATCTTCAGCTTCACATCCTCTGGAAAACCCAGCGCAAGTAATACATGGAAATCAACCATCATTATCCCTCAAGAAAAAAGCTAGTATAAGTAGTATGTTTATGAATGAGAAGCAGAGAAACTGGGATTAGTCCAAGTCTGGGCAGACAAGCTTCATGAGGCCTAAAGCATATAAATGTGTGGAAGGGAAAAGAAGGGGTATTCTTTAAGAAACATCATGTAAAATTCCAAATACAAAACTAGATATAAACATGAATATTTATTTTGAATGAAAAGAGAAATGATAGTAAACTAAAATTTTATAAAGCTAATGCATTCTGCAAACATTAGAAAATACAGAAAACTAAAATAGTAAAAGAAAATAATATTTTTATTAACTGCCTGACATAGGCAATTAATATTGATATACCTCTATAATATTTTTGCCACAGATTCTTTGATTG
Organism: Homo sapiens; assembly: GCF_000001405.40. Lineage (NCBI taxonomy): Eukaryota > Metazoa > Chordata > Mammalia > Primates > Hominidae > Homo > Homo sapiens. The sequence goes on along the minus strand of NC_000002.12, from coordinate 48,011,902 downwards.
TATCTTTATATGGCAATTATTTTATATTTTTTTCATAGTAAAAATAGATACTTTAGTTTTTCTTCTAGCATGGTTGATTAAAATTTGCTTTTTATTAATGATGGTTTAGAAAAGTTACCTGCAACATTACAGTGTGATATTGCTATTGTCATGTAACTTTGTAGGATTTTTGTTAAATTTGGGGAACTCTCTATCAAGTTTCTTTCATATATGAACTAAGATTTCAGGTCATTTCAATTTTCCTTGTTCAGTGACTAACTTTAAGTTCTCTTTGAATTGATGACCTTCATTAGCTAGTTTGTCATCATTGCTCTCATTGTAAGACTTACATAGATTTTACATAATTATTTTTTGTCCAATATTTTATGTCAAATCACTAAGTAACACAAATCCTTTTCCATTATGTTATGTGATTTTATGATCTTCATTAATTGAATTATCAAACAATCCAAGAATGTATTCACTAATTCTATTCAAAATGTATCCCTTCCTCTTAGTGAATTACTGTACTGCTTTGATATAATCTAAAATGTGGGGGGTCAAATTCACTTTGTGGTATAATTGCTTATCTGTATGGCTTTTGTTTCATATCCCATTAATTCTTATATGAAATTTTCTTGACCAAAGAGGAAATTAAAACTGAAATTACAAATTTTATAGAAAATCATGAAAAGGAGAGTATTTTACAAGAAAACCAATGGGGAACAGCTAAAATTTTACTCCAAGGAAAATTTATAGCCTGAGTACCAAAAGTAAAAGAGTTCCACTTTTAAGAAGGTAGTAAAATAACAATGAAGAAACCAAAAGAAAGTAAAAGAAATGAATTAATAAAGACAAATGTTAAAATTATTGAAATGTTTCTAAAATTATGGAAGTATAAATAAAGTCACCAAGCTTAATAGGTAAATGTTCCTCAAACCTAATTAAGGGAAAAAATATAGAAGAGAGAAACACAAGAAAATAGATACTATGAGAATATATTGTGAGTGAATATTAATTTGAACTCTATGGCTATATATTTGAAAATAGAAGAAATCAATATTTTTCTATTAAAATTTCAGAAAACATGCTGCCATCATTTTTAATGCTACATGAAAACAACAGAAGTTATGCTCAGTTACACTTTCTTGCAAAAGTTCAGAATAATTAGTTTTATATTAAAGAATAAAAACCTTTCTTACCAAAAAAATAAAGAAGAATTGCGATCAAATTTCACACAGTTATAATATTATATGATAAAAGAAAATAAGAAATAGGATAGCATCTCCATGATCCAGTGGCTTGCAAACATTTGTTCTCAGTGTTGCTTCATGCTCTTAAAAAATTGTGACAACCCAGAAAGCTTTTGTATATATGGGTTATATCTGCTGATATTTATTACCCTCTTCAAAATTAAAATCGAGTGATGTTTAAAATATTTATTATTGCATTTAAAATTATAATTTACCCATCATATGTTAACATTGGTAACATATTTTATGAAAGAAACCTATATTTTTCAAAATAATAGAAGGTAATTTAAGAAGAATAGCATTGTTTTCCATTTATGCAAATCTTTTGAATATTGAGCTTAATAGAAAATAGCTGGATTTTTACATCTGTTTCTGCATTCCACCTGTTGTGATATGCTGTTTTCACTGAAATATATAACTTTTACAGATATATATATTTGGAAAAAGAAGAAGTATCTTAACAGCCTTTTCAGATAATTGTGATTTTTTTTTTTTTTTTTTTTGAGACGGAGTCTCGCTCTGTCACCAGGCTGGGGTGCAGTGGCGTGATCTTGGCTCACTGCCACCTCCGCCTCTCAGGTTCAAGAGATTCTCCTGTCTCAGCCTCTCAAGTAGCTGGGACTACAGGCATGCGCCACCACGCCCAGCTAATTTTTGTATTTTTACTAGAGACGAGGTTTCACCATGTTGTTGATCTCTTGACCTCATGATCCGCCCGCCTCGGCGTCCCAAAGTGCTCTGATTACAATATTTTTTGACATCATATCAAACCTTGACAACTGGTAGATGCTTGAAGTTAGTTGCAACATGGAATACAAAATTCTGTCAAATAACTTTTCAAACTTAATTTTATTAAAATTAATTGGTTTATCTTTAAATGTATTTTTTACCTTTTGCATGACTACTTAACAATGTGTTGATTACTTGGGGAATATTGGTTCACTGAATTATGTAGATCTTCCAAATGTGGAAACATTTCATTCTCCAATAGCAAAAAGTCACACTGTAAATGCTACCACCAATCTCACCAGAAAAGTCTTTAAGTATTAACTAACTGTTAAGCTCACAGTGCCAAATACACATTTTCCAAAATTCTAATTTTTATTTGAAAGCTCAAAATTTATTATTGGCAACAAATACTATCAGTGGTTTCCCTTGAAGTCTCAGGCTCAATTAGTTCATTTTCAAACTATGTCTACCAAATGCCCCAACTCTGAGTAACCAGAGTTTATCTGATAGTCATTCTTTCAAGTAAAGGTGGTATTCCATTTTTTTTAAAAGTGGCTAGTTCAGCTAACAATTTAAGCAGTTACAATACTTTTTCTGAAACAACCTCACGTGTTAGTATGAAGCAAGTGTTTTATGTGTACTTCCCATTTTGTCACACAGAACATTAAAAAGATGTGTACTAAACGATCGAAATTTAATAAAATTGTTAACTTTTACTGTTTCATCAAGGACATTCTTAAGTGAAACTGGCTTTCAAAAAAAACTGTATGTAAAATGACTAGTAGTACATTTTGATGCCACAATCTTTATTCGTGATAAAACACAGCAATTTTCTCTCTCCTTGCTTTGAGCTATCATTGCAAATGTCAACACAGTGAAAGAAAGAAATAACATCTTAGTAAAGTTATGAAAATAGTTTTTACCTCACAGAGCATCTGAAAGGGTCTTGAACCACACTTCAAGATCCACTGCTATCCACAATGAAAGCACTCAGTTATGCTCACAGAACAGATCAAAACTGTTGAAACTATTTCAAAATGAGCTAAAGGACATAAAGAAAAGAATACAATATTTGAAGAAACAACATAAATAAAACATAGAAAAGAATCATACAGGAGGTAACAGATCTCAGGAAATAATTAGAAATGAAAGAAGAAAAATTTCAAAAGTAAACACTAACCTAGAACTAATAAAAACAATACATTAGGTTTCCAAGGAAATAGAAGGTAAAGAAAAGGAACTTTTTCTAATTTTTAAAGATGAATGATAAATGAAGAAACTTTAAAAAGGATTTGAGAGAAAGTAACACATATTGAAGATAGACAAGAGGCTGGGAGCAGTGGCTCATGCCTATAATCCCAGCACTTTGGGAGGCCAAGGCAGGAGGATCGCTTCGAGCTCAAGAGTTTAAAACCAGCCTGGGCAACACAATGAGACACCTTCTCTACAGAAAAAAAATATATATATCTAATTAGCTGGGCATGGTGGTGTGTGCCTGTAGTCCAGCCAGCTTCTTGGGAGACTGAGGTGGGAGGATTGCTTGAGCTGAGGAGGTCAAGGCTGCAGTGAGAGTGATCATGCCACTGCACTTCAGCCTGGATGCAAAGTGAGAACCTGTCTCAAAAAGAAAAAAAAGAAAGAGAAAGATAGGCAAAGAAGATTCTACGTACAGAAAATAAAAATCCTGGGGGAGAAAACCAAAGCAAGGGAGCAGAACAACTATTAAAAAATCTAATCGAAAAAACTTTCCTGAAGCGCAGAAAGATTTGAAACTACAGGACTCATCTGTTCCTGAGAATATCAACCCAGAACAACCAACACCAAGATATATTCTAGAATGACAAAGAAAGAGGGAAGGAAGGAAGGAAAGAAAGAAAGAAAGAGAGAAGAAAGAAAAAAAGAAAAAGAGGAAAGGAAAGGAGGAAGGAAGGAAGGAAAGAAAGAAGAAAAAGAGAGAGAAAGAAAGGAAGGAAAGAAAGAAGAAAGGAAAGAAAAGAAAAAAGAAAGGAAAGGAAGGAAAGAAAGAAAAGAAAAAGAAAGGAAGGAAGGAGGGAAGGGAGAGAGAGAAAGAAAGGAAGGAAAGAAAGAAGAAAAAGAAAGAAAGAAAGGAAGGAAAGAAAGAAAGAGAGAAAGAAAGGAAGGAAAGGAAAGAAAGGCAGGCAGGCAGGCAGGAAGGAAGGAAGGAAAGAAAGAAAAGAAAAAGAAAAGAAAGGAAAGAGAAAGAAAACATCCCTTGGTTATTTGGGCAAAAACAGCAAGTGGCCTATTAGGTAAGGAAAATCAGATTAACATCAAAACTTTCAACAGCAGAAAAAAGTGATGTAACATATTTAAGATACTCAAAAACAGAAAATTTAAGCCAAGTATTTTATATTCAGAAAAACAGACTTTCAAGTACAAAAGACATAGATAAAATATTTTTGACAAGCAACAATTCAGGGAATATTGTACCCATGAGCCCTTCCCCAAAATCTACTAGAGAATGAACTTTAGACAAATAAAATGACTGGAGAGATATCAACATTAGGACTTTTGGTAAACATTAAATATACAATATATAATTATCTATGGAATTAAGACTAAATGAGAGTTATAAGGAAGCAGGTATAGTATGTAATGCTTATATGCTTAAGCAATGTAGATATAGTACAATTGTAAAAAAAAAATGAGGGGGAATAGGGATTACACAATGTAAAACAAAACATTTTAATTGTTCTCACTAAATATTGTTGTACTGAGATTGTATGTGTGATACATGGGATAAAACAAATCAGTAATCATGGGATGTTCTATTATCCCGTGTGACCTTGAGAAGCAGGATTCTTAGTGTGGAAATCAATAGATACAATTATAACATCAAAGAGGGTAAGTAAAAACCTGTAGACCTGAATTTGAATTGGAAATATCACTATAAACTCATGGAGTATTGTATCTTAGAAAATATAGATTTAGACATAGATACCATCTAACTTTGTCCACTGAAAACAATAACTGAAAACAATGACGAATCCTATAGCAGTGAGCTAATCTGGTACCCAAAATGTACTCACTAGAAGAAACCTGTTTCTTAGAGAAATGGCTGATTACGAGTCTGCAGCAACAAATATGCAAGATAAGCCTAGAATATCCTGTAATGCCATTTGCCAAGGAATAGTATGATCACATGGAAAGGACCCAGAAGCCACCTTGAAGAGACTTATGCTGACCAACCATAAGAAAATTGGAGCTTCAAAAGAGAATAACTGTAATTGATTGAAATCCATTAAATATGTCTAAATTCACAAATTTATAATATTTTTAAAAAACTAATTGATCAAGCCAGACACTAAAGGCCATATATTATGTGATTTGTATAAAATATCCAGAGTATGTAAATGCATATAGACAGAAAGCAGATGAGTGGTTGCCACTATCTAGGGGCCAGGAGGAAAGGGAAATGCCTGCTTAAAGATCAGGGGTTTTGAACAAAGGTGAACCTGAAAAAGCCAATCCTTCAAGATGGATCCTGAGTGACTAACTGGGCCTATATTTAAAACAGAGCCAAGTGGCCATTTGCTGACCAAAAGTTACACAAGTACTCTTGAGTTCCACTTAGTCTCATATCTTTTATATTTCAGGACTTTCAGAGCTTACCTAAATCAACCAATCAGAACTCACCTGCCTCAGCCAACCAGGGTTCAGCTTTATCTACCAATCAGAACTCAGCTCATCAACCAATCAGAATGAAGCAAGTTTGAATCTTTCAATTAAATAAGGGAATCTGAGTGAGAACCTGGGAAGGAACTTTTGCCATAATACCCAAACCCTCTCTTTGTTCTCTGGAATGCACCTTTGCTTTACACTGAAGGCTGTGTCTCCCTGGTTTGCAAACGGTTCATTGGAATAAAGTCTCTTTCTTCCAAATTCCTTTGCACAAAACTTTTGTTCACAGGAGGTCCCTCTTGGGACGATAAACGAATGTTCCGAACTATACAGCGGTGATGGTTGCACAACATTGTGAATGTACTAAATGTCACTAATGGTACATTGTATGTTATGTGTATTTTACCACAACTTTTAAAAAATGGGAAAAACCCATTTTCCCCCCAAATTTGATAACCCAAAAAATTCCCCAAAATTTGAAGAACCCAAAAATTGATAACCTTCAGAGAATTATAGGAAACTAATTCATTATCTTGAAAGCTAGTAAATAAAAGAGAAAGAATCAAGCATTTATTCTGCCTTACCTATATACATTTTTACCACTGGATAACCAAAAAGTAGTTATGGGAAGCATTTTTTCATAAAGTATTGCAGGTGACAATGAAAACAAAATAACAAAATGGTAGAATTAGAATATCACCATTTTCAAACCCACACTGAATTAATAGACACAAGCATTGGTCATTGACACTGCTAATACCACAACAGAAAAAAACCCTGCAATTGTGTGTCACTTGGTGAAAGAAAATGCCACCACCTGGAATGTTGATATAGAAACCACAAATACATGAATACAGTTGCCAATTTTCAGAAAATACAGTGACCAGAGGAATATGTTGACCTGCACATGACTTTGCAGTCAGCAACATCCAGACCTTGGGAAATGCTACAAATGAAACATCTTGGGTGTTTAAAAGACAAATTGTAAGAAAAAGAAAGACATGGAGGAGGAACTACAGTTTAAAAATTACTTTTAAAGCATGCAAAAAAATGTTAAATAGACAAGACTTATCTATCAATCATGTCTAGGGATGCACCATAGGTGATGAAACTATGAAAAATACAAGAAAGTGATTACTCTGAAAGTCAGGATGGTGGTTGCAGGGAGAGAGAGGTGTGACAGGAATGAGACACATGGATGAGGCTTCTGGGATGGCCGACAAAGTCCTACTTCCTGACTTGGGTGATTGTTTCAAGGGTGTTTGTCTTACAAGTAATTCATTAATTAATATGTTTATTTTATGCAAATTTCCATATTTGTGTTTTATTTTACAATAAAAAATGTTAAGAAGAAGAGGAAGAAGAGCAGGAGGAGAGAGAGGAAGAAGACAACAAGAACAAGAGCAAGAACAAAGCAGCTTATGTAAAATACTGACAGCTTACTGCAATTTTACAGCATTCCTCACAAGGTGGTTCAGGTAGACTGTCAAAGCTATTAGCACTACCTCTCCCAGCTGAAGCACCAGCAAACCCAGCAGTTCATGACTTCTTGTGAATTCTCTTCCTGCCTGGAGTGTTGAGGGGTTGTACCTGCCAGGCTTCCAGAAGATAATGGAATACCAACCATGTTCCCTCCGAAGAAATGAGACCTTGTAGCTACATCACAGGGAAAGGGCTGGGGTGCTCTTTGTAGGTCCCTCCTAGTTCCCTCTGTGCACGCATGAGGAATCCATCGCTTCCTTTTTATTACTTTGTTTTGTTTGTTTATTTGTTTTGTTTTGTTGTTTTTTTGTTTTGTTTTTGGAGACGGAGTCTCACTCTGTCACCGAGGCTGGAGTGCAATGGTGCCATTTAGGCTCACTGCAACTTCCACCTTGAACCATCAGGTTCAAGTGATTCTCCTGCCTCAGCCTCCTGAGTAGCTGGGATTACAGGCGCCTGCCACCACACCTGGCTAATTTTTTTTTTTTTTTTTTTTTTTGTATTTTTAGTAGAGATGGGGTTTCACCATGTTGACCAGGCTGGTTTTGAACTCCTGACCTCAGGTGATCTGCCTGCCTCGGCCTCCCAAAGTGCTGGGATTACAGGTGTGAGCCACTGTGCTGGGCCCCTTTCTTATTTCATATTTTACAAGCAAATGTTTTTCTTATAATCTAGTTACATCTTTTTCATTTGTTTTGTATTACAAACCATCACACTTAGAAATACTTTCAGGAATTGCCTTTTTATTTAATGTGGATTAATAAGAAATGGGGCATATAGAAAAGAAATTTATTGCTGGTCACAAAGACTGGTAGTATTTTCCTGATCACATTTATCAAAATTTTACATTTGTGTCTTAGTTACTAGTGCTTTACTACAGCAGGTGCAAGTGAAATCTTTAAGGTTTCAGTAAAAGTTTCTTCTGGATCTACAGGAGTTTTTCATTTCCAATCTAAAAACTAGAAGCTCTAGCATTTTGTACATTTTTTGTTGTTGCACTGGAAGTTTAACTATTGGCACAAAATCATTCTTCAAAACTCACAGAGGGACTCTGCCATTACTTAGCTCAGAGCACAGAGGAGTGCCTTGTCCCCAAACGTGAATGGGCTTGTGGAGGTAGGCATGTGGGGTCCCCTGGCCCCAGGCTGGAGACAGACCACTTTTTTGTGACTTATGATTTTGATGTGATTCTAATGTTCTCTAACATGGCCAGTTGAGCAGCACAGGGTCAGGAAGTCACATTCTAAGCAGCAACAGATCTATTGCATGCAGAATCAAATATTTGGCCTATTTCAAACAGGTTAAATTTAAATAGGAATTTCTATTTTTCAAATAAGGGATGGTTTATGAAGCATACAGTAGATTTTACATGATCCTTTTCTTCTCTTTCAGAATAGATCCAGTGGACTGTAGTCTGTTTAACTGAGACCTCACACATAATGTCATGGTTGACAGTTACTGGTTGAAGGAAATCCATGTTGGGCTTCTGTGGATGCTGGATTCTTTCCTTCTGAGAAGGTAATCACTGAAAATTTGTGGGTTTTTTGTTTTATTTTGTTTGTTTGTTTCTTTGTTTGTTTTGAGACAGAGTCTCACTATGTCACCAGGCTGGAGTACAGTGGCGTGATCTTGGCTCACTGCAACCTCCACCTCCCAGGTTCAAGCGATTCTCCTGCCTCAGCCTCCTGAGTAGCTGGGATTACAGGCGAGCACCACCATACTCCGTTAAGTTTTGTAGTTTTAGTAGAGACAGAGTTTCACCATGTTGGCCAGGCTGGTCTTGAACTCATGACCTCAGGTGATCTGCCCGCCTCAGCCTCCCAAAGTGCTGGGATTACAGGTGTGAGCCACCGTGCCCAGCCCTGAAAATTTGAAATGCAGTACAAGAACTTGTATTTGGAAGATGTGGAAAGGAGAGTTATTGTACCTAAGTAATATTTGCAGGCAAATGAGATGTAGCCCACAGGGTAAAGAAAAGTGGTTTGTGTGAATATACAGGGGCTGTGATCATAGGCCCCAGAGGGGCAGGTAATTGCCTGCAGGCTTCTATGAGACATGGAGAGAGAGAAGAAGCATTCTCTGTACAAAACAATTTTTATTCATTTGTATTTATTAAATGGAAAAACAAATCCCATAGTGTCCCTATTCTGTGGAGGAATTTAATTATTATGTTAAAATAAAGTTATATATTTTCCCCCTGAAAAAAAAAAAAGAACAAAAGAACAAAGTGGCAGCAGCAACTACAGCAACCAAAGAAAGCTGAGCACATTCTCCTACTTACTGCCTACCCCAGATGGAAAAGCAGGGGAAAAGTCATGCCTTTTAAAGAGGACTAAGTGTTAATTAGTGTTTTGAACTAGTGTAATTAAACAATTGGGATTGTTTTTGTGACTCTGGGTGATTTTGAACTTTCTGTTTTCTAAGACCTGCCTAAGTTAGACCTATCCAAGACTACCCCACTGGGCAGGATTAAAGGGACAGTTGAAAAGCAAAATTTCACTCAGGAGTTTTTGTTCAACACACTGGTTATAAAAATATAAATTGTCCCAAGAAGAAACAGGAAATTCATATAAACCAATTATGCTTTTTTAAAGTTTTAAAGGTAATTAAGGGTCTATGTTTTTTAAGTCAGTAGGTTCTAACAGTCTTGCAATTAAGTTATAGCTAACTTTTAAATAATCAGTTATTCCAGTGCTATTTAAATGATCTCATACCAGATTCAAGCTTGGAGAGTTGTATGTTTCCAAGAATTTATCCATTTCCTCTAGATTTTCTAGTCGGTGTGCATAGAGGTGTTCACAGTAGTCTCAAATGATCTTTGTATTTCTGTGGTGTCAGTTGTAATGTCTCCATTTTAATTTCTGATTGAGTGTATTTGAATCTTCTCTGTTCTTTATTTGGTTAATCTAGCCAGTGGTCTATCCATTTTGTTTTTATTTTCAGAGAACCAACTCTTTGTTTCATTGATCCTTTATATATTTTTTTGTTTCAATTTCATTTAGTTCTACTCTGATCTTTGTTATTTCTTTTCTTTTGCTAGCTCTGGGTTTGGTTTGTTCTTGTTTCTCTAGTTCCTTGATGTGTGATGTTATGTTTGTCAATCTGTGATCTTTGTCTTTTTGGCACAGGCATTTAGTGCAATAAACTTTCCTCTTAGCACTGCTTTTGCTATATCCCAGAGGTTCTGATAATTTGTCTCACTGTTGTTCATTTTGAAAATTATTTTAATCTCCATCTTGATTTCATTGTTTAACCAAAGATCATGCAGGAGCAAATTGTTTAATTTCCATGTATTTGTAAAGTTTGTAGGGTTTTCCTTGGAATTGATTTCTAGTTTAATTCCATTGTGGTCTGAGAAGATACTTGATATGATTTCTGTTTTAAAATTTATTGAGACTTGTTTTGTGGCCTATCATATGGTCCATCTTGGAAAATGTTCTATGTGCTAATGAGAAAAATGTATATTCTGCAGTTTGTCAGTAGAATGTTTTGTAAAAGTCTGTTAAGTTTATTTCTTCTGTAATCCAGTTTAAACCCAGTGTTTCTTTGTTGACTTTCTCCCTCAATGACTGTCTAGTGCTGTCAGTGGAGTGTTGAAGTCTCCCACTACTATTGTGTTTCTGTCTATCTCTCTTCTTAGGTCTAGTAGTAATTGTTATATGAATCTAGGATCTCCAGACTTAGGTGCATATATATTTAGGATTGTTATATTTTCTTGTTGTATTGATCCCTTTATCATTATATAAAGACCTTATCGTTCTCTCTTTTTTGTTTTACTATTATTGCTTTAAAGTCTGTTTTATCTGATATAAGAATAGCTATTCCTGCTTGCCTTTGGTTTCCATTTGCATGGAATATTTTTTCCATTTACCTTGAGCCTGTAAGAATCTTTACACGTTGGGTGGGTCTCTTGAAGACAGCAGATATTTGGTTTGTGTGTTTTTTTAATTCATTCTGCCAATCTGTATCTTTTAAATGGGGCATGTAGAAACATTTACATTCAACATTCATATTGATATGTTAAGTACTGTTCCAGTCATCATGCTGTTACCTGGTTGCTTTATTTTCTTCATTGTATTACTGTTTTATAAGCCCTGTGAGTTTTATGCTTTCAAGGGGTTTTCATACTGATGCATATCAAACTTTTGTTTCAATATTTAGAACTTCTTTTAGCATTTCTTGTAGGGCTGGTCTAGTGGTGACAAATTAAAAATATGTAAAAGTCATTATTTTATGAAGCTAACATAACTTTAATACTTAAACCTCATACAAATAGAACTCCTCCCCCAAATGACCATAATAGACCAATCTTACTTATGAGGAAGATTTTTAAAATCTAAATGAAATATGAAAAATTAAATTTATTAGTATATCAAAAAATATAATACACCATGGTGTGTTAGGTTTATTCCAAGAATTCAAGACTGAGTTAAGTGTAGCAAATGTATCAATATAATTAATGTTATTAACAAGTAAAAGAGAAAAATATCAACATCTATTTCTAATAAAGACTTAAGGAAAACTACTTAATTATGATAAGCCCTATTACCAAAAATTAATAGCAATAATCATGCTAAAAAGTGAATTTACTAAGCCATTGCTATTAAAAGCAAAACCAAATAGTAATGCTATCACCATTAAAACTCAATATTTTGAAGGTCATAGCTAATAGCATAGAGTGTAAAAAAATATATAGTTACTGCAAATATGTTAAAATAAAGGACAATATCTCAATAAAAATAAAATTTAAAAAAAAACTGGCATCTTCTAGCCTTTTGTTGTTTGACCTGAAAAGTACTTTTCAAAATTCAAAACAATATTTAAATTAGAAGATCTAATATTAAAATCAAGTTTGTAATTCCTTTTATTATTTTTTTTTCCAGATCCTCCTAAGAGCCTATCTAGTTCCTTTTAAAAGACTGAATGATATGGCAACCTGGGATTATATTCTCACATGAAAAGTTGGAAGGAAGGAGAGAAGGAAGGAAGGAAAAGATAGGCAGAGAACAGTATTATTTCGACTGCAAGGGATGTAATTGTGAACCTAGAAAACTTAAGTGATAAAATGTAAAACACTATAAAATTAATGAGAGAATTTGATGAGTGAGCACTATGTATACACATACACACATTACACACACATGAACAAAAAATTGATAAGTTTTCTTCTATACTTTTCACAGTGGGGGAAAATTTCATTCACAGTGACAAAACTTAAAAAATATTTTGATAAAATGTTATTAGGTATAGGACCTGTATAATAGACACTATAAAATCTTAATGAAGAATACATAAAATAAGACTTGAACATACAGAAAAGTTTATCATGTACCTAAATGGAAAACCTAATTTATAAAAATATGTGCCTCTCAAAATTAATACATAAAGTTAATGCAATTCTAATCAGAATTCCAATAGAGTTTTTTTAATTTTTGAACTGACAAAATTATTTTAAGGAACATGTAAGAATAAGTACCAAGAACAGGTAAAAAATATGTATTTTTTATAAAGACAAGGCTGGGCACAGTGACTCAGGCCTGTAATTCCAACACGTTGGGAGGCCAAGACAGGAGGATCGCTTGAGCCCAGGAGTTCAAGACCAGGCTGAGCAACAAAGTGACACCTTATCTCTACAAAAAAATTTAGGGCAGGCATGATGGCTCACACCTGTAATCCCGTGCTTTGGGAGGCGGAGATGGGAGGATCACTTGAGGCCAGGAGTTCAAGACCAGCCTGGTCAACACAGCGAGAGCCCATCCATTTTCAAAATTACAAAATAAGTAAAAATAAGATAAAAATTATCCAGGCATGGTGGCATGCACCTGTGGTCCCAGCTACATGAGAGGCTGAAGTGGGAGGATTGCTTAAGCCCAGGAAGTCAAAGCTGCAATGAGCTGTGTTCATGCCAGTGCATTCCAGCCTGGGTGACAGAGCCAGACCCTGCCTCGAAAAAATTAAAATTAAAATTAAAAAAAAAAAATAAAAAGATAAGTAAAGGGTCACATGCTGTACAGGGAAGCACTTTGGCATAACGGTTAAGAACATGGACTCTGGAACTACAATGCATGGATTAAACTAAGGCTTTGCTTGTTAGTGGTGGTATGATGCTGGGCATGTTTGTTAACCTCTCTGTCCCTTACTTTCATTATCAGTAAAATGGGGATATTTATAGTACCTACCTCATACAGTTTGTGTGAGGATTTAATGTAAATTCCTCAGAATAATATATGGCAAATACTACAATTTGCAGCATGTTATTATATTACAATTACCATAAAGTCAGTGCATCAAAAGAGTACCACAAAGGTCCAGAAGTAAGCAAATATATAAGAGAACAAAGTAAAGAACCATAAATAGAGTCCAGTATACATGGAAACTTAATGTACCATAAAGGTAGAATTTTAGTTTAGTGGAGAAAAGTAATTTATTTACAGAAGTGGCACAATGGGCCAGCCATCTGGAAGAAATCCATGTCGTATACCAAAATAAATTCCAGATGGATTCCAGATTTGAATGTAGCAAAAAAGTAAATAAAATTTTTAGAAAATTTAGGAGAATAATCAACCTTGAGATGAGAGAAACATTTTTAAATAGGACAGAAAACTCAGATGCAATAAATGAAAAAGGCAGACATATTTGACAACATACAATTTAACATTTTTGTATAGCAAAAAACATAAGCATAAAAGTAAAAAGACAAGTGATTGTCTGGGGAAATATTTGCAACACATTTATTCAGTTAACAAATATTTGCTTGAATAACTTTTATGTGATAGGTGCTGTGGGATTTCAGTGCTAAATAAAGCAAACAACATCCCTGCATTCATGGAGTTTACATTCTTTTGACAAATGATACATATGACTGATAATATACAAAGAGTTCTTACAAGTGAGAGAAAAAGAAACAACCTAATTGAAAAATGATAAGAAAATATGAATAGGCAATTCAGAGAAGTATTCCAAATAACCATAAAGATACAAAAGATCTATTGCATTCATATGGTAGAAACACTGCATATTTCTTCCCAACTCTGTGTTCAGTGACCTCCTGGCAGTTTGAACATAGACATGATGGGAATATTTGCACCATAGAAATCAGCAACTGCTGCAGGTCAGGGTTTGATTTACTACTTTATTGATGGTCGAAACTTAAGAACATGATAGAGAAAAATGTTAGAAATGTAGATTCAACTTAAAAGCATGGTGTGTCTGTAACGATTACATTATGAATAGAATAAAACATTAAGGAAATATTATTCCAGTATTTAGAAATTGTTATTCAATTCAGCAGAGAAATCACTTCCCTCACTGATAAATAAGTGAAGTTCTGATATATAGTGCTGAAGCTGAGATTTCCATTTAATGAATATAATTTGTACAAGGGTGAAAAATAGTTTAATAGTAGATCACATCTCAGGTTTAATAACAATACAACTATTAGGGAAAGACTTAGTGAATTGGAATGCAACTCCATTTGTCAAGCCATGGTGGAATTGCATAGGTTGCATACAGATGTAAGAGTTCAGCAAAAATTAATCAAACCCTTCTGGGCAGTACATGGTGGCTCATGCCTATAATCCTAGCAGTTTGAGAGGTCGAGAAGAGAGAATTGCTTGACCCCAGGAGTTTAAGACAAGCCTGGGCAACAAAGCAAGACCTTGTCTCTACACAATTTTTGTAAAAATTAGCCGGGCATGGTGGCACTCACCTGTAGTCCCAGCTACCGAGCAGGCTAAGGTGGGAGGATCGCTTGAGGCCAGAAAGTCAAGGCTGCAGGAGTCATGATCTCACCACTGTGCGATCAGTGTGTGTGTGTACAGCCAGCTGCACATTTACCAGCATACCACTGCTTCCACCTACATCTCTTTGACCAGAATTTATTTACCTAGACAAGGAGGGCTTGTTCTACTCCAGGCAACCTCATAGCCAGCTAAAAATTCCATTACTATGGTAAGGGATAGACTGGATTTGGACCCATGTGTGTCTGGCTTCACTTTTTTTTTCTTCACACCATTTTCTCCCTCCAGAAATATAACACACTGACTTTGAGGTGATGGTGGAGAAAAAGTACAAGCAGAAGACTTTTCCCAACTTCTCCATAGGTATGTATTAATAAGATAACTAATGAAGTGAAAGGTTTCTATCACATAGAAAAGAAATCGATGAATGGTTAGGGTTAGGAGGTCAATATGAATGTGTAGTCTCTGGGAAATTCATTGGCCTAAAAGGAGATTAAACCCATGGATTTATCTAGGGAGGTAGGAAGCTATGTACCTATCCCATTTTTTTTCAGACACAGGTCACATGAATTTTTTATGACCTCAGAAATAAACATTGCTACAGACACATCATAAGAGATAGCTGGTGACCAAAGAGGGGAGGGAGGACTCGGACATGGGAATGAGGTGAAAAATTGGAAAATTGCCTTACCCCAGTTAATCAGTAATGTCCTCACATTGATGTATTTAGCTCTGTGTATAAATCTTATCTACTAGACTTTAATCCCTTCGAAGGCAGGAAGTATATCTTGTTACATTTTCTAACATAATTTCTTCACATAGAAAAGAGTAACAAATATTGGCGGAAAGAATTATATGAGTGAACTGTGATTAAATGTACTCCATATTTGTTTATATAATATATGTCTTATTTCTCACATATTCCCTAAGAAATAGAAATTCCCTGAGACTGAGTATTCGCTGAAAGGAAGAGCTATCTCTTCCATCTGGACCAGTGGGTTTTCCAATTCCTTATCCAACAGATATCCATTAAACTCTTGCCATGAGTGAAAATATTGGCCGCATCTCCATCTTAGACTAGGAGCTCCATGGAGGGTCGGGATCATATTGTTTCCTTCTGGAATTCCATAAAGGACTGTGATATTCAGAATGCAAGGTCCATTATAAAAACAACTAACGTTTATTGAATGCTTAGTATTTGTCGGCGTTGAACCAAATGCTTTACGTGTATTTTTGTTTAATACCCATAACAACCCTATGAGGTGGACACTATTATTACTCCTACTTTATAGATAAGGAAGCTGAAACTTAAGAAATTAAGTAGCGAAAACTCATGCAGCTCTGAAGTGTCAGAATTCCTGGATTCCAAATTCGGAATCACTGCCTTTCCCTGGACTGTGAGCAGTGCCAGTTCTCGGAGGCAGCCCCAGTACAGCATGCGCCATTAAACGACCTATCTTCCTAGCTCCGTTATGATCACTGGGGTTTCCCCCAGTCCCTCCCCTTGTTATCCAAGATGACAGATAAGAGTTAGAGGTAAGTTTTTAAACTAGGTGTCTTGTAACAGAATCGGTGATGAACACCATTTTTGCTGGGTTTTAAGATTTGCTTCTGTGGTTTTTATAGATCACTTTCATTTGTCTCTAGCTAATTAAAAACTACGAATTGCCTTGTTTGCTTAAACTGGCTGCCATGAAATGTTGAAAATGCCTTAAAAGAAACAGCGATACTAAAGAGGATCTTTTTAAAATTCCTGCTTTGTGTGGTTCAAGATGGATGTCTGGACTCATGCATTTACAATCCCTTCATCCAAATTCTTACTGAAACAATATTAAAGATAGACAAAAAAGAATAGAAGGGAGAATCCATTAATATACCAGTGAATTTGATGACTTTCTGGAAAAGAGAGAGTGATTAAGATTTAATTTACAGGTAAAAGCAGCGCATTTGGTAGCCCCAAAAGCACATAAAAGATGAAGGCACAGTTGTATAAGAAGTAATGAAATAATTATAGAATAGAATGGAAAATTTATACACCTGGACAGAGGAAAAGTAGTACTATAACTGATCCAGGTTGGGAGAAGAGAAGAGCAGATGAAGTAGAAATGTTAATATCTTCATTGTTAATCATAGAGAATGAAAAGATATTGCCTAAAGTTGACTGTATAAGAACTAGACACTTAAGTTCTTCTATAAAGTTGTAAAGGTAATCAATAGAAGAGCCAATAATAAAAATATAATTAATAAAACTTGGGAGTGAAACATCATATATATGGCTAAATTCCTCATCTTTCCTAGTAAGAAGTCAATTGATAAGATCTATATTTGGTAAATCAAGAAATAAATAATTGGCATATTGTTCTAAATGATCATGATAACTAGCCAACAAAAGAACTAAAAATAGGCCAGCTGTGGTGGCTTACGCCTGTAATCCCAACACTTTGGGAGCCCAAGGCGGGCAGATCACTTGAGGTCAGGAATTCGAGACCAGCCTGGCCAACATGGCGAAACCTTGTCTCTACCAAAAATACAAAAAAAATTAGCTGGGCGTGGTGGCACATGCCTATAGTCCGAGCTATTTGGGAGGCTGAGGCAGGAGAATCACTTGAGCCTGGGAGACAGAGGTTGAGCTGAGATTGCGCCACTGCACTCCAGCCTGGGCAACAGAATGAGACCCTGTCTCAAAAAACAAACAAACAAAAACCACAAAACTAAAAATACAAATAACTGAAAATTGATACTTTTGTGGGGGAGGGGACGGAGTCTCACTTTGTTGCCAGGCTGGAGTGCAGTGGCGCCATCTCGGCTCACTGCAACCTCCGACTCCTGGATTCAAGTGATCCTCCCACCTCAGCCTCCTGAATAGCCGGGATTACAAACTGAAAATTGATACTTTTTATCTATTTCAGAGAAAAACTTCCACATATATACCAAAAAGTAGGGACAATGATGTTCATTGCAGCTCCGTGTTGTAATAACAAAGAATTGGAAGTGTCTAAATGTTTATTGTACATAAATAAATTATCCCACATTCATAGTGTACAGCAGTTTAAAGAAGCAAAATGAAGATATATTTACTGACATGGAAAGATGCTCAAAACATATTGTTAAGTCAAAAAAGCAAGAAGCTAGATAACAAATGTGGTGTACCATTTCTGTAAAATAAAAACCAAAACATGCATACTTATAAAGATCATAGAGATCTGGGAGAAAACCAATCAGTGTTAACAATGGTGGTTACCTCTGAGAAGGGCAATGTAATTGGGGTGATAGTCAAGAGGGACTCAAGCTTATCTGTATGCTGTATGGTTTGAAATTTTTACAATCATGTTCACGCATGATTTGTGTAACCTAAAACTTATAATCCATAAGTGGATACCGCTGGGGCAGAGAAGTGGATACCACACAGGACACAGTCTTTTCATTTAATGCCACTCTATGACATAGCAACTTCTTTTTTTTTACTGCACATATGTATTACTTTAAAATAATACTTTTAAGCAACCACAACAAAAATCAATGTTTTTTCTCCTTTAGTTACAAAAAAACTTCACAGAACAATGTTTCTGCAGGTAGTTCTGTAAGCCCAAAGGTTGCCCTCCCACCAGCCCCATAAATGATGGTTATTTATGAACTACTTCATGACAGACATGTGTACAGCTATTTACCATCTCTGCTGGGAGGATGGATGTTCACATTCATATAAGACAAAAACAAATCAAGATTCAACTAGACAGGCTGCTGTGGGCTTGGGAATTAGAAGAGCAAAAATAAAAATAAAAAACCCAGCAACCTACTCCAGTAAATCACTTCTCCTTTCTGTCTTGTTCTTAAGAAAGAATTTAACAACCTCTTCAGGGTTGCAGACATTTTTATGTACTCGCCACTGAGTTTTAAAAAACATGAACAAAGTATTTGGCTGAACTGGTCTCTGGACTGGAAGCCAAATTGTAATCATGGTGTATCTCTTTGTCCAGGGTTCACTATTACAGTGTGTGTATGTCATTTCAACAATGGCTCCTCTCTTCTTTCTTATCTTTTTTGAGCACTCTTTCAGAAAGCTCCAAAATTTTATCAGACCTTATAGGTTTCACTTCTTAAGACCAAGTATCACTTGAACATGATGGGGATGAGAAAATATTTCCATTCTTATTCAAATCCTGACCTTCTGACTACCTCCTTCCTTGAACATCTCACCATTTTCATCCTTCTGAGCCTTGAGGAGTGGGTTGAGTTGAACCTTCCTCTTCTATCACTTGTCTTTTAGGTATGAGTCACTGAGAGAAAACCTAGGATCTTTCTAAACCAAGTGCCACAGATTTTGGTTCAGATGGTAATGTTGAGTACCTTTTGTATTACCTATAAAAGAATTAACATTAATTAGTGACAATGTAATAATAGACTTTGTTCACAAATAAATAAAAATAGTATTTAATCCTTTCAACATCACTGTAAGGCTGAGTATTTTATTTGTTTGTTTGTTTGTTTATTGTTAGAGCAAACGTCTGCATTATGTTGCCCAGGCTGGACTCCTGGGCTCAAGCAATCCTCCTGCCTCAGCCTCCTGAGTATCTGGGACAACAGGCACTCCACACAGCACCCAGTTTAGGCTGGGTATTCTTATTACCATTTTAAAGAAGGGAAAGCCGAGGTGAGAAGGGTTAAGAACTTCACCCTTGAAGATGTATTACAACAAACTGCTCTCCCTTCCAAGCCTTTATCACAGCTCTCTTGGTCCAGTTATCTAACTGGAGGTCTTTATTAAAATGCCTCCTGGGCCTGCTTTTATAAAAGCACCTTTATGCAGTTTAGTAAACTTCCAAGTATTTTAATGGGAAAATCTCTTAATGAATCCCTTTGAAGCTGCCAACACCTTTCAGATATAGTTGCAGTGACACCATGAGTTTCTTTTTAACTTGTTGAAACAAAGTACCCTATCTTTGATGTTAGGCTCTGAATCCTAACCCACCTTCTACCTGGGGCAGTACATTTAGGGCAGTGAACTGCTACTTGAGAAAAGGATCCGTATATGTGTTGTCGCCATTATCACCCTCCCTCTCAACCCACTTGTTTTCTTTTAGCTGATGTTTGTTGCATCACTCCTGGGCTTTAAGATACTCAAGAGGGGACAGTCAAGTCTCCCCACTCAGAACCAAGTAGGTTAAAGAAAGAATATAGAGGTCAAAACAATACCACCAAAATAGAAACATCACAGGGTCGCTCCTATCCCACCTCATATCAGCTGGAGCCCAGGCCCTGACATTACCCTACTACCCCACATACTTATTCCAAACTAAGAAGGGCTCAAAGTCTGGAGTTTGGTGCATCACACCAAGCCTTCATTTACTCCACCGAGTTTTCCATCTGCACTTTCCCCCATTAACCAGGCAGCACTGCTTCTATGTGATCTAGGCTTGTTCCCCAAGCCCTTTCCCTCCTCTTCCCAAGTGGAGCCATTCTCACTCTCTGCCTCATTCACGTTGCTCCAAAATGTCTGTGCCTTCTACAGTTAGCTAGCCTGATAAGCCAATCCATGCAAATATACCAAAAGGCTTAGAGTAGAATCTCCTTTCTCTTCCCAAATAAACTATACATAGTTCCTTCAAGACTAAACATATCTAAAACCAAAAAGAAATAGTACAAATATATAAAATGCCCCCTGCCTTATTTTGTAAGTAATTTATCATGAAAACCTTCCCCCATCAATTCATTTTCTGTAGCATCCTTTTTAATGTTTCAAAATTCACTTATACTTCCCTGTCTTCCCACTGTTGAGCATATAGGTTTTCTCCAGTTGTTGGACATGATGAACATTTTACACCTAACTCTGTACACACAAAGCATGATTTCTATATTATAAGGAACACAGCCTTGGTAAATAGGGAGGAGGCCCCTAGAAGGCCTGTTATGCAGCTTTATTTTGTGTGTGTGCCTGAGGTGACCTTTCTTTTAACAATATCTGCTCACCTTGGCTTACAGTCATAGTTGGGGACTGACTTGGGGAAAGGGCTTGGGGCCTGATAAACCTTGATATTTGTGTCTAAAAATTCACTTTTATTGTATATACTTCTTTTTATCAGTTTCAATAAAAGCGGGTGAAATCGAGCCAAAATTCTCATGGCCAATCCATGAGAATTCTGTCTGGGCAATTAAAAAGGCAATCAAGTTCCTACAGTATATATGGAGTTTGTGGGGCCAGCAGCTGATCTGAGCCTTGGACTGGCTGCTTTTTCTTCCTTGGCTTCTGAGCCCTTTTCTTCTGAGTTACAGAAGGTTAAGAGAGGCATTAGTTGTCCTCTCTTCCAACATTATGTTGGAATACAGGCGTATTGATGATGATGGTGATGATGATGATGACGATGATGATGATGATGATGTCAGCAATGATAATAGAACTTCAATCATATGTCACCTAATGTTGGGGATACATTCTCAGCAATGGATTGTTAGGTGTCATCATTGTGAGAACATCATAGATTGTACCTATACAGACTTAGATTGTACATACACATATAATTCACACATTTCTGAGATTAGGGAGTTTTGTATTACTTACCCAGAAAAAGCAAAGCTTGAATACATTGGAGTCTCTGCTCCTAAGAACAAAGGGCTGACATTTGGGAAACTTGACTTGGTTGTTACACAAATGTGCACCATCAGCCAACCAGGAGTATTAAAAAGAGCTAAACAAACTTGAAAGTTGAAGAAGCAGGCATAAAGTTGATTGAAAAAAAAAGTACTCACCAGAAGGAGGATGGTTTTGGTAGCTCTGGACTCAGGGAAGAATCTGGGGGCGGATATTGGTCCTATGTATGTATTGGACTTGCTGCTTGTTCCTGTAAAGAATGAAAGCCATGATGCCACTGGCACGATCCCCAAACATAAAACATCTGGGAACAGTAGCAATGTGGCACGGAGTGACTCTCTGCTTTTGTCAGGATGAACAGGAGAGTAGTATCCTAAATCTTTTGTCTTTGTGATGTTTTTGTTACTCAATTTGCCAGTCACGTACATAGGAAAAAAGATGTTTACCACAATTTAGAGGATCCACCACAGGAATATGGAGGAACCAATGTACTTAGGAGCTTTTACTTTCAGCTCTGCCCACCTGGAGTTCCTGGGACTGATAGTGATTCCTTGGAAGACACTCAGAAGCAGGTGGTGCCAGTGGAAACACCCCCGGCCACTCTGTGAACATAGAAAAGAAGTTTGCATCTGAAATCACTCAGGGAAGGTTTCCACCCCAAAACTGCTATTATCTGCCAAACTCTTCCAGAGAGGAAGAATAAGGAGTTGACTACAATCAGGTGCTTGATAATCAACTCTGTAGACCTTAACCTGAGCCCAGTGAAGTAAAGGAAGAGATAACGGTAAAGAAAACAGAAATTCCCCAGGATTTGAAGCACAGCCTGTGATAAGAAGATCCTTCCTATTGCCAGATCTTTGGCAGCCATTCTGTCAGTTCCCACAGACCGATATTTATCATCAGAGCCAGAGGACCCGCAGGGGAACGTGAGGCCTGTGCTACAGTTAAAATGTCAACTAAAATCCAGTATTCTTCACTGACCATTAGTTTCACACTTAGAAATATTAGCTGAAGTTTTTTCTATTATTAACAGGTTTCCAATATATGAATGTGTACCATTTAAAGTGTACTTACAATGTATTCATCGCTGCTATGAACAGTAGGTGTGGGGTAACTTTTTTATTCTTCACAAATCTATGAGGCAGCTGCTGCCATTATAACGATAAGAACTTAAGCACAGAGAGAGTAAGTGGTTGGTCTAAAATCAGACACTGACCAAGGGGTAGAGTGGGGACTTGATCATGTCTGAGTGAAGACACACCTGGAGGGTATGATATAGCCATTGCTCCTAGGCTACAAACCTGTACAGCATATTACTGTACTGAATACTATAGGCAACTGTAACACAATGGTAAATATCTTGTATCTAAACATAGAAAAGGTATAGTAATAATTCTTTATAAAAAGCTTTTTAAAATGGCACACCTGTATAGGGCACTTAACACGAATGGAGCTTGCAGGCTGGAAGTTGCTCTGGGTGAGTTCAGTTAGTGAGTGAGAGGTGAGTGAATGGGAAGGCCTAGGACATACTGTACACTACTGTAGACTTTATAAACATGGTACATTTAGGCTACACTAAATTGATTTTTAATTTTTTTCAGTAATAAATTAACCTTAGCTTACTGTAACATTTTTACCTTAGAAACTTAAAAAAAAAAACTCTCTTTTTTGCAATAACATTTAGCTCAAAACACACATATACAGCTGTACAAAAATATTTTCTTTCTTTATATCCTTATTTTATAACCTTTGTTCTAATTTTTAATTTTTTTATTTTTATTTTTTACTTTTTAAATTTTGTTAAAAAAAAAAAAAAAAACTAAGACACAAGCAACATGTATTAGTCTAGGCCTACACAGGGTTAGGATCAGCAATTTCACTGTCTTTCACCTTCACATCTTGTCTCCCTGGAAGGTCTTCAGGGGCAATAACACACATGGAGCTGTCATCTCCTATGATAACAATGCCTTCTTCTAGAACGTCTCCTGAAGAACTTGCCTGAGGCTGTTTTACAGCTAACTTTAAAAAAAAAAATAGGAGTATACTCTAATAGTAAAAAATATATAGTATAGTAAATATATAAACCAGTAACTTAGTTAATTATCATTATCAAGTATTATGTACTGTACAGAATTGTATGTGCTATACTTTTATACAGCTGGCAGGGCAGTACGTTTGTTTATGCCAGCATCATCACAAACACATGAGTAATGTGTTGCACTACGTGTTACAGTGGCTACAATGTTGCTAGATGATAAGAAGTTATCAGCTCAATTATAATCCTATGGGACCATCCTCGTATATGGGGTCCATCGTTGACCAAAATATCATTGCATGGCGTATGACTGTATTCAATGAATAAGCAATGACCATGGCTAAAGTGTTCCTTCTACTGGCAAAATCTTCTAGTCCAGAAACAATACTACAGAGCAGACGAATAGGATAATTAGAACCGAAGTCTTCTCATCCCAGAAGAAATACGGGGATTCAGTGATCATTCTGTCTCCTTACAATGTGATCCAGTTCTGTGTCCATCCTGCTGTTCCTGTTTTCATGAAGGGCAGACTTTACAGGTCTTCGACAATTTAAAAGCAGATACTTGAGGATTAAACTGGAATTGAGGCAAAGATTCATAAATCTCCTTCTTGCCACAAGAAGGCTAGAGACTTTGCCTCCAGAATCCTGGGAACAGGGACTGATGAACTATCCATCACCTTGATGTGTTCAACATTCAGTTACAGAGAGGAGCTCAATTTTAATAGAATGCCAAGGAAAGAGGCCTAGTGGACTATCAGGTATTGATTTAAGATATTACAAAAAGTGTGTATATTCTGTGTCAGAAAGATAGAGGATCTTTTCTTGTGACCAGAATTAGAGATCTTTCCAGCAAAAGGCATCTGAAGGGCAACTATGTACTACACCAGAGGCAATTGCCAGGTTCTCAGCTATTCTTACCACATCACCTTCCATTTTTTATTGTGGTTCTCTCATAAAACTTTGGGCTGTACTGTAAAATGTGGATTGCTTTTATTAAAAGTCCACTTTCATTTAATGAGGCAGGAACATATGATATGAATGGGAGGCAATCTGGGGAGTATGATCTGGGGAGACTATGATGATTCCCTTATTGTATGATTTCAGGGACACCAAAAAGATTCCACCCTGTCTCCCATTAAGTGTACCTATTGCTTCATTAAATAACTTTTTTCTCTTTGAGTCTTAAGGTCTTGCTGACTTCGAAAGTCTCCAGTTATGATGGAGTAACATAATCAGCTAAGAGGTGTATTTTATTATACTGTTCATTTTATTTTATATTTTTAAAAATTAGTATAATACTTTTTCTGATGAAATCTTACCTAGAACCCAAATACACAAATGCAGAGCAACTCTGAAGGAGGATGGAGGGCAACGGCTCACCTACTTGGCTTCCTCTCCAACCTAAGGAAGTCCAGAAAACAATAGTCAATTGTGTGTTTTTAAAACAAAATTTGAATTAAACGTTTTCAGTGTCCCTTAAGCAACCCTGCAGAACCTTAGGGTTCCTCAGCATACACTGGGGATAATTAAAAAGTGGACAGCTAGGTATCATGTGCCTCTCAGTGTAATGCACTAGAAATGGCATGGACCTTTACCATCTGTGAAGTACCCCCGTAAAACAATAACAAACAAATCTAATCAAGCCTCTACTTCTAAATTATCTGTTTACAGGAAGTAAGAGGATAGAGAAACGAGTTAAATTACACCACAAATAATTTACCATGAGTAAACAGCCAAGTGGAGAATGAGGGAAATTCTGCAGGACAAATGACCTGGTTCATTCAGTAAATAAATAGCATAAAAAAGGAGACAGAACAGGAGAACTATTAGATTTTAAAAGACAACAACAACAACAACAAAAACCCCAATTTAGAAATGGACAAAGGACTTGAATAGACATTTCTCCAAATAAGATATATAAATGGCCAAGTAGCACATGAAAGATGCTCAACATCATTAGTCACTAGGGAAATGCACATCAAAACCACAAGGAGGTACCACTTCACACCACTCCACACAGTATGATGGCTCTGCTCAAAAATACAGAAAATAACAAGTGCGGCAAGGATGTGGAGACATTTGGGACCCTCACACGTTGCTGATGGGAATGTAAAATGGTGCCATCTCTGTGGAAAACAGTTTGGTGGCTCCTCAAACAGCTAAACAAGGTTACCATATGACCCAGCAATTCCACTTCTGGGTATATAACCAAAAGAATTGAAAACTGGTATTCAAACAAATACAAGTATATGCATGTTATAGCAGCACTATTCACCATAGCCAAAAGATGGAAACAGCCGAAATGTCCGTTGATATGGTTTGACTGTGTCCCCACTCAAATCTCCGCTGGAATTGCAGTTCCCATAATTGACAAGGACCAGGTGGAGATAATTGAATCATGGGGGCGGTTTCCCCCATCCCGTTCTGCTGATTGTGAGTGAGTTCTCACGAGATCTGATGGTTTTATAAGGGGCTTCCCCCCTTCCCTGGGCGCCCATTCTTCTTCTCTCTGCTGCCATGTGAAGAAGAGCGTGTTTGCTTCCCCTTCTGCCATAATTGTAAGTTTCCTGTGGACTCCCCAGCCATGCAGAACTGTGAGTCAATTAAACCTCTTTGCTTTATAAATTACCTCTTCTTGGGTACAACCCTTATAGCAGTGTGAGAATGGACTAATACATCCATCAACAAATGAATGTATTAAGTGTGGTATATATACACAATGAAATATTCAGCCATAAAAAGGAATGAAGTACTGATACATGCTACAATATTGATGAAACTCAAAAGCATGCTAAGGGAAAAAAGCCAGACAAAAAGACACGTATTTTATAATTCTATTTTATGAAATATTCAGAATAGGTAAATCCATAGAAACATAAGGCAGATTGATAGTTGCCAGGAGCTGGTGGGAGGGGAGAATGAAAAGCAACTGCTTAACAAATAGGGTTTTGGGTTTCCTTTTGATATGAGGAAAATGTTTTGGAACTAGAAAGAAGTGGTATTTGCACAACTTTGTGGCTACACTAAATGCCCGAAATCTTCTCTTTAAAATGGCTAATTTTGGCTGGGTGTGGTGGCTCACACCTGTATCCCAGCATTTTGGGAGGCCAAGGTGGGTGGATCACTTGATGTCAGGAGTTCAAGACCAGCCAGATCAACATGGTGAAACCCCGTATCTACTAAAAATATAAAATTAGCCAGGTGTGGCAGCTCATGCCTGTAGTCCCAGCTACTCTGGAGGCTGAGGTGGAAGAATCACTTGAACCCAGGAGGCGGAAGTTCCAGTGAGCTAAGGTTGCACCACTGCACTCCAGCCTGGGCAACAAGAGCAAAACTTTGTCTGAAAAATAAATAAATAAATAGGCTAATTTTATGTTATGTAAATTTTACTCAATAAAATAGGTAAGTTCATGATTGATAGATTTTTTAAAAAAACTTGAGAAATATATCAACCAAGTACAATAGACCTACACCTTGTTTTGTTTCTGAGTCAAAGCAATTATAAAAATACATTTCTGAGGTGGCTGGAGAAACTTGAACGTGAATTGAATGTTAGATGATATTAAGGAACTATTGTTAATTTGTTAAGTTGTTTGTGTTAAGAGATTGTGTTTTTAAAAAATTCCTTCTCAGAGATTCAATGATGTCTAGAATGTGTTTTAAAATACTCAAAAGGAAGAGTTCAAAGGGGGAATAGTTGAAACAAGTTTGGCAAATTTTGGGCAATTGATGAGAGTAAGTAATATGGACATAGGCATGATTTCTACTTTTGTGTATATTTGAAATTTTCCATACTAAAACACTTTTTAATATGGTTTAAGAACCATAGATTTATTTGATGCCATTTATAGTCCTTTGATATACATGCTGGGAGGCTTTTGGAAAACATGGGAAGAAAGAGGTAGGGAGAAGGAAATGTAACAGATAGAAAAGGGGAATCATGGGAAGGAATATTAAAACAGTCGAAAACCACATTCTCCAGGACTTTGCTAGGGGTGTGTCCTTCAAGAGGAAAGAGGTTACTGGACTTCCCCAACTGCAAACCTCAGCCCACCCTGACTGCTTTCAGTGGCTGCAGTCACAGGTGACTTGGATGATGTGTAGGAGATATTCAGTGTGTCTCTTCCCAGGGCAGAAGAAACAGCATTCTCACCACTATTACCACCAGTGTTTACTGGGAATCATCCATGTATGAAATACTGTGGTTATCAGCAGCCCTCAGTTAAACCACAGCCTTAAACAGTGTCCTGCCAACAGCTAGTGATTGCATCCAAGTGGCCCTTACTGGACTTGGCCTGGAGACAGAAGGGATCTGACACACCACAGCTCCTTCTTGATTCTGTGAAGTCACAACAGATCTTAGCAGTGTTAAGTGCTAAGGGTCAGGGGCCCTGGACTCTAGTTCTGTCACTGCCACCTACTAGCTGTGTGCACCTGTGCAAGTCTCTAGTTGCCCACTCTGAGTATCTCATTTGTAGAATGAGAGTTTTGATGGTTTCTCTTGTCCCTTCTATCCCTACAAAGCATTCACTGCATTCGTTCATTCATTGCATGTACATTTATTCTATAAATAACCTTAATATATTCACTGTTAGCAAAGCACTCTAAGGCTTTGTTAAACGCATAATCGCTAGAAAGTTTTCCCTTAGCAGAACTCTCTAATGGTCTCTTGACTCCAAGAGTTGAGAATTAATTACTCGAGGCTTCCCCTCTAAATGGGAAAACTATAGCAAATAGCTTTCTTAATCCTTAGCATACGTGCCTCACGGTGTAGCCCTAATATTAAAGAAGGGAAATAGCTTTATTTTGCAGTTATTGAAGGGTAAGGAGTTCTCCTGAATTTCTTTCTTTTCCTCTTATTTAAAAAATCCTGGAATTTTTCTACATAGAAGAAAATGTCTGATAACATTTTTCTGTACGTCTTTCCAGATATCATTTATAATGGTTGTGTACTATGCCTGTGTATGAATGCACTATAACTAACTTAACAATTCTTTCCATAGTTAGTTTCCTACTGTAAAAATACTGGGATGAACATCCTTGGACATACATCTTTATTTGTTCAAGAAATTCCTAGAAATGAAATTTCTGAATCAAAGGAAATGCACAAAGTTTTGATAAAACTGTTTAAGTGCCCTCCAGAAAGATGACAGCAATCTTTACTCCCACTAGCACTATATGAAAATGTCTGTCACTGCATTCTTCCTTCCCAACATAAGCGTTGGCGTTTATTTCAGTCTTTGCCAATCAATCCTTCCTGACATTTTACAGGATCTCCTATAATGCTATGTTTGCATTTCTATACCTGAGAGGTGCTCTACCACCATTTCAGTATTTCCAGAGGTAGCAGCTTCCTTTTCCTTTTTTTTTTTTCTTTTTTTTTTTTTGGAGGATAGAGACACAGTCTTGCTATGTTGCCCCAGGCTAGTCTCAAACTCCTGGCCTCAAGCAATCCTTCCTCCTCGACCTCCCAAAGTGCTGGGATTACAGACATGAGATGCCATGCCAAGCCCCTTCCCCCATTTCTGAGGGGACAGGAACCTACCACTATGAGCCTGTGCCTCCTGGCTGTCAGAGCAACACTTGAGAGGACGCAGCCAGCCACACCCGCTCCCTCTCTTCATCCTACTGCGGTAGTAAGCTGGCTTTCCAATTAAATACTGCACTTCCAGCTTTAGGAGGTATTCATTCAAATTCTCTATTTAATCCCGAGCAACTAAAGTTAATTCATCACTGCTCCTCTTTTTGGCTATGTAAAATAAAGTCTTTCCGCACTTTAATTCTCTAACACTTGATTTTTAGGTATAATTTGACTTTACTAGTGATAAAGGAGATTGAGAGAGGGATAGAGAAGATTCTGTTTTATTTGGATTCCTTTCCATCATGATTTCCTGCCAGCTGCCTGACATATAGTTAGACAAACACAGAGGAAACACCACACCATAGGTGACTCCATCTTTCATTCTTAAAAGATTCAATTGGATTAATAAGTGTTAGCAATGATTTATCATACTGGTAGGAATTTTTTTCCAACAAATTAAGTACCTAACTGACTTTTTTGGGGGCCAATCTTTCCTCCCCGACCTTCACCCTCATGACATAACAGTCCTGAGGTTATGAAAACATATGGAGAGAGGTTATGAGAACCAGTAAGGTTCAGAACACACTGTCTGCCAGCCTAAGCTGCCTTTGTGATTGTGTACAAATTCCTGTTTCTGTTTTCTCCACAGAGAACAGGTTCTTACATATTGATCTCAGTGCATTGTGAGATCAGCCCTATCTCTGAGGCCTCTCACCCTCAGCACAAGTCTCTCTCAAATAAACCACTGGTGAAAGTAGTGTTTCTAGCCAATGCACTGATATAAGAAATTAGAGTGTTTTATTCCCTCTGAAGAGGACACGATGTGAAAGGCAAGCTTTTTAGAAGGGTCACAGAGGGCTATGGATTTTTGCTGGTCGTAAATCGAGCTGTTGATAAAAAGCAATGAGCTTTCCCGGAAGGTGTGATTTGAAGTAGGCCTGACCTAGGACACGGTGAACATACAGCCCATTAAATAAGAGGCGACGATCACCTGAGCTACAGCCGGGTGGCTCCAATAATTTTTTTAAAGTTTTATGTTGAAGACTCCAGGGAGTGCTTTAAAATTACAATCTTTTGGAGAAAGCACTTCATTTGCCATGCACCAGGGGCAGCTGCTGGAATCTGCGGCCATCAGAGAACTCACCTCCTCCTGCTTTGCTTTGAATTCACACCTCTTCCCCAGAAAGGAAGAACTAGTTGGTTTAGGGCAATGTTACTGAACTTTTTGAACACACGCCTTATTCAGATAAATATAAAAATCTCATACACATACTCCCACAGAGATTCTGATGGCCTCTACACACACTCAGCTTAGAAATCACTACCTTCTAGCCGAGTTCAGTGGCTCACACCTGTTATCCCAGCACTTTGGGAGGCTGAGGCAGGTGGATCACTTGAGGTCAGGAGTTCAAGACCAGCGTGGCCAACACAGTGAAACCCCATCTCTACTAAAAATACAAACATTAGGTGGGCATGATGGCAGGCACCTGTAATTCCAGCTACTCGGGAGGCTGAAGCCTGAGAATCACTTGAACCTGGGAGGCAGAGGTTACAGTGAGCCAAGATCCTGCCACTGCGCTCTAGCCTGGGCAACAGAGCAAGACTCTCACTGAAAAACAACAACAACAACAACAACAACAAGAATCACTACCTTCTGCATCCCCCACCGGCTGATTCTATCTAGCTTTATTTGCAGTTGTTTTATTATGAAAATAATAAGGGAGGCCGGGTGCGGTGGCTCACACCTGTAATCTCAGCACTTTGGGAGGCCGAGGCGGTCAGATCACCTGAGGTCAGGAGTTCGAGAGCAGCCTGAACACCATGGCAAAGCCCCATCTCTACGAAGAAACACAAAAATTAGCTGAGTGTGGTGGCGTACACCTGCAATCCAGCTACTCGGGAGGCTAAGGCATGAGAATTGCTTGAACCCGGGAGGTGCAGGTTGCACTGAGCCAAGATTGCTCCACTGCACTCCAGCCTGGGTGACAAAGTGAGACTCCATCTCAAAAAAAAAAAAGAAAGAAAGAAAGAAAAAGAAAAAAGGATTGTTTTTATTTGCAAATAAATGTTTTCAAATATTGAAAATGATTTTTCAAACTGTATAGTTCTTCTAAGGGTGAATGAATAATGGCCATCCTAGAAGATCAAGAAATACCATATTCCTGACATTCACCAATCTAGACCCCATTTCCTGCCATCCTTCTGTGCACCATTCTTGTATTTAAGATCCTGGTCATTTATGCTTTAGTATGAATCTGTCACTCTGTTGCTTCTCTGTAAATATGTAAACAGAAAGCTTTATCCCTGATTAGAAGTGAAAGACTTCTGATTGGGGAAATAGATATTCAAAGTGGAAGATTGGACTCCCAAAATTTCCAAATCTTACAGAATCCAGAACCCACCCACACCTACTGAATCAACTTCTCCAGAGGTGTGGCCTGGGAATCTTTATTACTGCAAATTTTTCCAGGTGACTCTGATGTACATCCAGGTTTTATTTTTTCTTTATTTTTATTTTTATTTTATTTTTCCATAAGTTATTGGGGTACAGGTGGCATTTGGTTACATGAGTAAATTCTTTAGTGGTGATTTGTGAGATTTTGGTGCACCCATCACCCAAGCAGTATACACTGCACCATATTTGTAGTCTTTTATTCCTCACCGCCCTCCTACACTTCCCCCCAAGTCCCCAAAGTCCATTGTATCATTCTTATGCATTTGTGTCCTCATAGCTTAACTCCCACATATCAGTAATAACATACAATGTTTGGTTTTCCATTCCTGAGTTACTTTGCTTCCAATAATAGTCTCCAATCTCATCCAGGTCACTGCAAATGCTGTAAATGATCCCTTTTTATGGGTTAGTAGTATTCCTTCATATATATATATACACACATATGTGTGTGTGTGTATATATATACATATATATACATATATACATATATATACATATATATACATATATACATATATATACATATATATATATATATATATACACACATACCACAGTTTCTTTTTTATTATTATTACATTTTAAGTTCTAGGGTACATGTGCACAATGTGCAGGTTTGTTACATAGGTATGCATGTGCCATGTTGGTTTGCTGCACCAATCAACTCATCGTTTACGTTAGGTATTTCTCCTAATGCTATCCGTTCCCCAGTCCCGCAACCCCTGAAAGGCCCTGGTTGTGATGTTCCCCACCCTGTGTCCAAGAGTTCTTATTGCTCAGTTCCCACCTATGAGTGAGAACACGAAGTGTTTGGTTTTCTGTACTTGTGATAGTTTGCTGAGAATGATGGTTTCCAGCTTCATCCATGTCCCTGCAAAGGACATGAACTAATCCTTTTTTATGTCTGCATAGTATTCCATGGTGTATATGTGCCACATTTTCTTAATCCAGTCTACAATTGATGGACATTTGGGTTAGTTCCAAGTCTTTGCTATTGTGAATAGTGCTGCGATAAACCTACGTGTGCAGGTGTCTATATAGTAGCATGATTTATAATCTTTTGAGTATATACCCAGTAATGGGATTGCTGGGTCAAGTGGTATTTCTGGTTCTAGATCCTTGAGGAATCACCACACTGTCTTCCACAATGGTTGAACTAATTTACACTCCCACCAACAGTGGAAAAGGGTTTCTGTTTCTCCACATCCTCTCCAGCATCTGTTGTTTCCTGACTTTTTAATGATTGCCACTCTAACTGGCATGAGGTGGTATTTCATAGTGGTTTTGATTTTCATTTCTCCAATGACCAGTGATGATGAGCATTTTTTCATGTGTCTGTTGGCTGCATAAATGTCTTCTTTTGAGAAGTGTCTGTTCATATCCTTTGCCCACTTTTTGATGGGATTGTTTGTTTTGTTCTTGTAAATTTAAGTTCTTTGTAGATTCTGGATATTAGCCCTTTGTCAGATGGGTAGATTGAAAAAATTTTCTCCCATTCTGTAGGTTGCCTGTTCACTCTGATGATAGATTCTTTTGCCGTGCAGAAGCTCTTTAGTTTAATTAGATCCCATTTGTCAATGTTGGCTTTTGTTGCCATTTCTTTTGGTGTTTCAGTCATGAAGTCTTTGCACATGCCTATGTCCTGAATGGTGTTGCCTAGGTTTTCTTCTAAGGTTTTTATGGTTTTAGGTCTAATATTTAAGTCTTTAATCCATCTTGAATTAATTTTTGCATAACGTGTTAAGAAGGGATCCAGTTTCAGCTTTCTACATATGGTTAGCCAGTTTTGCCAGCACCATTTATTAAATAGGGAATTCTTTCCCCATTTCTTGTTTCAGTCAGGTTTGTCAAAGATCAGATGTTTGTAGATGGGTGGTATTATTTCTGAGGCCACTGTTCTGTTCCATTGGTCTATGTCTCTGTTTTACATACCAGTACCATGCCGTTTTGGTTACTGTGGCCTTGTAATATAGTTTGAAGTCAGGTAGCATGATGCCTCCAGCTTTGTTCTTTTGGCTTAGGATTGTCTTGGCTATGTGGGCTCTTTTTTGGTTCCATATGAACTTTAAAGTAGTTTTTTCCAATTCTGGAAAGAAGTCATTTGTAGCTTGATGGGGATGGCATTGAATCTATAAATTACCTTGGGCAGTATGGCCATTTTCACAATATTGATTCTTCCTATCCATGAGCATGGAATGTTCTTCCATTTGTTTGTGTCCTCTTTTATTTCGTTGAGCAGGTGTTTGTAGTTCTCTTTGAAGAGGTCCTTCACATCCCTTGTAAGTTGGATTCCTAGGTATTTTATTCTCTTTGAAGCAATTGTGAATGGGAGTTCACTCATGATATGGCTCTCTGTCTGTTATTGGTGTATAGGAATGCTTGTGATTTTTGCACATTGATTTTGTATCCTGAGACTTTGCTGAAGTTGCTTATCAGCTTAAGGAGATATTGGGCTGAGACGATGGGGTTTTCTAAATATACAATCATGTCATCTGCAAACAGGGACAATTTGACTTCCTCTTTTCCTAATTGAATACCCTTTCTTTCTTTCTCTTGCCTGATTGCCCTGGCCAGAACTTCCAACACTATGTTGAATAGGAGTGGTGAGAGAGGGCATGCTTGTCTTGTGTCGGCTTTCAAACAGAATGCTTCCAAATTTTGCCCATTCAGTATGATATTGGCTGTGGGTATGTCATAAATAGCTCTTATTATTTTGAGATATGTTCCATCAATACCTAGTTTATTGAGAGTTTTTAGTATGAAGGGCTGTTGAATTTTGTCGGAGGCCTTTTCTGCATCTATTGAGATAATCATGTGGTTTTTGTCATTGGTTCTGTTTATGTGATGGATTACTTTTATTGATTTGCGTATGTTGAACCAGCCTTGCATCCCAGGGATGAAGCCAACTTGATCGTGGTGGATAAGGTTTTTGATGTGCTGCTGGATTCAGTTTGCCAGTATTTTACTGAGGATTTTCACATCGACGTTTATCAGGGATATTCGTCTAAAATTCTCTTTTTTTGTTGTGTCTCTGCCAGGCTTTGGTATCAGGATGATGCTGGCCTCATAAAATGAGTTCAGGAGGATTCCCTCTTTTTCTATTGATTGGAATAGTTTCAGAGGGAATGGTTCCAGCTCCTTTTTGTACCTCTGGTAGAATACGGCTGTGAATCCGTCTGGTCCTGGACTTTTTCTGGTTGGTAGGCTATTAATTATTGCCTCAAGTTCAGAGCCTGTTACTGGTCTGTTCAGAGATTCAACTTCTTCCTGGTTTAGTCTTGGGAGGGTGTATGTGTCCAGGAATTTATCCATTTCTTCTAGATTTTCTAGTTTATTTGCATAGAGATGTTTATATTATTCTCTGATGGTAGTTTGTATTTCTGTGGGATTGCTGGTGATATCCCCTTTACCATTTTTTTTATTGCATCTATTTGATTCTTCTCTCTTTTCTTCTTTATTAGTCTTGCTAGCAGTCTATCAATTTTGCTGATCTTTTCAAAAAACAAGCTCCTGGATTCACTGATTTTTTGCCCATTAATTGATGCAGTTCTTTCCTGCCTAGCCAGACAGGCCAACATTCAAAATCAGGAAATACAGAGAACACCACAAAGATACTCCTCAAGAAGAGCAACTCCAAGACACATAATTGTCAGATTCACCAAGGATGAAATGAAGGAAAAAATGTTAAGGGCATCTCTATCTCCTCCAGTTCTGCTCTGATCTTAGTTTTTTTTCTTTTTTTTTTTTTTTTTTTTTGCCTTCTGCTAGCTTTTGAATGTGTTTGCTCTTGTTTCTCTAGTTCTTTTAATTGTGATGTTAGGATGCCGATTTTAGATCTTTCACACTTTCTCTTGTGGGCATTTAGTGCGATAAATTTCCCTCTACACGCTGCTTTAAATGTGTCCCAGAGATTCTGGTGTGTTGTGTCTTTGTTCTCATTGGTTTCAAAGAACATCTTTATTTCTGCCTTCATTTCGTTATTTACCCAGTAGTCATTCAGGAGCAGGTTGTTCAGTTTCCATGTAGTTGTGTGGTTTTCAGTGAGTTTTTTAATCCTAAGAACTAATTTGATTGCACTGTGGTCTGAGAGGCAGTTTGTTGTGATTTCTGTTATTTTACATTTGCTGAGGAGTGCTTTACTTCCAATTATGTGGTAAATTTTAGAATAAGTGTGATGTGGTGCTGAGAAGAATGTATATTCTGTTGATTTGGGGTGGAGAGTTCTGTAGATGTCTATTAGGTCTGCTTGGTGCAGAACTGAGTTCAAGTCCTGGATATCCTTGTTAACTTTCTCTCTCATTGATCTGTCTAATATTGACAGTGGGGTGTTAAAGTCTCCCATTATTATTGTGTAGGAGTCGAAGTCTCTTTGTAGGTCTCTAAAGACTTGCTTTATGAATCTGGGTGCTCCTGTATTGGGTGCATATATATTTAGGATAGTTAGCTCTTCTTGTTGCATTGATCCCTTTACCGTTATGTAATGGCCTTCTTTGTCTCTTTTGATCTTTGTTGGTTTGGTTTAAAGTCTGTTTTATCAGAGACTAGGATTGCAACCCCTCCTTTTTTGTGTTTTCCACTTGCTTGGTAGACCTTCCTCCATTCTTTTCTTTTGAGCCTATGTGTATCTCTGCACGTGAGATGGGTCTCCTGAATACAGCACACTGATGGGTCTTGACTCTTTATCCAATTTGCCAGTCTGTGTCTTTTAATTGGGGCATTTAGCCCATTTACATTTAAGGTCAATATTGTTATGTGTGAATTTGATCCTGTCATTATGATGTTAGCTGGTTATTTTGCTAATTAGTTGATGCAGTTTCTTCCTAGCATCGACGGTCTTTACAATTTGGCATGTTTTTGCAGTGGCTGGTACCAGTTGTTCCTTTCCATGTTTAGTGCTTCCTTCAGGAGCTCTTGTAAGGCAGGCCTGGTGGTGACAAAATCTCTCAGCATTTGCTTGTCTGTAAAGGATTTTATTTCTCCTTTACTTATGAACCTTAGTTTGGCTGGATATGAAATTCTGGGTTGAAAATTCTTTCCTTTAAGAACATTGTATATTGGCCCGCACTCTCTTCTGGCTTGTAGGGTTTCTGCTGAGAGATCTGGTGTTAGTCTGATGGGCTTCCCTTTGTGGGTAACCCAACCTTTCTCTCTGGCTGCCCTTAACATTTTTTCCTTCATTTCAACCTTGGTGAATCTGACAATTATGTGTCTTGGGGTTGCTCTTCTCGAGGAGTATCTTTGTGGTGTTACCTGTATTTCCTGAATTTGAATGTTGGCCTGCCTTGCTAGGTTGGAGAAGTTCTCCTGGATAATATCCTGAAGAGTGTTTTCCAACTTGGTTCCATTCTCCCCATCACTTTCAGGTACACCAATCAAATGCAGTTTTGGTCTTTTCACATAGTCCCATATTTCTTGGAGGCTTTGCTCAATTCTTTTTACTCTTTTTTCTCTAATCTTGTCTTCTCACTTTATTTCATTAATTTTATCTTCAATCACTGATATCCTTTCTTCCACTTGATCAAATTGACTATTGAAGCTTGTGCATGTGTCACGAAGTTCTCGTGCCATAGTTTTCAGCTCCATCAGGTCATTTAAGGTCTTTTCTACACTGTTGATTCTAGTTAGCCATTCGTCTAACCTTTTTTCAATGCTTTTAGCTTTCTTGCAATGAGTTAGAACATGTTCCTTTAGCTCAGAGAAGTTTGTTATTACTGACCTTCTGAAGCCTACTTTTGTCAACTCATCAAAGTCATTCTCTGTCCAGCTTTGTTCCATTGCTGGCAAGGAGCTGCAATCCTTTGGAGGAGAAGAGGCGCTCTGGTTTTTAGAATTATCAGCTTTTCTGCTATGGTTTCTCCCCATCTTTGTGGTTTTATCTAGCTTTGGTCTTTGATGTTGGTGACCTACAGATGAGGTTTTCGTATGGATGTCCTTTTTGTTGATGTTGATGCTATTCCTTCCTGTTTGTTAGTTTTCCTTCTAACAGTCAGGTTCCTTAGCTGCAAATCTGTTGGAGTTTGCTGGAGGTTCACTCCAGACCCTGTTTGCCTGGGCATCACCAGTGGAGGCTGCAGAACAGCAAATATTGCAGAACAGCAAATATTGCTGCCTGATCCTTCCTCTGGAAGCTTCATCCCAGACGGACATCCACCTGTATGAGGTGTCTGTTGGCCCCTACTGGGAGGTGTCTCCCAGTTAGGCTACACGGTGGTCAGGGACCCACTTGAGGAGGCAGTCTGTACATTCTCAGAGCTCAAATGCCATGCTGGGAGAACCACTGCTCTCTTCAGAGCTGTCAGACAGGGACTTTTAAGTCTGCAGAAGTTTCTGCTGCCTTTTGTTGAGCTCTGCCCTGCCCACAGAGATGGAGTCTATAGAGGCAGTAGGCATTGCTGAACTGTGGTGGGCTCTGCCCCAGTTGAAGCTTCCCAGCCACTTTGTTTCCCTACTCAAGACTCAGCAATGGTGGGTGTCCCTCCCCCGAGCAGGCTGCAGCCTTGCAGATTGATCTTAGACTGCTGTGCTAGCAGTGAGCAAGGCTCCGTGGGCATGGGACCTGCCAAGTCAGGCGTATGAGAGAATCTCCTGGTCTGCCAGTTGCTAAGACTATGGGAAAATTGCAGTATTTGGGCGAATGTGTCTTGTTTTTCCAGGTACAGTCTATCACAGCCTCCCTTGGCTAGGAAAGGGAAATCCCCTGACCCCTTGTGCTTCCCAGGTGAGGCGACACCCACCGTGCTCGGCTTGCCCTCCATGGGCTGCACCCACTGTCCAACCAGTCCCAGTGAGATGAACCAGGTACCTCAGTTGGAAATGCAGAAATCACCCATCTTCTGCGTCAATCACACTGGGAGCTGCAGACCGGAGCTGTTCGTATTCAGCCATCTTGGAACGGAGCGCCATGCACACAGTTTCTTTATCCACTCTTTGATTGATGGGCATTTGAGTTAGTTCCACAATTGTGCAATTGTGAATTGTGCTATAACCATGCATGTGCAAGTGTCTTTTTCAAATAACGATTTATTTTCCTCTGGGTAGATATCCAGTAGTGGGATTGCTGGATCAAGTGGTAGTTTTACTTTTAGCTCTTTAAGGAATCTCCACACTGTTTCCATAGTGGCTGTATTGGTTTACATTCCCACCAACAGTGTGTAAGTGTTCGCTGATCACTGCATCCATGCCAACATCTACTGTTTTTTTTAATTTTTTGATTATGGCCATTCTTGCAGGTGTAAGGTGGTATTGCATTGTGGTTTTGATTTGCATTTCCCTGATCATTAGTGATTTTGAGCATTTTTTCTTGTGTTTGTTGGCCATTTGTGTATCTTCTTTTGAGAATTGTCTATTCATGTCCTTAGCCCACTTTTTGATGGGATTTTTTTGTTTTTTCTTACTGATTTGAGTTTGTTGTAGATTCTGGACGTTAGACATTTGTCAGATGTATAGATTATGAAGATTTTCTCCAACTCTGTGGGTCATCTGTTTACTCTGCTTTTTTGTTCCTTTTGCCATGCAAAAGCTCTTTAGTTTAATTAGGTCCCAGCTATTTATTTATCTGTGTTGTTCTTGCATTTGCTGTTGGGTTCTAGGTCATGAATTCCTTGCCTAAGCCAATGGCTAGAAGGATTTTTCCAATGTTATCTTCTAGAATTTTTATGGTTTCAGGTCTTAGGTTTAAGTCCTTAATCCATCTTGAGCTGATTTTTGTATGAGGTGAGAGGTGAGGATCCGGTTTCATTTTCTTACACGTGGCTAGCCAATTATTCCAGCACCATTTGTTGAAAAGGGTGTCCTTTTCCCACTTCATGTCTTTGTTTGCTTTGTCAAAGATCAGTTGGCTGTAAGCATTTAGGTTTATTTCTGGGTTCTGTATTCTGTTCCATTGGTCTATGTGGCTGTTTTTATACCAGTACCACACTGTTTTGGTGACTTTTGCCTTATAGTATAGTTTGAAATCAGGTAGTGTGATGCCTCCAGGTTTATTCTTTTTCTTAGTCTTGCTTTGGCTATGCGGGCTCTTTTTTGGTTTCATATGAATTTTAGAATTGTTTTTTCTAACTGTGTGAAGAATAATGGTGGTATTTTGATGGGGATTGCACTGAATTTGTAGATTGCTTTTAGCAGTATGGCCATTTGCACAATATTGATTCTACTCATCCATGAGCATGGGTTGTGTTTCCATTTGTTTGTGTCATCTGTGATTGCTTTCAGCAGTGTTTTGTAGTTTTCCTTGTAGAGGTCTTTCAACTCCTTTTTAGGTATATCCCTAAGTTGTTTTTTTTTTTTTAAGCTATTGTAGAAGGGGTTGAGTTCTTGATTTGATTCTCCGCTTTGTCGCTGTTGGTGTATAAAAGAGCTACTGATTTGTGTACATTAACTTTGTATCCTGAAACTTTGCTGAATCCTTTTATCAGTTCTAGGAGCTTTCTGGAGGAGTCCTTAGGGTTTTCAAGGTAAACAATCATATCATCAGCAAACAGGAAAAGTTTGACTTCCTCTTTACCAATTTGGATGCCCTTTATTTCTTTCTCTTGTCTGACTGCTCTGGCTAGGACTTCCAGTACTATGTTGAAGAGGAGTGGTGAGAGTGGGCACCCTTGTCTTGTTCTCATTCTCAGAGGGAATGCTTTCAACATTTCCCCATTCAGTATTATGTTGGCTGTGGGTTTGTCATAGATGACTTTTGTTACATTAAGGTATGTCCCTTGTATGCCGATTTTGCTGAGGGTTTTAATCATAAAGGGATGCTGGATTTAGTCTAATGCTTTTTCTGCATCTATTGAGATGATCATGTGATTTTTGTTTTTAATTATGTTTATGTGGTGTATCTCATTTATTGACTTGCGTATGTTAAACCATCCTTGCATCCCTGGTGTGAAGCCCACTTTATCATGGTGGATTATCTTTTTAATATGTTGTTAGTTTCAGTGAGCTTGTATTTTGTTAAGGGTTTTAGCATCTATGTTCATCAAGGATATCGGTCTGCAGTGTTCTTTTCTGGTCATGTCATTTCCTGGTTTTGGTATTAGGGTGATGCTGCTTCATAGAATGAATTAAGGAGGCTTCCTTCTTTCTGTATATTCTGGAATAGTGTCAAAAGGATCGGTACCAGTTCTTCTTTGAATGTCTGGTAGAATTCTGCTGTGAATCCATCTGGTCCTGGACTTTTTTGTGTTGGTAATTTTTAAGTTACCATTTCAATCTCTCTACTTGTTATTGGTCTGCTCAGGATATGTAATTCTTCGCATCCAGATTTGTAACCAACCAATTGACCCTACTTTTCTTATTTGCTCCAAAAAAAATTTATTTTAACATTCTCATCACATTTTAATAGTTCATATTACGAGTCTCACCTTCCAATTGAAAAATCTAAATAAACTATTTTCCAAGGTTACTTTAGCATTAGGGTGAGGGCATGTGATAGGATGTACCATTCAGATGCACCTATGTAAGACTTTGATTCAGAAAGAGCTACCTAAGGAAACAGCCTGGCCACTGAGGGTACATTCTTTGCTAGCACAGATGACTGCAGAGGCAGTGTTTCTGGGGTTGTCAGCAGTGGCTACAGCTTGCTGAACAGCTTCCTCATTGGGCCAGTTCAGCAATGTGGGTCTAGATGTTACTCCTAAGGGCTCAGTCTAGAGTACTGATTCTCAATCTTAGCTGTTTATTGGAATCACCTGAGGAGATTATTTAATATACTGATGCCTGGGTTCTGTTGCAAACAATCTGATTTATGAGATGAGGTGTGCCATGGGCATTAGCTCCCAGGTGATTCCAATGTGTAGCCAAGTTTGAGAATCTCTAGACTTGAGCCTGTGTCTTTTTTTTGTTCCAACGACAATTTATAAATTTTTTCCCAATTAAAATAGCTACAGTATGCTGGGCGTGGTGACTCACACCTATCACCCAGTACTTTGGTAGTCCAGGGCAGGAGGATCACTTGAGGCCAGGGGTTCAAGACCAGCCTAGGCAACAAAGAAAGAACTCATCTCTACTAAAAAAAAAATTAAAATAATTAGCTCTGGTGCTGTGTGTCTGTAGTCCTATTCAGTCCAACTATTCAGGAGGCTGAAGCAGGAGGATCACTTGACCCCCAGGAGTTCAAGGCTGTAATGAGCTATGATTGCACCACTGCACTCTAGCCTGGGTGACAGGGCGAGACCCTGTTTCTAAAAAGAAAGAAACAAAACAGTGTTTTCTGACGTCTGCACCTAAGAAGTCTGATCAATACAGATTCCCAAGGTCTTTTCCAACACTGAAAACATAGGATTTTATGGTGCTCTGTCTTTTTAAATTGTTAAAGGAGTACCAAGACAATTCAATGAGGAAAAGTAGTTACTTCAACACATTGTCCTAGGACAACTGAATAGCCAAAAGAATGAAGTTGGATCCCTACCTAACACCGTATACAAAAATTAACTCAAAATGGATCAAAAACCTAAATGTAAGAACTGAATTATAAAATTCTTAGAAGAAAGCATAGGTATAATTCATCTTAACCTTGGATTTGTCAACGATTTCTTGCATATAACACAAAAATCACAAGCAACAAAAGAAAAAATAGATGAATTGGGCGTGATCAGAAGTAAAAAGGTTCTGTGCTTCAAAGGACATCATCAAGAAAGTGAGAAAAAACACACAAAATGAAAAAAAATTGCAAATTATATATCTAATAAGGGATCTGTATCCAAAATATATAAATAATTCTTACAATTCAATAATAAAAAAAAATAACCCAGTTGAAACAGTCAAAGGATCTGAATGGACATTTCTCCAAGAAACATATAAAAATATCTAAAAAACACATGAAAATATGCTCAACATCGTGTCATTAGGGAAGTGCAAATTAAAACCACAATGAGATACCACTTGGATGGCTATAAAAACAATGAAAAATAACAAGTGTTGGTAAGAATACAGAAAAATTGAAACCCTCATAAACTACTAGTGGGACTATAAAATGGTGCAGCAATGCTGGAAATCAATGTAGTAGTTCCTAAAAGCATTAAATATAGAGTTGCCATGTGACCCAGAAATTTCACTCCTTGGTATTTGCCCAAAAGAAATGAAAACATATGTTCATACACAAGCTTTTATGTGAGAGTTCATAACAGCATTATTCATCATAGGCAAAAAGTGGAAACAACCCAAATGTCCATCAACTGATGAGTAAATGAGTAAAATATGGTATATTCCTACAATGGAATATGATTTAGCAATAAAACAGAATGAAGCACTGATACATGCTGTGACAGGTATGAAGTTTTTAATTATTATTATTATTATTTTTTTTTTTTTTGAGACAGAGTCTCACCCTGTCATCCAGGCTGGAGTGCAATGGCGTGATCTCGGCTCACTGCAACCTCTTCCTCCCAGGTTCAAACAATTCTCCTGCCTCAGTCTCCCAAGTAGCTGGGATTACAGGTGTGTGCCACCACGCCTGGCTAATTTTTTGTATCTTTTTAGTAGAGACGGGGTCTCACCATGTTGGCCACACTGGTCTTGAACTCCTGACTTCATGATCCACCCGCCTCGGCCTCCCAAAGTGCTGGGATTACAAGTGTGAGCCACTGCGCCCAGCCTGAACTTTTTAAAAATTACACTAAGTGGCTGGACGTAGTGGCTCATGCCTGTAATCCCAGCACTTTGGGAGGCTGAGGCGGGTGGATCACCTGAAGTCGGGAGTTCGAGACCAGCCTGACTAACATGGAGAAACCCCATCTTTACTAAAATACAAAATTAGCCAAGCATAGTGGTGCATGCCCGTAATCCCAGCTACCTGGGAGGCTGAGGCAGGAAAATCACTTGAACCTGGGAGGCAGAGGTTGCGGTGAGCTGAGATCGTGCCTTTGCACTCCAGCCGGGGCAACAAGAGTGAAACTCCATCTCAAAAATAATAATAATAATAATAATTGCACTAAGTGAAAGAAGCCAGTCACAAAGGACCACATATTTTATGAATCCACTTATGTGAGATATACAGAATAGATGAATCCATAAAGAGAGAAAGTACATCAGTGGTTGCATAGGACTTAGAGAGTTGGGGAGAAATAGGGAATGGCTACTAATGGGTATGGGGTTTATTTTGGGTGATGAAAGTGTTCTAAAATTGACTGTATTCATGGTTGCACAGATCTGTGAATATCCTAAAATCCATTGAACTATACACTTTAAAGTTATGGTATGTGAATTATATTTCAATAAAGCTGCAATAAAAAAAATTGGAGGGATTCCAAATCTTGGCCTCTGGCAGAGGAAATATCTGGTAGGAAGAGTGATGAAAAATCTTTCTAGAGCTCAGGAAATCATCTCATGTAGTCAGTCACCTCTTCTGCTGGTTGTTAAAGGGCACTTCAGAAATGCCTGGTCCTGAGTGCAGCAGGGAGTCCCAAAGTATGTGATAGCAGAAAGGTTAGTGGCAATTAAAATACTGTTTTTGAGATGAAGTTGGAAAAATAATAGCGTGCAACTGGTCAATCTGTTTTCTATGGTCAGAAAGAAGGTCATGGGCAAGAATTGTCCTGGGTGTGTTGTGATTCACGAGTGTTTAAGACAGGGAGAAAAAGCCGGCAGAGACAAATGTGGTTGGCATGGTAGAACCAATCCTGAGAGGAGGTGCAGAATTCCTGCGGAAAGTGCAAATGTAAGACATGTTTAAGAGCTTTGCATCAAAACTGTGAATAGGGGTTGCCTCCAAGGAGTGAATTTGGGGTAGAAGGGGAGAGAGCACTTTTACTTTTTATTGTATTTTTCTTCTATGTCATCAAAATTCTTTACAACAAATATGTATTACTTTGTGATTAACAAAAAGAAAATGAACTAATTTGCTTTGGCAAGTGTGAGTATGACTATTTAAATGAGAAAAAGATTTGGAAGAGAACCAAGAAGCAGAAGGGAAGGGAGATAGGAAAGAAAAAGAACATAGGGTAGAGGACAACAATTACCATCAAAAAGGTGTTAGGAGAAACAAGTAAATACATTGTGACTTCAAATGTTTAAAAACTAGTTCCAGAAGCGTTTTTGTAGCACAGAGTAACTAATAAAGACTGTATCCTTTATTTTGTACTTGCTTATTTAAC
Source organism: Homo sapiens (assembly GCF_000001405.40). NCBI lineage: Eukaryota > Metazoa > Chordata > Mammalia > Primates > Hominidae > Homo > Homo sapiens. Next base: position 47,967,337 of record NC_000002.12, on the reverse strand, counting down.
CCTTTTCCCATTTAGAAAAAAAAAAAGTGCAGCTCACTGCCAGAGTTCATATAATTGTACATAAACGCGCTCTGAGGCTGAAGCAAATCTGACTGATTTTTCAACGTGAAAATAAAATATAAAAACTGTTCTTGGAGCTATTTCTAAACAGAACTAACACCAGAATTGCCTGAATCATCAGAATCATCTGTTTCAGAAAAATAAGATTCATCAAATGAAGCTTCAGCCAACAACAGTTTGAGAACGATGTTAACATCATGCGTAGAAATGCTGCATTTTCTAGGATTTGACATTTTCAGTGATCGAGAATTACTATATTTTTTAAATGGAAATACCACTTTTGAAAACAGAATGCTATGAATAGAATGATATCTTTCATTTCCAAAGTCGATATACTACAGCGACATAAAAATAATAAAAGCAAGATACTTCGTGGCAAAGTTATCACGGAGTAAAAGCTGCAGCCACAAGCACTGCTGGCAAGTATTCTCGGGGCAAACAGGAAAAGGGTTAAGTGATTTTTATCAAGGTTACAAACTGAAGGTAAACTAGAATTTTAGTTAAAAAAAAAAAAAGTTGGGATACATACATTGGAATACTGAATACCAGGCTAATGTTTTAGTTTATTCTGTAGAGAATGAGAATTTCTCAAAGAATTTTTAGCGAGCAGAATTGTATTTGGCACTAACGTATAGAAGTGGTTCTCAAACCTGACTGTGCATCAGAATCATAGAACTAACTTTAAAGATATATAGATTCCTTGGGCCTACCACCGTTCTTATTCAGTAAGTTTGGGCTGGAGGCTGGGGTCCAAGGCTCTGTCTGCATTTGTAAATCTTACATGTCTCTGATGCTCTACCACTTTAGGAATGGGTGAAATATAGGATGGATACAGTGCAGGAGATGATGCACACAGGGAGACAGGAGGCCTCTGGAAAAGTTCTGGCCCAGTGTGCTGGACTACTGAACTGGAATGGTAGTAGAAAAGAAAGGATTAATATAACCACAGTATATGAAGCAAAAATTAAAATATTAATATTAGCCAGGCGCAGTGGCTCACACCTCTATTCCCAGCACTTTGGGAGGCCAAGGTAGGCGGATCATTTGAGGTCAGGAGTTCAAGACCACCCTGGCCAACATGGTGAAACCCTGTCTCTACTAAAAATACAAAAATTAGCCTGGTGTGGTGGCTTGCGCCTGTAATACCAGCTACTCAGGAGGCTGAGGCAGGAGAATCGCTTCAACCTAGGAGGCAGAGGTTGCAGTGAGCTGAGATCATGCCACTGGACTCCAGCCTGGGCAACAGAGTAAGACTCTGTCTCAAAAACAAACAAACAAAACAAAAAACCTTACATAACCCTAATTTATAGGGTTATTTTTAAGCTACAGAAATCAAGGCAGTGTGCTGTTGTTGAAAGAGTAGACATACAGATCTGTGGCAGAGACAGTAAGATTTGACGAATGCTTGATAGTATGTCCTGTGAGACAATTATCAGTCTGTTTGGTTAACTACACGGTATCCCAGACCCTCGAACAGTGTATGGATGTAGTAAGGCTCAATAATGTTTGCTCAATGAAAGGAAAAATGAATGAGTGAATGAATAAATGAGAGAATGTCAAAGCTGACGCCAGGGGTTTGAGTAGTGTGACTTTAGCTTGTGGTACAGACATTTAGGGAATCTGGTTTCAGGAAAAATAATGAGATAGATTTCCATGGTTGAATGAGAAGGAATGGCGATGTTACCCGTGGAGGGTCTTGACTGAGAGTAGTCCAGGCTCTTGGTGTTTTGAACAAAGAATTGGACAAAACACACAAAGCAACAAAAGAACGAAGCAACAAAAGCATAGATTTATTGAAATGAAAGTACATTCTACAGAGTGGGGGCAGGCTCAAGCAAGCAGCTCAAGAGCACTGGTTATAGAATTTTCTGGGGTTTACCCTCTAAAGGTTTCCCATTGGTTACTTGGTTTACACCCTATTTAAATGTAGGAGTGGCCTGCGACCAGTCTGAACACCAAACAATCAGAGGCTGAAGGGAAATTACAAAATTACACTCTATGCAAACATCTGATTGGCTATGGGAGGGGGCCAATCAGAGGCTGAAGTGAAGTTAAAAACTTACACCCCTATGCAAATGAAAACTAGGTCCATGACCAGTCTGACTGGTTGCCAGAGGGGAGCAATCAGAGGTACTTTCCGTTTCTCATCTGTGACACAGAAAGCAGGAGATTGCAAAGGGGAGTAGCTTCTATTCTTTTGTTACCTGGGTGTGGAAAGTTGGGTTTCCTTTTGATTTAGTTCTAGGAAGTCAGTGTCAATCATCCTTAGGTTCCCTGCCTCCAGACCCTATTCTCTTACTTCAGTGAGATGTGCAATGCTCTAGGGATTATAGGGAAATCCGTGAGTGCACCTCTCTATGTAGAGCATTATGGCTGGGACAGTAGCAGGAAGAAGTCTAGAGAAATTTTCATGGCTATAAATCCTTTCTGTAACTATTTACAAAATCGAGCTCTGTGTGACTTTCAATCTGGTCGTCAGGTCGTGCCGTGTTCTCTGACTGCAGGTGGGAAGTTGGCAGCTAGGAGGTTTGGACAAGTCCACGTTGTCTCCTTTGAGCTTTTAATTAGGTCAACTCACCTCACGCTTTTAGTTGCCACCCACAAAGGAGTGTGTACTTCAGCCTCATTCACCCACATATCAAGTACTCCCTAACTCCTCTCTACTCAATCCCTCCTTACACCTTTCAAATACCTCATCTCCACAATCCACCTACCCCATCCTGAGAACCACCAAAATCCTTTCCTATATTTACTTGGCCCTTGACCTTTGGGCCCTGCCTCCCTTTCACAGAGAGGTGGGACTTCTCCTGGTGTAACCCTGAGTATCCTCTCAGAAATGTGTCTGGACTTTCATTCTGCCTCCCTCCCTCTGCTCCTGGCCACCCTGGTCATCAACTTCTAAGCTAGGACCTCACCAAACCAGCTTGGTTCTCCCCAGAAGGAGGATGACAAACATGCAGGAGAGAGCTTTAGAAAGTAAATGAACATTTCCTTCCTCCCTATAAGAGAAACTAAGACATGGACTAGACCCGTGGTCCATTTCCATTTAGGCTGAATCACACCTGGGTCAATCCCCACTTACAGATATCGAACAGAACATCATCTTCCTATGGAATCCTGGGCATTAATTGACAGAAAGAGAGAGATAGAAAGAGAATGAAAGAGGGGCCGGGCGCGGTGGCTCACGCCTGTAATCCAAGCACTTTGGGAGGCCGAAGCGGGAGGATCATGAGGTCAGGAGATCGAGACCATCCTGGCTAAAACGGTGAAACCCCGTCTCTACTAAAAATACAAAAAAACTAGCCAGGCGTGGTGGCGGGCGCCTGTAGTCCCAGCTATTCGGGGGCTGAGGCGGGAGAATGGCGTGAACCCGGGAGGTGGAGCTTGCAGTGAGCCAAGATCGCGCCACTGCAGTCTAGCCTGGGCAACAGAGTGAGACTCCGTCTCAAAAACAAAACAAAACAAAACAAAATAAAACAAAACAAAAGTATCTTTTTCTTGAACTGATTTCATTTTCAGTTATCAAAGATTTTTTGTTAGATATGTTTATTGACCATTTTAATTTTTGTGAGTTTCCTTTTCATGTTATTTGCCTATTTTTCTTTTTCTTATTTTATAAACAATTACCTTGTTTATTAATAAGAGCTTTTTATATATCGAGACTATTATATTAACCCTTTGTTAACCATGTGTGTTGGAAGTATTTTTTTAGTTTGTCTATTGTCTATGTCTTTGTGGTATTTGTTTTGCTTTGTATGTTGCTCACATAAAAATGTATTATTTTTGTTCAGACAAGTCTATTTGATATTTGCCTTTAGAAGAGAAAATCTTGAAAGAAGCTAGGGATGAAAAAACTTAATAATGATGAATGAAAATAAGAATTACATTGGACTTCGCTTCAGAAACCATGCAAGCAAGAAGAGGGTGGAGTGAAATATTTGAAGTGTTAGGCAAAAAAAAACCCACAAACCTGGAATTCTGTATCCAGTATTTTTGCTTAGGATAGCTTTGACTATTCTGGGTCTTTGGTTGTTCCATATAAATTTTAGGATTGTTTTTTCTATTTCTGTGAAGAATTTCATTGGTATTTTGAATTTCATTGGTATTTTACTTTGGAAATTGTCTTTCCAAAGTAAAAGGTAAATAAAAATTTTTTCAGGCTGATAAAAACTGAGGCAATCTGTCACTATTAGACCTATCTTGCAAGAACTGTTAAAAAAAAGTTCTCCAGCAAACAGAAAAGTTATGTCAGAAATTCAGATCTACATTTAAAAAACAAAGACTGTTAGAGAAAGAATTAATGAAGGTAAAATAAAATTTTGATATTCTTTTTAAAAATTGTTTGTGGTACAGAATAAGTGTATATATTTATGGGGTACATGCAATGTTTTGATAAAGGCATGCAATGTGAAATAAGCACATCATTGGTGAATGAGGTATGCATCCCCTCAAGCATTTATCTTTGAGATACAAACAATCCAATTACATTTTTAAGTCATTTTAAAACATACAATTAATTTATTATTAACTATAGTAACCCTATTGTGCTACCAAATAATAGATCTTATTCATTCTTTCTTACTTTTTTTGCGCCCATTAACCATTCCCACCTCCTCCCTCAGCCCTGCACTATTTATCCCAGCCTCTGGTAATCATCCTTCTACTCTCTGTATTCATCAGTTCAATTGTTTTGATTTTTAGATCCCACAGATAAGTGAGAACATGTGATGTTTGTCTCTCTGTGCCTGGCTTATTTCACTTAACATAATAATCTCCAGTTCTATCCATGTTGTTGCAAATGATTGGATCTCATTCTTTTTATGGCTGAATAGTACTCCATTGCATGTAAGTACCACATTTTCTTTAGCCATTCATCTGCTGATGAACACTTAGATTGCTTCCAAATCTTAGCTGTTGTAAACAGTGCTGCAACAAACATGGGAGTGTAGAGATCTCTTCAATATACTGATTTCCTTTCTTTCAGGTCTATACCCAGCAATGGGATTGCTGGATCATATGGTAGCTCAATTTTTAGTTTTTTGAGGAACCTCCAAACTATTCTGTATAGTAGTTTTACTAATTTACATTCCTACCAACATTGTGCAAGGGTTCTCTTTTCTCCCGCATTCTCTCCAGCATTTGTTATTGCCTGTCTTTTGGATATAAGCCATTTTAACTAGGATGAGATGATATCTCATTGTAGTTTTGATTCACATTTCTCTGGTGATCAATAATGTTGAGCACCTTTTCATATGCCTGTTTGCCATTTGTATGCTTTCTTTTGAGAAATGTCTATTCAAATAATCTGCCCATTTTTTATTGGATTATTAGATTTTTTTTCCTGTAGAGTTGTTTAAGCTCCTTACATATTCTGATTATGAATTATTTGTCAGATGGGTAGTTTGCAAATATTATCTCCCATTGTGTGGGTTGTCTATTCACCTTGTTGATTGTATTCTTTGCTGTGCAGAAGCTTTTTAAGTTGATGTGATCTCATTTTGTCCATTTTTGCTTTGGTTTCCTGTGCTTGTGGGGTATTGCTCAAGAAATTTTTGCCCAGTCCAATGTCCTGGAGAGTTTTCCTAATATTTTCTTGTAGTAGTTTCATAGGCTGAGATCTTAGAGTTAAGTCTTTAATTCATTTTGATTTGATTTGTGTATATGGTGAGATAGGAGTCTAGTTTCATTCTTTTGCATACAGATATGCTGTTTTCCCAGCACCATTTATTGACAAGACTATCTTTTCCCCAGTGTAAGTTCTTGGCAACTTTGATGAAAATGAGTTCATTATAGGTGCATGGATTTATTTCAGGGTTCTCTATTCTGTTTCATTGGTCTATGTCTCTGTTTTTATGCCAGGATCATGCTGTTTTGGTTACTATAGCTATGTAGTGTAATTTGAAGTCAGGTAGTGTGATTCCTCCAATTTTATTATTTTGCTTAGGATAGCTTTGACTATTCTGGGTCTTTGGTTGTTCCATATAAATTTTAGGATTGTTTTTTTCTATTTCTGTGAAGAATTTCATTGGTATTTTGACAGGGATTGCACTGAATTTGTAGATTGCTTTGGATAGTGTGGACATTTTAACAATATTGGTTCTTCCAATCCATGAACATGGAGTATTTTTCCATTTTTATGGTGGTCTCTTCAATTTCCTTCATCGGTGTTTTATAGTTTTCATTATAGATATCTTTCACTTCTTTGGTTAATTCCTAGGTATTTAATTTTGTGTGTGGCTATTGTAAATAAGATTACTTTTTACTTTCTTTTTCACATTGTTCACTGTTGGCATATAGAAATGCTACTGATTTTGTATGTTGATTTTGCATCCTTCAACTTTACTGAATTTATCAATTTTAGTCAATTTCTTGTGCAGTCTTTAGGTTTTTTCAAATACAAGATTATATCATCAGCAAACAAGGATAATCTGAATTCTTCCTTTTCAATTTGGATGCCCTTTATGTCTTTCTCTTGTCTGATTGCTCTAGCTAGGACTTCCAGTACTGTGCTGAACAACAGTGGTGATGGTGAACATCCTTGTCATGTTCCAGATCTTAGAGGAAAGGCTTTCAGGTTTTCCCCATTCAATATGATACTAGCTTTTGGTCTGTCATATATGGCTTTTATTATGTTAAGATACGTTCCTTCTATACCCAGTTTTTTGAGAAGTTTTTGTTTGTTCGTTTTGTTTTTTGTTGTTGTTTGTTTGTTTGTTTGTTTTTGAGATGGAGTCTTGCTCTGTCGCCCAGGCTGGAATGCAGTGGCGAGGTCTCAGCTCACTGCAACCTCCACCTCCAGAGTTCAAGCAGTTCTCCTGCCTCAACCTCCTAAGTAGCTGGGATTACAGGTGCCTGCCACCACGCCCGGCTAATTTTTGTATATTTAGTAGAGACAGGATTTTGCCATGTTGGCCAGGCTGGTTTCAAACTCCTGACGTCCGGTGATCCACCTACCTCAGCCTCCCAAAGTGCTGGGATTACAGGCGTGAGACACTGTGCCTAGCCTGAGGGTTTTTATCATAAAGAGATATTGAATTTTCTCAAATGCTTTTTCAGCATCAATTGAAATAATCATATAATTTTTATCCTTCATTCTGTTGATATGATGCATCATATTGATTGATTTACATAAGTTGAACCATCCTAGCATCCCAGGGATAAATCCCACTGGGTCATACTGAATGATATTTCTAATGTATTATTGAATTCAATTTGCTAGTATTTTGTTGAGGATTTTTGCATCAGTATTCTTCAGATATATTGATCTGTAGCTTTCTTTTATTGATGTGTCTTTGGTTTTGGTACAAGGGTATTACTGGCCTCATAGAATGAGTTTGGAAGTATTCCCTCATCCTCTATTTTTTCAGAATAGTTTGAGTAAAATTGGTATTAGTTCTTCTTTAAATGTTTGGTAGAATTCAGTTGTGAAGCCACAGGGTCCCAGGCTTTTCTTTGCTGAGAGATTTTTTATCATGGCTCCAATCTCATTACTTTCTATTGGTCTGTTCAGGTTTTGGATTTCTTCCTGGTTCAAATGTGGTAGGTTATATGTGTCTAGAAATCTGTCTATTTCTTCTAGATTTTCCAATGTATTGGCATATAGTTGCTCATAGTAGCCACTAATGATTCTTTGAATTTCTGCAGTATCAGTTGTAATGTCTCCTTTCTCATTTCTGATTTTATTTATCTGGATCTTCTGTTTTCTTAGACTGGCTAAAGGTTTGTCAATTTTGTTTAACTTTTAAAAAAACCAACTTCTTGTTTCATTGATCTTTTGTATTGCTTTTTAAATTTCAATTCCATTGATTTCTGCTCTGATCTTTATTATTTTTCTTCTTATACTAGTTTTGCATTTGGTTTGCTCTTGCTTGTCTAGTTCTTTAAGATGCATCATTAGATGTTTTATTTGAAGCTTTTCTTCTTTTTTGATGCAGGTATTTATAACTATAAACTTTCCCTTGAATATAGCTATTGCTGTATCACATCATTTTTGATATGTTGTGTTTCCATTATCATTTGTTTCAAGAAATTTTTCAATTTCCTTCTTAATTTTTTCATTAACTCACTGATTATTCAGCAGCATATTGTTTAATTTCCATGTATTTGTATAGTTTCCAAAATTCCTCTTGTATTAATTTTTTGTTTTATTCCATTGTGGTCAAAGAAGATGCTTGATATTATTTCTATATTTTGAATGTTTTAAGACTTGTTTTGTGACCTAACATATGCTCTATCCTTGAGAATGATCCAGGTGCTGATGAAAAGAATGTGTATTTGCAGCTCTTGGATGAAATGTTCTGTAAATATCTATCAGGTCCTTTTGGTCTGTAGTGCAGGTTAAGTTTGATGTTTCTTTGTTGATTTTCTGTCTGGAAGACCTGTCCAATGCTTAAAATGGGGTGTTGAAGCCTCCAGCTATTATTGTATTGGGGCCTCTAATAATATTTTCTTTATATATCTGGGTGCTCCAGTGTTGGGTGCATATAAATTTAAAATTGTTATATCCTCTTGCTGAATCATCCCCTTTATTATTATATGGTGACCTTCTTTGTCTCTTCTTATAGCTTTTGTCTTGAAATCTATTTTGTCTGATATAAGTATAGTGACTCCTGCTCTTTTTCAGTTTTCCATTGGCATGGAATATTTTTTCCATCCCTTTATTTTCAGTCTATGTGTGTCTTTATAGGTGAAGTGCGTTTTTTTGTAGGCAACAGGTCAGTGGATCTTGTTTTTTTCATCCATTCTGCCAATCTATGTCTTTTGATTGGAGAGTTTCATCCATTTACATTCAATGTTATTATTGCTAACTAAAGACTTACTACTGCCGTTTTGTTATTTGTTTTCTGGTTGTGTTGTGGTCTTCTCTTCTTTGTTTCTTTCCTTCCTGTCTTAAGGGTGATTTCCTCTGGTGATATGATATAGTTTCTTGCTTTTTATTTTTTGTGTATCCATTGTATGTTTTGTGGTTTGAGATTACCATGAGGTGTGCAAATACTATCTTATAACCCATTATTTTAACCTGATAACAACTTAAAACTATTTGCATAAACAAACAAAAAGAAAACTAATAAATACCTTATGCCTTAACTTCATTTCTCCACTTTTTAACATTTCGTTGTCTCTGTTTGTATCTTATTGTATTGACTATGTCTTAAAAAGTTGTCGAAGTTATTATTTTTGATTGGTTCATCATTTAGTCTTTCTACTTAGGATACAGTTACGATGTTATAATATTCTGTGTTTTTCTGTGTACTTACTGTTACCAGTAAGTTTTATACCTTCAGGTGATTATTTATTTCTCATTAATGGCCTTTTAAGGTGATTATTTATTGCTCATTAATGGCCTTTTCTTTCTGATTGAAGTACTCCATTTATCATTTCTTGCAAGACAGGTCTGGTATTGCTAAAATCCCCCAGCTTTTGTTTGTCTGGGAAAATCTTTATTTCTCCTCATGTTTGAAGGATACTTTCACTGGATAGGGTAAAAGTTTTTTTTCCTTCAGCACTTTAAATAGGTCATGCCCCTCTTTCCTGGCCTGTAAGGTTTTCACTGAAAAGTCTGCTGCCAGACATAATGAAGCTCCATTGTATGTTATTTGTTTCTTTTCTCTTGCTGCTTTTAGGATTCTTTCTTTATCCTTGACCTTTGGGAGTTTGATCATTAAATGCCTTGAGGTAGTTGCTTTGGGTTACATCTGACTGGTGTTCTATAACCTTTTGTACTTGGATATTGATATCTTTCTCTAGGTTTGGGAAGTTACCGCTTTGAATGAACTTTCTACCCCTATCTCTTTCTCTACCTCCTCTTTAAGGCCAATAACACTTAGATTCGCCCTTTTGAGGCTGTTTTCTACATTCTGTAGGTGTGCTTCATTGTTGTTTATTCTTTTTTCTTTTGTCTCCTCTGACGATGTATTTTCATGGTTTTTTTTTTTTTTCACTTTTATTTTAGATTTGGGGTATATGTGAAGGTTTGTTACATAGGTGAACTCGTATCATGGGGGCTTGTTTTACAGATTATTTCATCACCCAGATATTAAGCCCATTGCCCAATAATAACATTTTCTGCTTCTCTCCTGCCTCTCACCCTCCACTCTCAAGTAGACCCCAGAGTCTGTTGTTCCCTTTGTGTTCATGAGTTCTCATCATTTAGCTCCCACTTATAAGTGAGAACATGCAGTATTGGATTTTCTGTTCTTGTGTTAGTTTGCTAAAGCTAATAGCCTCCGGATCCATCCATGTTCCCACAAAAGACATGATCTCATTATTTTCTATGGCTGCATAGTATTCCATGGTGTTTATGGACCATATTTTCTTTATCCAGACTGTCACTGATGGACATTTAGGTTGATTCCATATCTTTGCTATTGTCAATAGTGCCGCAATGCACATTCATGTGCATGTGTCTTTAGAATGATTTATATTCTTCTGGTATGTACCCATTAATGGGATTGCTGGATTGGATGGTAGTTGTGCTTTTAGCTCTTTGAAAAATCACCATACTGCTTTCTGCAATGGTTGAACTAATTTACACTCCCACCAACAGTGTATAAGTGTTCCCTTTTCTCTGCAATCTCACCAGCATCTGTTATTTCTTGACTTTTTAATAATAGCCATTCTGACTGGTGTGAGATAGTATCCCAATGTGGTTTTCTTTTTTTATTTGTTTGTTTCTTTTGAGATGGAGTCTGACTCTATTGCCCAGGCTGGAGTGCAATGGCATGATCTCAGCTCACTACAACTTCTGCCTCCCCAGTTCAAGCAATTCTCCTACCTCAGCCTCCCGAGTAGCTGGGACTACAGGCGTGCATCACCACGTCCGGCTAATTTTTGTATTTTTAGTAGAGAGGGGGTTTTACCGTGTTGGCCAGGCTGGTCTCAAACTCCTGACCTCAAATGATCCACCTGCCTCAGCCTCCCAAAGTGCTGGGATTACAGGCAGGAGCCACCACACCCTGCCCCATTGTGGTTTTGATTTGCATTTTTCTAATTATCAGTGATATTGAACTTTTTTTCACGTTTTTGGCTGCAGGTATGTCTTTTTTTGAAAAGTGTCTGTTCATGTCCTTTGCCCACTTTTTAATGGTGTGGTTTGTTTTTCTCTTATAAATTTATTTAAGTTGCTTACAGATGCTGGATATTAGGCTGGGTCCAGTGGCTCACACCTGTAATCCCAGCATGTTGGGAGGCCGAAGTGGGCAGATCACTTGAGGTCAGGAGTTGGAGACCAGCCTGGCCAACATAGTGAAACCCTGTCTCTGCTAAAAATACAAAAGTTAGCTGGGCATGGTGGTGAGCACCTGTAATCCCAGCTACTTGGGAAGCTGAGGCAGAAGAATCACTTGAACATGGGAGGCAGAGGTTGCAGTGAGCCAAGATCCTGCCACTGCACTCCCACCTGGGCAACAGAGCAAGAGTCTATCTAAAAAGAAAAAAAAAAAAGAGCTGGATATTAGACCTTTGTCAAATGTATAGTTTGCAAATATTTTCTCCCATTTTGTAGGTTGTCTGTTTACTATGTTAATAGTTTCTTTTGCTGTGCAGGAGCTCTTAAGTTTAATTAGATCCCATTTGTCCATTTTTGCTTTCATTGCAATTGCTTTTGGTGTCTTTGTCATGAAATTTTTGCCCATTCCTTTGTCCAAGATGGTATTGCCTAGGTTGTCTTCCAGGGTTTTTATACCTTGGGGTTCTACATTTAAGTCTTTAATCCACCTTCAGTTGATTTTAGTATATGGTGTAAGGAAGGAGGCTAGCTTCAATTTTCTGCATATGGCCAGCCAGTTATCCCAGCACCATTTATTGAATAGGGAGTCTTTTCTCCATTGCTTGTTTTTGTCACTTTGTTGAAGATCAGAGGGGCATAGGTATGTGGCCTTATTTCTGCGCTTTCTGTTCTGTTCCATTGGTCTATATGCCTGTTTTTGTAGCAGTACCATGCTGTTTTGGTTTCTGTAGCCCTGTTGTATAGTTTGAAGTCAGGTAACATAATGCTTCCAGTTTTGTTCTTTTTGCTTAGGATTGCCTCGGCTATTCAGGCTCTTTTTTGATTCCCTGTAAAAAAAAAAAAAAAAAAATTTGAGACAGAGTTTCGCTCTTGTCTCCCAGGCTGGAGTGCAATGGCACGTTCTCGGCTCACTGCCACCTCCACCTCCTGGGTTCAAGGTATTCTCCTGCATCAGCCTCCCGAGTGGCTGGGATTATAGGCGCCTGCCACCACACCCGGCTAATTTTTGTATTTTTAGTAGACACAGGGTTTCGCCGTGTTGGCCAGGCTTGGCCTGGAACTCCTTGCCTCGTAATCCACCTGCTTCGGCCTCCCAAAGTGGTGGGATTACAGGCGTGAGACACTGCACCCAGCCAATTTTAATAAATTTAAATAACCACATGTGGCTAGTGGCTACCACTACTGAACAACACAGAATTAGATGATTTTTAGTTAATTTAGACAGTTGTAAAACCATCATCACAATTCAGGTTTAGAATACTTTCGTTATGAAGTCCTTTTAGCTTTTAATTTCTGTTAATACTTCTTTCCATTCTCCTAATTCTTAGTATTGTTCCAATTAGGGTTTGACCATTATCCAGTCTCTATATGTACCTATAACTTTAAAATTCTTATCAGAATTCATTACATTTTAGATTAAATTTGCTCGTTCTTTTACCTTTGGACTATTAACTGAAATCAGGTCAAAGAGAAAATGAATATTTTGCTTGAGAATTGGGGTTCAGATATAGAAGAAATTAGGGAGTAAAGGGCATATCCTAGGTAACAGAGAGGACATTAGGGGCACAATGGACACAACCAAGCCCACTCTTTCAGGTCCAGAAGGAGGAGGGCTCTTTTTTTTTTTTTTTTTTTTTTTTTTTGAGATGGAGTCTTGCTCTGTCGCCCAGGCTGGAGTGCAGTGGCACGATGTCAGCTCACTGCAAGCTCCGCCTCCCAGGTTCACGCCATTCTCCTGCCTCAGCCTCCCGAGCAGCTGGGACTACAGGCGCCTGCCACCGCGCCCGGCTAATTTTTTTGTATTTTTAGTAGAGACAGGGTTTCACTGTGTTAGCCAGGATGGTCTCGATCTCCTGACCTCATGATCCGCCCGCCTCGGCCTCCCAAAGTGCTGGGATTACAGGCGTGAGCCACCGCGCCCGGCCTGGAGGAGGGTTCTCAGGGCCAAACCTTTTCTAGTCAGAGCTCTTTTAGCAAATGTTGAGTTTTGCGGGGAGAAAATGTTCAGTATTTCAGATTTCTTCTCCTTCCTCCTGCTCCCTTCTAAGATAACAAATGGCATGCCGAGCTGGGGTATAACTTGCATGACCACATGGCAGCGGAGGCATTACTGGGATCCATGCGATGTCCTTTGTTTGGTTTTTGTTATCGTTTGGTTTTTTTTTTGAGACAGAGTCTCACTCTGTCGCCCAGGCTGGAGTGCAGTGATACGATCTCAGCTCACTGCAACCTCTGCCTCCCGGGTTCAAGCGATTCTCGTGTCTCAGCCTCTCAAGTAGCTGGAACCACAGGTGTGCACCACCATGCCTGGCTAATTTTTGTGTTTTTAGTACAGACAGGGTTTCGTCATATTGCCCAAGCTGGTCTCAAACTCCTGGGCTCAAGCGATCCACCCGCCTTGGCCTCCCAAAGTGCTAGGATTACAGGCGTGAGCCACCGCACCCGGCCGCAATGTCCTTTGGCTCCTTGTTGGTCTTGGTTGTAGAGTGACTAGACCAGACAGTTTCCTAGACTGGAGATAATAGGAAAGGGAAAACTGGTCCTATCTGACTCTTGGGGCTGATACGCTGACAGTTACAACTGGAGCCCCAGGTCCCAACCATGAGCTCTTGGTCCCACCTGCTGGGGCTCTTTTTATTCTACCCTCCATTCTTCTTAAATACAATTCTCCCAACCCCTCTCTTTCCCCACCCCACTCCCCACCTCCCCAGACACTGGCATTGGTGTTCTCTGGACTCCTTACTCTAAGGCAGCAAGCTTTGGATAGAAGTATTCTTTGCATTATGGAAAAAATAGTATGGTGTAAGAGTCCTTCAGTGCCATTGATGTGTAAAGTAATTTCGAAAAATCTTTTTTTTTTTTTTTAAATGACACAAGGCTTTTACCACAATTTTCTTGCTGGAGGAAAAAAGGCCAAGTAATGGCTTAGGGGGAAAAAAGCAGGTATCTATTATTTTCCTTAGGCTCTGAAACTCAACTGCTGCAGTGGATGGGAAGTCCCATGGCAGTAAGATTTACAGAATAAAGAAATATATCTGACAGTATTTCCAAAATGTCTCCTCTGCTTCATTCTCTCTTCCCCATATACTCTATAAATGAGGGGCTTCGTGTACCTTGTTTATTGCTGCACCCTAGCTCCTACAGCAGTGCCTGGCACATGGAAAGGGCATCCCTGTTTCCTGGGTTGGGGTATGGATGGGGCACAACCTCATCCCACAACAGTTCAGAGTGACTTTAGGAAGTCAATTATACTGCTGCTAAAAAATTATAAAACCAAGCAGGAATTTGTTTCTAACCACCTATGTCTTATGTTTGCTCATGCCACTATTTTCTGAGAGTTCAGAATTAACTGTCTCATCTAATTATTGATCAATGCTATGTACTATACAAATAATCCTTCAGTCTCTGTTCTTACTAAGAGGAACTACTGCACAGATAATTCAAAATATCAGATAAATTTGTACCCGATATGCATATTCCTTTTAGGTTGAGGAATTTCTAGCCCTAAGGTTAATTTTAACCAGTTGGACTTGGTCTTGCAAATTACATGCGTTCAATACCTCTGCTGCCTAGAGAAAAATTTCCCCAAACTGAACTGCTATGAGTATTCATAATTTTCTGATTCTCAAAGTAATATGAATTTACTATAGAAAATCTGAAAATTGCTTATAACAAAAATTTTTGTTTTTGCTAAGTGGAGTGATAGATGTATGCATATTTGGAGAAGTGAATTGTACTCCATTAAGAAAGGAAGAGCCAGCTGGGCACGGTGGCTCACACCTGTAATCCCAGCACTTTGGAAGGCCAAGGCAGGCAAGTCACTGCACTCCAGCCTGGGCAACAGAGCAAGACTGTCTGGCGTGGTGGCGTGAACCTATAATCCCAGCTACTCAGGAGGCTGAGGCAGGAGAATCACTTGAACCTGGGAGGCTGAGGTTGCAGTGAGCTGAGATCACGCTACTGCACTCCAGCCTGGGCAACAGAGCAAGACTGTCTGGAATAGAGGAAGCCAGAAACCAGCCTGTCTAGGTGCTGCCCAAAAGAAGGAAAACAAAGGGAAAGCCTTGTTTGGCTTGTAGCTTGAAAGAATTGAGAGATGAGACACAACTGAAGGAAATACAGGAATTGCCCTGGACTGGAAAATATTCCTCTGTCTTTCTTACAAAACCGTCAGTAAAAAAAGCATCATTTGGGGGTTGGGGGCAGTGGCTCACACCTGTAATCCCAGGACTTTGGGAGGCCAAGGCGGGCGAGTTCAGGATTGCCTGGCCAACATGGTGAAACCCTGTCTCTACTAAAAATACAAAAATTAGCCGGTGTGGTGGCGGGTGCCTGTGGTCCCAGCTACTTGGGAAGCTGAGGCAGGAGAATCGCTTGAGCCCAGGAGGTGGAGGTTGCAATAAGCCAAGATCAGGCCACTGCAAGCTCTGCCTCCCGGGTTCACTCCAGCCTCGGCAACAGAGCGAGACTCCATCTCAAAAAAAGAGGCCGGATAGAAGCCCAGCTGATGTGATTGAAATATGGTTTTCATTCTAGATTTATTTTGATCCTGTGCTCATTTTTTTCTTTGCAGGAGGAAAAAGAGGAAAGGCATAAAACCCCTCTTGGCACTATGTGTATTATATTTAGTCCATGGCCAAAGAGAGTTTTATGGGAAAGTTTGCTTGTGCCAGCAAAGCATTTTCTTTTCCTCCATCCATAGTTTTAAAAACAAAAACAAAAACATTAACTAAAACAAAGTCTGCCACCTCCTCCAAAAAAAAAAAAAAAAAAAGAAAAAGAAGAAAACCCACAGAAGTACTTGCACTAATATGAAACTTTTCATAGTTCAGTCTTTCCCAAAAATTAATGCATAGGACTGATTGCAGTTATGAAACATTGAAAACTCTGGCTTTTCAGTAACTTAGTGTCCTGTTCAGACATCCTTGGAAGAAAGCCAAACGGGACTGAAATAATCTTCTGCAAAGCTAAAAGATGATTATCTCCTTTGGCTTTACTATTTGACTCTCTAAATATCTAGCTTTCAAAAAAGCTAGAATAAACCAGTTTAGATGGTGACAGATTTTTCCTTCTTCTTAAAGTTATGGTAAATTATGTTCATATATTCACATACAGTCTTATATTTGAGATTAACTGCAGCCTTGGTAGATGGTTATTTTAATGGTGCAGAGGGAGCTCTGCTGCCCTTGGATGACTTCCCTATCTACTATCTAAAATCTGAGAGTTTGTACTGGAGTTTTGCCTTTTAACAAGGTTTTCCTGGGATTAAATGCAATATTCTCAAAGGTTAATGCTAATTATTGTTACCTCTGCATGAATGGCTTTACCAGGCATTCTCTCCAGGGCTACTGTTTGTTTTTTTCTTCTTCTTCTTCTTCTTCTTCTTCCTCTTCCTCTTCCCCTTCCCCTTCCCCCTCCCCCTCCCCCTCCCCCTCCCCCTCCCCTTCCCCTTCCCCTTCTTCTTCTTCTTCTTCTTCTTTCTTCCTTCCTCTTCCTCTTCCTCTTCCTCTTCCTCTTCTTCTTCTTCTTCTTCTTCTTCTTCTTCGTCTTCATTTATTTTTGCTTCCATCTCCCTTTCCTGGTACCCAGGGCTAGCTTTGACAGTAAGAAGTTACACATTCTGCTGGGAGCCAGCCTCAACTTAGGGGATCACAAAGGAAGCAAGAAGCAGCTGGGAAGAAGTACAGAGCCTGTGACACAACTAGAAAATAGGCACAATGGCAGTCTGCTCTACACGTACCCTGCAAAACACACCTGTGTTTTATGCTGCCTTTCTTCTTCCAACAGGATAAATTGGTTTTTCTCAGCAAGGATAACGTTGGGGTAAGGAAAGAAAACCATGTTTCGGAAGGGAAAAGCCTGGGAAAATGAGAGACAAGGAAACATCTCTTGGCTGGAGACACACACTCAGGGTTCCTTAAGACTGGGTAGTCATCTTGCATTGCCTTCACAGAGAGAGCCAAAGGCTTCCAAAGATTGTGTTGAGCCTCATCCTGGCTCAGCTGCTTAGCTCACCCTGGGCCTGGTACATCAGGCAAAGGCACAACTCAACTTCTGCCACTGTGAGTGTTTTTACTATACATCACTCTCTCTCTCAATTTTTTTTTTTTTTTTTTTTTTTTTTTTTTTTTTTTTTTTTGAGACGGAGTCTTGCACTGTCGCCCAGGCTGGAGTGCAGTGGCGCGATCTTGGCTCACTGCAAGCTCCGCCTCCTGGGTTCATACCATTCTCCTGCCTCAGCCTCCCGAGTAGCTGGGACTACAGGCGCCCGCCACCACACCCAGATAATTTTTTGTATTTTTAGTAGATATGGGGTTTCACCGCGTTAGCCAGGATGGTCTCGATCTCCTGACCTCGGGATTGCCCGCCTTGGCCTCCCAAAGTGCTGGGATGACAGGAATGAGCCACCGCACCCAGCCCACTCTCTCTCAACTTCTGTGAAACAATTGATGTCCTGTAAGAAACAATTGATTTCTAATTGGATCTTTCCTAGAAAACCAAGTTTACAAGGTTTTTATATACTGGCTGGGCACGGTGGCTCACACCTGTAATCCCAGCACTTTGGGAGACCTACGTGGGTGGATCACTTGAGGTCAGGAGTTTGAGACCAGCCTGGCCAACATGGTGAAACCTCATCTCTACTAAACATACAATAATTAGTTGGGTGTGGTGGTAGGTGCCTGTAATCCCAGCTACTCGGGAGGCTGAGGCAGGAGAATTGCTTGAACCGGGGAGGCAGAGGTTGCAGTGAGTGGATCACACAACTGCACTTCAGCCTGGGTGACAGAGCAAGACTCTGTCTCAAAAAAAAAAAAAAAAAAAGATTTTTGTATACTAAGCATAAGAGTCTTTGGTTAAATATAAAATACATTTGGTCTTCTGAAACCAAATATTAATTAAGAAACATCTCAAGGTTTTCTTTTTGAAAAACTGAAGTCACGAGTCTTTTTTTTTTTTTTTTTAAACAGTCTTGCTCTGTTAACCAGGCTGGATTGCAATGATACAAACTCAGCTCACAGCCACCTCTGCTTCCCAAACTGAAGTAATCCTCCCTCCTTGGCCTCCTGAGTAGCTGGGACTACAGGTGTGTGCCACCATGCCCAGCTAATGTTTAAATTTTTTGTAGAGATGAGGTCTCATTATGTTACTCAGGCTGGTCTCAAACTCCTGGGCTCAAGCAATCCTCCCACCTCACCTTTCCAAAGTGCTGGGATTTCAGGTGTGAACCACCTTGCCCAGCCAAAGTCATAATACTTGAAAGGCTGAATTATGAACATAGAGTTGATATACTTTGCATGTATGTTTGAAAACTCTTTGGATCCATATAAAATAGATGATCACAGTGCTTTGTGCATAGCAGGTGTTCTCTTGAGATTAATTAAGCACGTTTATTGACTCCATTCCCTCTTACTGTGCTACATGTTTCTGAAGGGAAGTGCGACCATTACCCAGAGCTCAATTACACTGTCGGCTTTACCAGAGACACAAACTCCCAAAAGGGTCAAATCAAATTAGAAAGAATAGAAAGGATTATGTGAATTTTTAATGTTTTGGATTTTTTTAATTTGGTTTAGTTTGGTATTTTGTTTTTTGTTGTTGTTGTTTTGTTTTGTTTTTAATCCTCTCCTCTACCCCTCACAGCCTACATGCGTGTGGAAACACTTCAGGTGAGTGAGGGCTGGATTTTTTTGTCTCTACTATTTTATGACCTCACTGCCTGATCTCCTTTGGGTTCAGCCTGATTTCTTCAAGTGCTTGAAGCTATGATCACTTTTTTCTTTTTTGGAATGGAGTCTCACTCTGTCATGTAGGCTGGAGTACAGTTGCATGATCTCGGCTCACTACAACTTCCGCCTCCCGGGTTCAAGCAGTTATCCTGCCTCAGCCTCCTGGTAGCTGGGATTACAGGTGTGTGCCACCACACCCAACTAATTTTTGTATTTTTATTAGATACGGGGTTTCACCATGTTGGCCAGGCTGGTCTTGAACTCCTGACCTCAGATGATCTGCCCGCCTTGGCCTCCCAAAGTGCTGGGATTATAGGCGTGAGCCACTGCGCCCAGGCAATGATCACTTTTTAAAAAACCAATTAACTCTTTTTAAAAATACTAAAATTCTTAAACTTTCTTACTCATTCTAAAGAAGCAAAATCTAAACTAAGGCCTGAATAATTTTTTAGAAGGTCCCAGTTTCTGTGAGGAGTAAGTATGGCCCTGACCTTCACTTAAGGTGGCAGAGAATGTGTCTTTTTCCTCTGCCTTCCCTGGAAGCATTCTTCTATCCCCTGCCTTGACCCAGCATTGCAAGGTAAAAGCTGACACCAGAAGGGGAGACAAGAGGGCAAGGGAAAAACAGAAAGCAAACACACTAATGCATCTCACTATATGCATGAACATCACACGGCCACATGTGGCTTTTTATTTCTGAGAATTTAATCTCAGAACTAATCAGGGATGCCCATCCTCAACATCCTCATCTTGGAATGGGAAAGAAGATTCCTTCATTTCCAAGTAGATCCCTAGCGAACTGTCCTGAAAAGTTTGGCAAAGTACAACTCCTTTCCGGGAACCATTTGAAAATACGATATCTTGATACAAAGCAAAGTTGTTTAGATTACGTTGTGATAAAGCTAAAGTAGGGCTCAATCTCCATTTAGGCCAGGAGTCACCAAATTGTTCTGTAAAGGGTCATTTCATCTTCACTGATGAACTCTACCTTTGCAGTGTGAAAGCAGCCATGGACAATATATAAATGAATGGGCATAGCTGAGTCCCTAAATAAAACTTTACCTACAAAGATTACGAAGATGGAAGGGGGCTTGGGTTTAGCCTACAGGCCATAATTTACTGACTCCTGATTTAGACTATAATGATAATGATAAATATAATAATAATAATAAATATAACGAGTATTTCCCTCATTTAATTATTACAATGAACTCCCATGAAGTAAATCCTCATATAAAGGGATGATATTGAAAATAATTAACAATTGATATGACCAATCAGAACACACAAAGCATAGATGTATACGGTTGAAAATCAAACTGCTGTGATCACCCCACGTTATAGATTTGGGAACTGGGCTTAGAATAGGGGCGTAAATTAACCTAGATATACAAACAGTACACATAGTCGAGCTGGGCGTTTCATGCATGCAGTCTAACTCTAGAGCCCACATTCTCAGCCACCTGATACATGCTGCTGTAGGCCAGAGAGACTTTGCTCCAGATGCTTGTGTAAGTCCCTACCAGCTGTTCAATCACAAGCATGTCTTGCTAAGAGCAATCTGTTCACACTATTTCCAAAAATATTCAAAACACAGGTGAGCCAAGATAGTTTAGAAATATTGGGCAACCCACTTGGGTCCCCTTCCACACTGTAGAAGCTTTGTTCTTTCGCTCTTTGCAATAAATCTTGCTGCTGCTCACTCTTAAAAAAAAAAAAAAGAAAAAAAGAAATATTTCAGTATGTTAATACTTACATTGAAAATAAATTGACAGAAAATGTGCGTTCCTTTGGCTTTCTCTAACTTGAGTTTTTCTCCTTCTCTATCCCTAATGGCTTATTCCCGCACTTTCTTCTCTGCTCAGGTCTCTGCTCAAATGTCTTACTGTGAGGGCTTCCTGACTACCAACAGATTAATAAAATAGCACCCCCTGCCCTGCCCTTCTTATCTCTCTTTCTCTCTTGCCTTGCTTTATTTTTCTCCATAGCATGTAACACCATCGTTATACATCAGGTCCTTGAATAATTTCTTTCAATGTCATTTCATTGCAACATGAATGAGAAAAAAAAATGTTTCCCAGCCTGGGTCATTGTATGCAGTTTGCAGGTTCTCCCCATGTCTGTGTGGGTTTTCTCCAGGTACTCTGGTTTCCTCTCACATCCCAAAGATGTGCATGTTAGGTTCATTGATATGTTTAAATTGTCCCAGTCTGAGTGAGCGTGTGTGTGTGTGTGTGTGTGTGTGTGTGTGTGTGTGTGTTTGCTGCGAAAGAATGAGGTCCTGTCCAAGGCTGGTTCCCACCAGTGTCCTGAGCTGCCATGATGGACTCCAGCCACCAGCAACCCTGAACTGGAATAACTGAGTAAATGTCTTACTTGTTCTTATTCTTTCTTAAGTGTATGTATAGCTCACATTTATTTCAATCTTTAACATCAGAAGTGTTTTGGTCCTTATGTAAAAGTTTGGGAAGAGCACGGTGGCTCACGCCTAAAATTGCAGCACTTTGAGAGGCTGAGGAGGGAGGATCGCTTGAGCCTAGAAGTTTGAGACCAGCCTGGGCAACACAGTGAGACACCATCTCTATTTTGTAAACATTTATTTTTATATAAATAAAAAATGAAAGTTTGGTGATGTTTTTGTAACCAGAAATATGCCATGGGAACTTAACTGATGTACACTCCTGTTTACATCAATTAGTCTATAGTAAAATTGATTTTGTTATATATCATTTTGCTTAAGTTGCAGTTTCTAAGAACTCGTGGACACATTAAGTGAAGACTTACTGTACCACGTTTTGAATTTATTTATTGTTTGCCTCCACTAACGAGAATATGAGCTCCACAAAGTTAAGAGCTTTGTCTTGTCAGTTACTATATCCTTTAGGACCCGGAACAGCAATTGGTAAATGACTGAATGAATATTGTTTACAGTAGAAAGGCCATATGGTACGCTAATTAAAACACTGAATTTAGAATCAGAGGTGGGTTGGAATCAATCCCAGCTCTGCCACTGACTAGTTGTGTGATCTTGGACAGGTTAACCACTTGAAGCTTCAGAGACTGCAGTGAGGCCCTGGCATAGGAACATGCTCATCACGGGCATGTTCACAGAGCAAAGCAGCCAGCGTGACTGCAGCACAGAGTAGGAAGGGTGTGGAAGGAGATGAGAGAGGTGAGTGTTGAGAGGCAGATTGTACAGGTCCTGTGGGCTATTTTAAGGACTGCGAGTTTTTCTCAGAGTGACAGGAGAAGCCAGTTGGCGAATGTCAAGCAGGTAAATAAAGTGATTTGTTTTGACTAGTATAAAGACTGCATAAGGGTAAGGGCAGAGGCAGAGAGATTAGGAGGCCATTGCAATAATCTGGGTGAGAGATAATGGTGGCTTGGGCCAGGCTGGCAGCAGTGGAGGTGTTGAAAGACTGTCAGATTCAGGATGTATTTTGAAGACAGCCAACAAAATTTGCTGATGGTTTGAGTGTAGAATGGAGAAGAGAAGAGTCAACAATGATGCCAAAGTTTTGGGGGAGGATTGTGGGAGAAGCAGGTGTGGTGTGGGGGAATCAGGAATTTGGTTTTGGTTAAGTTTGAGAAGCCTATTCAATTCTCAAAATTCTCAGCCTGCTTGCTATTAGATGTTCAAGTAGAAATGTCAAGTTGGCAGTTGGATAGAAGATTCTGGCATTTATGGAAGAGGTACAGGGTAGAGATATAAACTTTAATATTGTCAACAGATAGATCAGAAGTTTCTATCCTGGCTGCTCTTAAAAATCTAAGCACCCAAGGAGCTTTTTCTTAAAAAAAAGAAAAAAGAAAAAGAGAGAGAGAGAGAGAAAAGCCTGAGCAACAACCCAGATCAATGGAATCAGAATTTATCTGGGTAGGGACTACCAGAATTTTCAACAAATTACTGAGTGTTTAGACTCAGGAAGATGAAGAGAAACTATAAAGGAATTAGAAAAGAAACAGCCATAAAATAGGAGGAAACCAGATGAGCAAGATGTCCCCAAACTCAAGTGCAAAGAGTATTTCAAGAAGACAGTAATAAACTGTGTCAGATGCTACTGATGGGCCAAGTAAGATGAGGACTAAAAAATGATTACCAAACTTAGGAAAATGTAAATAACTGTTTTCCTTGACAACTCCTCTTGGGATAGGGTCAAGAGAGATTTTACATTGATGGGCGTTATCAAGTTTATTTATACTAAAAATAATATCTCAGCCTGGTGTGGTGGCTCATGCCTATAATCTCAGCACTTTGGGAGGCCAAGGTGGGCAGATCACTTGAGTCCAGCAGTTTGAGACCAGCTTGGGCAACATGGTGAAGCCCTGTCACTACAAAAATACAAAAATTAGCTGGGCGTGATGGTGCACACCTGTAGTCCCAGCTACTTGGGAGGCTGAGTTGGGAGGATCACCTGAGCCCCGGGGTGTTGAGGCTGCAGTGAGCTGAGATAAGACCACTGCACTCCAGCCTGGATGAGAAAGCAAGACCCTGTCTCAATAATAATAATAATAATAATAATAATAGTAACATCTTGTAATTTAAAATAGCATCTTTGGACAACAGAGCTCATTAGAAGTTGTTTGTCCTGCTGTGTCTTGTGACAGCATCACCTATAACTCAATATTCAGGACAAGGTCAGTTGGTGATTTGGTCCCAGCCTGAGTCTCCTGCAAATAACATGGTCCTGCATTTTCTTCTCTGAGCTAGAATGAAGAGGGAATCTTTGAACTTGATTACCAAGGAGATGGGATGATAAATCCATCCAGCCACTCCAAGAAGCCAAGTTAAGGTAAGGTAGAAGAGGACTACATATAAATAGGACAAACCAAAGCAGACACTAAGAAAACAGAATCCCTCCTTCTTTTTATTTGAGAAAATGCCCTGTCTCTTCCCTGGAACAATAACAAACAAATGCTTAACTTATATAATGCTTTAAAGATTAGCAAACTTGAGGCCAAGTGTGGTGGCTCACACCTATAATCCCAGCACTTTCAGAGACCTAGGTAGAAGGATCACTTGAGTTCAGGAGTTCAAGACCAGCCTGGGCAACATAGTGAGAACCCCATCTCTACAATGAATTTTTTTTTTAATTAGCTGAGCATGGTGGCACGCACCTATAGTCCCAGATACTCGGGAGGCTGAGGCAGGAGGACCAGTTGAGCCTGGGAGGTTGAGGCTGCAGTGAGCCATGATCATGCCACCACACTCAGAGACCCAGTCTCTTAAAAAAAAAAAATTAACCAACTTGATTTTGCCAGACCCTGCAACAAAGGGAATTCAAAGACTTGAGCTGTCCATTGAGAAAGATCTGCTGCTTAAGTTCAAGTTCATGTCCTCCAGATGTTTCCCCCATCCTCCAGGGTCACTGCCTTCTTGTCGAACTTGAATCTGCCTTCAATTTATTAATGGATCTGGTTGGTGGCATCCACTGTTTACCAAGAGCCTTTCTACAATCCACACTACTGGACTAACGCTTTCCCCTACTTCACTCTACTCTCAAGGGATGGAAGCACTGATGAAGAGCACAGACAGAATCAAGTGTACATGCAGAACATATGGTAACCATATAAAGGGATGATGTCAAAATTCTCAGCCTCCTTGCTCTTCAGTATCTTCTTCCCCTTTACCTCGTCTGGATGGTGTATAATGAAGAGGCACCTAGCGGTGCCTCCTGCCTCTAGAGTAAGATTCAAGGGAGGATATATAGGCTCCTCCATAGGGTCAAGAGGTTTTCAAAGGCTGTGTTGTCCCATCCAGCTACCAAAACAAGAGACAAAATTGTGACCTGGAGTTGAAACTCTAGTGAGTGATAAAGAGGGGAAGTTTCCTAAAGCAGAAGTTCTCAGTCTGGGGGCTATCTGTGTGTTGTGTACTGAATTTTGTGTCCTCCCAAAATTCAGACGTTGAAGCCCTAGTCCCCATTGTGGTTGTATTTGGAGGTGGGGCTTTGGGAGATGATTAGAATTAGATTAGTTCATGAAGGTGAAGCCCTTCTGATGGGATTAGTACCCATACAAGAAGAGACACAAGATCCCTCTACCAATTATGCTAGCTCTCCTCTCTTTCTCTCTCCACCGTCTGGGATACTTCAGGAAGATGTCTGTCTGCAAACCAGGAAGAGGTCCCTCAAGCACTAAATCTGCTGGCACCTTGATCTTGGGCTTCCCAGCCTTTAGGACTGTGAGAAATCTTTGCTGTTTAAGCAATCCCATCTATGGTATTTTGTTACAGCAGCCCAAGCTGACTAAGACACTGTGGATACCTTGCATGCCTGGGAGGCTTGCACATCCTTGGACATTATAAGTAATATTTTTCTGAAAAGGGGTCATAACTCTCATCGGAGAGTCAAAAGACCAAGTCTATGACTCCCAAAAGATTATATACCACTGACGGAGTGGCCCTTGTGTTCTTATCCTGTAGAACCACAAGAAACTTGAGGATTGGGGATCCTAGTCCTGGCCTTCATTCCGTACTTGCATGACCAACATCTAAGAGTACTAACAAATATGATGAAATAAGAAAGATTCAAGAGGATACACATATTTTCTTTGTCCAATGTTGCTAATATCCACCTGAGAGTTTATTATCCATAATAAAATGTGGAATCCAGTCTGTACACCATGATCCTTAGCATGCACTTGTACTGTTTCCTATAAGCTTTTAATAATATCAACCTTAGATTCCAAGGAACCTAAATCACTGGGCCTAACACTACCACTGATTTTTTCCCCACTTCCCCTCCAGTATTATGGTGTATTCCAAAGCCAAATATAATTTTTTGGTGGCTCGTTGTGATTAATTTCTGTTCCACTGAGCCTATCCATAGAACAGGCAATGCAACTTTGGAAAAAACGGTAGTCTAACTTATTTTTGCATCATATAGACTGTACAGCAAAGGTGAAGGGACCAATATGAGTATTACTGGGGCACCGAGGGAAAACATTTTCAGAAGAGATCAAGAAAAATGTGACTCAACATGAATGAACCCTGAAAACATTATGCTAAGTGAAAGAAAGCAAACGTGAAAGACCATACGTTGTATGATTCCATTTACATGAAATGTCAAGAATAGGCAAATCCAAAGAAACTAAAGTAGATGAGTGATTGCCAGGGGATAAGGGAAGAGAGAAAGGGGAGTCACTGCTAATGGACATGGGCTCTCTTTTTGGGGTAATGAAAATGTTTTGAAATTAGATAGTGGTAGTGGTGTACAACTCTGTGACTGTACCAAAAACCACTGAGTTGTACAATTTTAAAGGCTGAATTTTATCATATATGAAATATATCTCAGTTTTTAAAAAGAAGAAAAAAGATGTTATTCAAAAAGGATTCCTCACAGTTATAGCTCAGTCACTTATTTGGCAATTAATTTGGGGGCACAGTCTTGAGATAGTTCTATGTATAGGTCCATGCTGCTTAAACTCCCTGACTCCACCTCAGCCAATGGATATTATCTTACTGGCTTTTCTGTTTACAAAGCTCTCTCTCTCTCTCTCTATATATATATATATAGTTATATGTATATGTTTACAAAACTATACACACACACACACACACACACACATATATATATATACTTTTTAAAATTCAGAAAATACAAGAAGATAAAGCTGGGCACAGTGGTATGTGTCTATAGTCCCAGCTACTTGGGAGGCTGATACAGGAGGACTGCTTGAGTCCAGGGGTTCCAGCTTGGGTGACATCATATTTTTAAATAACAAACAACAACCAAAAAAACCCACAAAAACAAAAACAAAACAAAACAAAAAGTCCAAGAGGATATAAGGAATAAAACAACTTGAAAAACCACCACCCAAAGAAGACTACTATTAACATTTTGGTTTATATTTTTTCAGGTTATTTTTCTATGCATACATAACAGGGAAAATACTTTTGAACTATATTATTGTGATTTTCTCTGTTGCTCTTCCTTGTATGTTACCACATCTCATTCTATATGAAGCATCCTTTTTTCTTATAGCAGAAATGCAGAGTGGAAAAAGAGCCAATATCCAGATTTTACTTCAAGAATAAGATTTCTGAGCAAACATTAAGAGTTGTGAGTGCTTTGCAGATGCTGCTGCCCAAAGTCCCCTGGCACCAGCCAACTGAGTTCTTTGACACTGTGGTCAATGGCAAGTCCTTGGGCTGCGTCTCCTTTGAGCTGTTTGCAGACAAATTTCCAAAGACAGCAGAAACTTTTGTGCTCTGAGTACTAGAGAGAAAGGATTTGGTTATAAGTGTTTCTGCTTTCACGGAATTATTCCAGGGTTTCTGTGCCAGGGTGGTGACTTCACACGCCCTAATGGCACTGGCAGCAAGTCCATCTACAGGAGAAATTTGATGATGAGAACTTCCTCCTGAAACATACAGGTCCTAGCCTCTTGTCCATGGCAACTGCTGGACCCAATATAAATGGTTCCCAGTTTTTAATCTACACTGCCAAGACTGAGTGGTTGGATGGCAACATGTGGTCTTGGAAAGGTAAAGGAGGGCATAAATTTCATGGAAGCCAGGGAGCACTTTGGGTCCAGGAATGGCAAGACCAGAAAGAAGATCACCATTACTGACTATGGACAACTCTAATAAAGTTGACCTGTGTTTTATCATAGCCACCAGACCATTCTTTCTGTAGCTCAGGAGAGCACCCCTCCACCCCATTTGCTTGTAAAATCCTATAATCTTTGTGCTGTCACTGCAGTTCTTTGAGTTTCATATTTATCTTATTCCCTTCCATGTCTAGCTGGATTACAGAGTTAAGTTTATGATTATGATATAAAAACTAACAAAAAAAACAAATTCTGAAAGCTAAACTTTGAGAACAGAGAAAATAATGTTTAAAATGACTTTATTTCCCATTAACATAAGAAGAGGCAGAACCAATCAACTAAATCATAGTTTTACTAAAAGCCAGGAGTAGAGAAATATCAAGATGTAGGAAGTGTACTGTGCCAGGAGGTTGTAGCTTTTGGCTTATGGGATTATGGTGAAAAAGAAGGAAATCCAGAAAGGGGAACCAGATAGACACATATATTCTGACTGCCACTTTCTGGACTGAATACCTGAAAGGGGAAATCATGTTGGAAAGATTAAGGGGTACGTTAAAAGGTAAAGGAGTCTTTGCCTCACTCCCTAAAAGAAATCCGGGAGGAAACTGGATCTCAGGAAGATTCCAGGCCAGAATGAGGGTAGGGTTAGGAGTGACAAAGCAACAGTGGGAGAGGCTAGACAGATGAGGCTGAATAGCAATCCTAAACTGGCTCCCAGTTTACTTGGGAGACTGAGGCAGTGTGGTAGAAGGGACCCCTCCAGGGGAATCTAAAATTAGGCCAGAGTGGGCGCGATGGCTCATGCCTGTAATCCCAGCACTTTGGAAGGCCGAGGAGGGCAGATCACTTGAGGTCAGGAGTTTGAGACCAGCCTGGTCAACATGGTGAAACCCCATCCCTATTAAAAATACAAAATTAGACAGGTGGGGTGGCAGGTGCCTGTAATCCCAGCCACTTGGAAGGCTGAGGCAGGAGAATCGCTTGAGCCCAAGAGGTGGACGTTGCAGTGAGCCGAGACTGTGCCATTACACTCCAGCCTGGGCGACAGAGCAAGACTCCGTCTCAAAAAATAAAAAATAAAGATTAGCCCAGCCTCAGTTGGGAAGCAGCTAGTGCACATCGACCAGATTAGCCTCCCACCGTGAAAACCAGCTCTGCCCCCACCCCCACCCCTCAACAACCCCCACCTCCCTGACTCCAAGGCCAGGAGGACTGGTAAGTACCCCCAGGCATAGAAGCCAGCTTGGGAAAGAGGAGGAGGAGGGGCGAGAGAGCCTTGTTAGGGAATTGAATTTTGAATTGACTGAATATTTACCCAATAGAGATCTTTTAAATCAAAATAGACTGTTAAATCAACAGAGATTATTTAATCTAGAGGAGACTCAGATAACTTTAATTAGAAGGGTGGGAGAAGATTAGATCAGTTAAGAAAAATAAAGAACCCATATGTCCTTGCTTCTGAGTAGATTAGTGAATAGTCTGTGTTCCCACTACTGATCATATAAATATTTTTAGCAAAATGAAATAAATGAAATGAATAAAAATTAATAAGTATTTTTAGCATAAACACTTTTGTAACTTGTTTTTCACTTTACAATATTGTTTCATTTTTTTTGTTTGTGTATATTGTCTTTCTCTCAACTAGGCTATAAATATCTGGAGGACTAGGACTGTGTTTTACCTTTCTTTGAATCTATGTCAGTGCTTGACCACAAAGCAGACACTGCATATCACCGCCATATAAGACATTTCTAGTTCTTTCTCTATACACATGCAATTAAATGACAGCAACAACAGTAAAACAAAAACAAAAACAAAACAAAACAAGAAAACCCTGAAGCAAGCAGAAGATAGTTTAGTAGAAAGGGCCAATGCAACAGGTACCCAGTTCTCATCCTGATCAGTCACTGACTTTAGGCAAGCCACCACTTCTCCTCTTGTTGTCTCATTTTCTCCACCTGTAAATTGGAAATAGTGTCCTCACTACCTTACTTGCATTTCATCGAACTCAAGGAAAAGTACACAAAATCACTTAGAAGAGAATGCAAAATTATCAAATACATCGTTTAACCCCAATATAATTTCACTAGTGACCCCTGACTAGAATGCTGACGTGCCTGAGACCTGGCTTTTTTTTTGCGGCTTCCTTCCTTGCACAATCTTCCTTCCAAATCTGCTACTACAGCATCCCCCACTCCCACCCAACTACCACCATCAGCTCTCTCTGACTGCCCCAGCCAGACCCTAATCAATGATCTCTCAGTAAATACTTGTTTTTAGTAAACAACTGAAAGAGTTTTATTTAGTTGACATGTGACTACTTCCTGGACACTGATGGAAAAATGTTATTTAAAGACAGGAAACCAATAACGGCATTTTACATTCAAACAGTGATTAAAGATCTTTATTCTTTTCCACTTCACCAATTAGCCGGGCTTGCAGGTCATGATAGAAAACAAACAAATAAAAATAGGGATTTTCTCTACACACCAGTAGTCTTCATTTATGATGTAAGCAAGCTGTGTAGCTGGGAGACCACCAGGTAAACACTGCACCTTGGTAACTGACCAGGCGCACTCTCTGTCATGTTCTGTGACATGTGGAAAATGGTGCTAAAGCCTCAATAAAACCCAGAGCCTGGCTGGGTGTGATGGCTTATGCCTGTAATCACAGCACTTTGAGAGGCCAAGGCAGGGATCACTTGAGCCCAGGAGTTCAAGACCAGCCTGGACAACATAGTGAGACCTTGTCTCTACTAGAAATCAGAAAAATTAGTTGGGTATGGTGTAGTGCACACTTGTGGTCCCAGCTACTCAGGAGGCTGAGGCAGGAGAATCACTTGAGCCCACGAGGTCGAGACTGCAGTGAGCCGAGATCACACCACTGTACTCCAGCCTGGGTAACAAAGCAAGACCTTGTCTCAAAAAGGAAAAAGAAACAAACAAAAAAGACTGCCTCCAGTGGTTTTACAGTCTAAAGCAAGCATGATTGCTTTTGTTGTTTTCAATCAAATTCCAATTTAAGTATCATTTATTGTTTAAATCAATCTCTGAGAAGCATCTTCTTAAAAAATAGAAATACTTTTTAATGTTGAGCAATTATTCATTCACTTAGGAAACATTAAATGAGTATTTATCATGTACCAAGATCTGTGCTAGACACTGGGATACCCAAATAAACCAAGTTCAGATTAGAAGGGCAAATAGATATGTCAAACCAATCTGTTTAGTTGTTTTTTTGTTTTTTTTTGTTTTTGTTTTTTTGAGACAGAGTCTTGCTCTGTTGCCCAGACTGGAGTGCAGTGGTGAGATCTCGGCTCACTGCAACCTCCACTCCTGGGTTCAAGCGATTTTCCTGCCTCAGTCTCCCAAGTAGCTGGGATTACAGGCACGTACCACCACGCCCAGCTAACTTTTTGTATTTTCAGCAGAGATGGGATTTTGCCATGTTGCCCAGGCTGGTCTCAAACTCCTGAGCTCAGGCAATCCACCTGCCTTGGCCTCCGGAAGTGTTAGGATTACAGGCCTGAGCTACCGCCATGTGGCCACAAACCAGTCATTGATCTTCACTGTAGTAAATGCGGTAATAGATGTTCACTGGCACAGAGGAAGGAGGGAGTAATTCAGCTTGAGTGCTGCAGGAAAGGTTTCATGGAGGAGGCCCTTGAGTGAGATGTTTTCATTAATTCACTCTTTCCAAAAATATTTACTGCACTCTCTGTGTCAGGTACTGTTCTAGGTACTAGGAGTATAGTAGTGAACAAAACATGAAAATCCCTGCTCTCATGAAATTTATGATCTTGTGTAAACAATAAAGAAGATAAGTGGCCAGGTGCGGTGGCTCACGCCTGTAATCCCAGCACTTTGGGAGGCTGAGACAGGAGGATGGCTTCAGCCCAGGAGTTCAAGACTAGCCTGGGCAACATGGCAAAACCCCAACTCTACAAAAAAATACAAAAAAAAAAATAGCCAGGCGTGATGAAGCAGGCCTGTAATCCCAGCTACTTGGGAGGCTGAGGTAGGAGAATCACCTGAGCCCACAAAATTGAGGCTGCAGTGAGACCCTGAAAAAAAAAAAAGTAGGGTGCGGTGGCTCACACCTGTAATCCCAGCACTTTGGGAGGCTGAGATGGGTGGATCACCTGAGGTCAGAAGTTCAAGACCAGCCTGGCTAACATAGTGAAACCCTGTCTCTACTAAAACTACAAAAAATTAGCTGAGCCTGGTGGCAGCTGCCTGTAATCCCAGCTACTAGGGAGGCTGAGGCAGGAGACTTGCTTGAACCCGGGAGGCAGAGGTTGCAGTAAGCCAAGATCGCGCCATTGTACTCCAGCTTGGGCAACAAGAGTGAAACTCTGTCTCAAAAAAAGAAAAAGAAAAGAAATATTAGGTATAAAGTCACTAGTACATGATATGCACTCAATAAATGGTAGATATCATTATTAATTTGATGTGTCATAGAAAGAGAACTAGAGGACAACTTTAAGGAAGTGAGATTTATAGTCTAAACTGGGACCTACAATCATAGGATGTAGCAATAACTTAAACAAGAGAAGAGGATAAATGGGGCGTTCACTGAAAGGGGATGGAGGATGACTTGAAGGGCCCCAAAAGTATTGGCAAGATATCTCTTGTGATAGGTACTATATAAATGCACACATGGATGATGAGATGTATTGATATGTTAATTTTGCAAAACGTGTGGAAACTCATTGGGGTTGCAGGCATGATCCATTTGCAGCCCATGAACTAAGATCTTAAATCATTAAACAGAAAGATACTTCAGAGCAAATGAATCATGTTTCTGTGATATAAGAGCTTCTTTCATTATACTGAAGCTGGCCAGGCACGGTGGCTCACACCTATAATCCTAACACTTTGGGAAGCTGAGGCAAGGGCAGATCGCTTGAGCCCAGGAGTTTGAGACCAGCCCGGGCAACATGGCAAAACCCTATCTCTACAGAAAATAGAAAAATTAGCTAGGAATGGTGGTGCACGCCTGTAGTCCCAGCTACTCAGGAGGCTGAGGTTAGAAGACTGCTTGAGCCCTGGATGTCAAGACTGCAGCGAGCCATGATCAGGCCATTGCACTCTAGCCTCGGTGACAGAGAGAGACCCTGTCCACCCCCACCAAAAAAAGTATATGCAAGCTTATTAAACCAGAGATCATCATGGTGTACTGATGTTTGGCTTAAAATATTCCTACCCTGCTCAGAATCACCAGGCAGGACATAGGTTGTACAGTAAAACGAACTACCAATTTTCACCCCTAAACTGTGTCTCCACCAGTGGGCCGAAGGTTAAGTTTACTGTTGTTCTGTGGCTTACTGGCTGGGTGATCTTAGCCCAAGCTCTTAACTTTATAGAGCCTCAGTCTTTTCTTCTATAAAACGAAATTAATAATATATTTACTCATTTGACAGCTGGAGACTAAATTATTTACCTTTTGGTTCCTTTCAGTTATTTTATTTATTTATTTATTTTTTTTTTGAGATGGAGTTTCACTCTTGTCTCCCAGGCTGGAACGCAATGGCGCAATCTCGGCTCACTGCAACCTCTGCCACCCGGGTTCAAGCAATTCTCTTGCTTCAGCCTACCGAGTAGCTGGGATTATAGGCATGCACCACCACGCCTGGCTAATTTTGTATTTTTAGTAGATACGGGGTTTCTGCATGTTAGTAAAGCTGGTCTCGAACTCCCAACCTCAGGTGATCCACCTGCCTTGGCTTCCCAAAGTGCTGGGATTAAAGGCATGAGCCACCACGCCCGGCCCCTTTCAGTTAATTTTAATTAAGAAAATAAACAAAACCCTGCCCAGTGACCTGGCCTGCATGATCCTCTAATTGCCATTATTTTAAAATAAAATTGTTTTTTTTTTCAAGACTGTGTCTTGTTCTGTCTCCCAGGCTGGAGTGCAGTTGCATGAACATGGCTCACAGCAGCCTCAACTTCCTGGGCTCAAGCAATCCTCCTGCCTCACCCTCCATAGTAGCTGGGACCATAGGCAGGTGTCACCACACCCAGGTAATAATTTTTATTTTTTGTAGAGACGGGGGTTCTCGCCATGTTGTCCAGGCTGTTCTTAAACTCTTGGCCTCAAGCAATCCTTTTCCATCTCAAAGTGCTGGGGTTACAGGTGTGAGTGACCATGCCCCACGTATTTTATTATATTATAGATGTAAGATATACTCATCTAGAAAATATGGAAAATACTGAAAAGAAGAAGTATGGTCACATGGAGTGGAGAATCAACTCCATACTCCAAGAAACTCACTATTAAAATTTTGAAGTATTTGATCTTTGCCTTTCTATAATTATTTTATTTATCTTTTATTTTATTTTATTTTATTTAGACAGAGCCTTGCTCTGTCACCCAGGCTGAAGTGCAGTGGCACAATCCTGTCTCACTGCAACGTCCGCCTCCCAGGTTCAAGTGATCCTCCTGCCTCAGCCTCCTCAGTAGCTGGGACTACAGTCACCCACCACCATGCTGAGCTAATTTTTGTATTTTTAGCAGAGACAAGGTTTCTCCATGTTGGCCAGCCTGGTCTCAAACTCCTGACCTCAGGTGATCTGCCCACCTTGGCCACCCAAAATGCTGGGATTACAGGTATGAGCCACCATGCCCGGCCTTCTTTCTATAATTATTACATTTTAAGTTTCCAAAGTTTTTGCCACCACAAACTTTCAGCTCTCAGCCTGCCATAAAAATAACCTGAAAACAGTAGAATATATTAAAATTCTATATCACATATTCTTCAGTACACAAAACAAAAACCTCATAGTCCACCAACAATATATGATTAAGATTCTTGAGGATGTGCTTCAGGAATGTTCACTGAATACTTAAAAATAAAAATCAGCATTCCATTTTTAAAGAACAGCTCGCTGTGACTCCTCTGCAGTTTTTGCTTTATGGTCCCTTCTGATTCTTAGCTGTAATTAATTTACTGGAAAGATTTTACGGGACTGAATTAACAATGCAAACACATGGTCATACGATAAAACCGTGTTTTGTTATTTTTCATGTCTCCATATTTTTTAAATCATAACTATTTTTCAAAAAGGCTATCGGATAAGGATCAAATTATGTTACAAGGCAGCTATAAAACCCCTCTTTAACAACAATAAAAACATTCTCAAGAATCATCTGACAGCCTGCAAATGAACTTTGAGGAATGTTTGACAAAATAAAAATTCTAGTCCAGCAAAATATTGTCCCTTAAATATTGTTAAAAAATGGCCGGGTGTGGTGGCTCACACCTGTAATCTCAGCACTTTGGGAGGCCGAGGTGGGTGGATCATCTGAGGTCCAGAGTTTGAGACCAGCCTGACCAACATGGAGAAACCCCATCTCTATTAAAAATACAAAAATTAGCTGGGCATGGTGGTGCATGCCTGTAATCCCAGCTACTCAGTAGGCTGAAGCAAGAGAATTGCTTGAACCCAGGAGACAGAGGTTGCAGTGAGCCAAGATTGCACCATTGTAATCCAGCCTGGGCAACAAGAGCAAAACTCCATCTCAAAAACAAAAAACACTGTTATAAAGGAACTAGAGCTATAATAGTGAATTAACAAACGACTGTTGAGGGCCAGATATGGTGGCTCACGCCTGTAATCCCAGCATTCTGGGTGGCTGAGGCAGGCAGATTACCTGAGGTCAGGAGTTTGAGACCAGCCTGGCCAACATGGTGAAACCCAATCTCTACTAAAAATACAAAAATTAGCTGGGCGTGGTGGCTTACGCCTGTAATCCCAGCTACATGAGAGGCTGAGGCACGAGAATCGCTTGAACCCAGGAGGCAGAGGTTACAGTGAGCTGAGATTGCACTACTGCACTCCAGCCTGGGCAACAGAGTGAGACTCTGTCTCAAAAGGAAAAAAAAAAAAAAAAGCGCTATTGAGCATTTCCCATCTGTTGTGTTTTCCCCCTCACAACATTTTTGTTGTGATGGGGAAAAGTACACCTAGTTAATGATTTCTGTGCCTGTTGTTTTGCCCATATTCTCCAGAAAACCCTTCCAAGACCATTCTTTGGAATCAGGTTTTACATGTGCACTTGCAAGTGAAAGTTTGTCAATTGTCACCGGCCGGGAACCCTTCTGTGAAAGGCAGGTTGAGAGAAAAGAGCACTGGACTAGGGTCTTGGGTCTTAATTCTGACCCTGTCACTTTTTAGCTTAGTGTCTCTTGGCAATTCACTTAGACTAAATGAGCTTTCATTTTCTTATCTGTAAAATGAAGATAATAATTGACTTGCCTACCTTGCCGAGTTGTATGGAACAAATAATGCAAGTGAAAAGTGCTTTACAAACTGTAAAGTGCTAAGTAACTACCAAGTACTTTTATTTTTACTTTTTTTTTGAGATGGAGTCTCACTCCGTCGCCCAGGCTGGATTGCAGTGGCGTGATCTCGGCTCATTGCAACCTCCACCTCCTGGGTTCAAGCGATTCTCATGCTTCAGCCTCCCAAGTAGCTGGAATTACAGGCACACACCACCATGCCTGACTAATTTTTGTATTTTTAGTGGAGACTGGGTTTCACAATGTTGGCCAGGATGGTCTCAAACTTCTGACCTCAGGTGATCTGCCCGCCTCGGCCTCCCAAAGTGCTGAGATTACAGGCGTGAGGCACCACACCCAGCCTATTTTTACTTTTTTATTGTAGCAAAATATTTTTAACATAAAATTCACCATTTTAGCCATTTTTAGGCATACAGTCCTGTGGTATTAAGTACTGTCACATTGTGGTGCAACCATCACCAGTATCCATCTCTATAGCTTTTTCATCTTCCCAAACTGTAAATTCATTAAACAATAACTTCCTATTTCTCCCTCTTCCTATCCCCTGGAAACCACCATTCTACTTTCTGTCTCTAAGAATTTGACTGCTCTAGGTACTTCATATAAGTGGACTCATACAATATTTGTCCTTTTGTGGCTGGCTTATTTCACTTAGCAAAATATCTTCACAGTTCACCCATGTTATAGCATATGTCAGAATATCCTTTCTCTTTAAGGCTGAAAAATATTCCATTAACTATATATACCATACTTTGTCCATCCATCTGTCAATGGATATTTGGATTGTTTTCCCCTTTTGACTATTGTGAATAATGCTGCTATGAACATTGATGTACCAATATCTGTTCAAGTCACTACTTTCAATTGTTTTGGGTACATACCCAGTAGTCAAATTTCTGGATCATATGGTAATTCCATGATTAATTTTTTTGAGAAACTGCCATACTCTTTTCCACAACAGTTGCACCATTTTACAATCCCATCAGTGCATCCCACAAGGTGTCCTATTTTTCCAAATTCTTGCCAACACTTGTTATTTTCTGGTTTCAATTTTGTGTTTGTTTTAATAACAACCATCCTAATAGTTGTGAAGTAGCATCTCATTGTAATTTTGACTTGTATTTCTCTAATAATTAGTAATATTGAATGTCTTTTCATGTGCTTATTGGCCATCGGTTTTTCTTCTTGGAGAAATTTCTATTAAGACCTTTGCCTATTTTTAAATTGAGTTGGTTTTGTTGTTGTTGAGCTGTAGGTATTCTTTATATATTATGGATATTAATCCATTATCTGACAGATGATTTGCAAATATTTTCTCCCATTACATGTGTTGCCAAGTATTTTTATTTTTATTCATGTACCAGATCCTAAAAAAATTATACTCAACCCTTTACTATGGAGCTTTACGAGCTAAGAATACCCCTTGAACAGGCTTCCTCTATGGTATCACATAAACATGATACCACAGTTTAAAGTCCAGTTAAGAAATCATTGGCAGCTGGGTGCTGTGGTTCCTGCCTGTAATCCCAGCACTTTGGGAGGCTGAGGCAGGAGGATCACTTGAGGTCAGGAGTTTGAGAACAGCCTGGCCAACATGGTGAAACCCTGTCTCTACTAAAAATACAAAAATTAGCCAGGCATAGTGGTGCACGCCTGTAGTCCTAGCTACTTAGGAGGCTGAGGCACGAGAAACAGAATCGCTTGAACCTGGGAGGCAGAGGTTGCAGTGAGCTGAGATCGTGCACTCCAGCCTTGGCAATAGAAGGAGGCTCTGTCTAAAAAAAAAAAAAGAAAGAAAGAAAAGAAAAGAAATCATTGGCAAAATTTCTTCTTCAGGGTTAAATAATAAGAAAAAAAATTTCATACTTCTCCTATTTACAATTTGTCTCAGTAAGATATTTAATTTAGTAGCAAACTAGAAAGTGGTTTTTCTCTACCTCCTTACATAAAAATTATGTAGATTTACAGATTTGACAACAGAAAGCTAAAGCTGAATATGCCCAAGGGGAGAATGTAGAGACATTTTTAAAAAATAACATTTCCTGCTTGTGCCTATCCATTCATCATATACAAATGAAAAGCCAACAAGCCATGTCCTAGCAGAGAATAAATGCCCTCTCCAGTGGCAAACTGTTAAAGTGCATAAGTGGAAATAACATTTAAAAAAATATTGAGTACCTACAGGTCTTTCATTCATTCCTTTATTTTACAAACATGATGGGCTTTGTTAGGCCCTGGGGACACAAAAATGAGTAGGCAGTTCCTGCCTTCAAGGAGCTCTCACTCTGGAGGGAAAACTGACTAAATAGTTGCAGCACAATATGGTGAGTACCAAGGAGCTCTAATGAATGTTTCCATCATGGATAATTCACAGCTAGGTGCTGTGAAGATTACCTCTGAGTATCATGCCAATTGCTAACATGTAGGGGCTTATAAAATCCATTATGAATATAAAACCTCATAAAATATTAATTACTGTTATTACAGTCTCAGTACTCTTTTAGTACTAAGAGACAAGGTACATAAACCACCTAAGATTTTGTGTCAAAAATTTTTTAAATTTGTTTTCATTATAAAAGTAATGCATTCTTTTTATTTTCTATTTAAAATAAAAATTAACTAATGCAAATTTAAATTTTTTTTCTTTTTTTCTTTTTTTTTTTGGCTTTGAGACAGGCTGTCACTCTGTCGCCCAGGCTGAAGTGCAGTGGCGCAATCAGCTCACTGCAAACTCAACCTCTCAGGCTCAAGAGATTCTCCCAAGTAGCTGGAACTACAGGTGTGCACCACCACACCTGGCTAGTTTTTGTATTTGTTGTAGAGATGGGGTTTCACCATTTTGCCCAGGCTGGTCTTGAACTTCTGAGCTGAAGTGATTCTCCTGCCTTGGCCTCCCAAAGTACTCTTATTGCAGAAGGTGTAAACAATACAGAATTCCCCAGAGGCAACCATCATTAACAGTTTGCTATATTCTATGTCATCTAAGATGCCACTGACTATAAGACGCATTCTAAATTCAAGGGTGCTGAAAAGTAGAGAACAAAAAGGACTTTTGTAAGCATTTGAAGTCTTGAATCTGTATGAGCAAAAAGTAGAGGCAATGAGGTAGGCCTGAGCAAACTGGACAGGGGAATCAGCAAGAAAAGAGGATTCTATTCATTTTCATGCTAATGTTTTGTACTTCTAGGCGTACTTCTAAGTATATCAAACTATGAGGTAACCATTCCAAAAAGCTCTGGATCTTAGAAGATACTGTTTATATTCCCAAAGTTGTACTTAGTACCTTATGAGTAGGTTATAGAATGTGAACCTCACCTTTTGGAAGATTTATTCTGTATTACTCAAATGAATCTTTGCTTGGAAGAAGATAAATCTCTAGTTTCTGAAACATTGGTCAATATATATATTGGTCCCACGTGGGCTGAAAAGATATGAAAGAGCATAAGGCTTTCTTTTCATTCATTGTCCAATATTTATATTCTCTACTAAAATCCCAGGGGTTTTAAGGAATAAAAAATGTTGGGATGCAACCTGTCCAACTATTAAGTCTCTTTGTTTCAGAAGCATTATGTATAGCATAGTATAACAGGAAGACCTGGCGGGCCACGGTGGCTCATGCCTGTAATCCCAGCACTTTGGGAGGCCAAGGCCGGAGGATCACCAGGTCAAGAGATTGAGACCATCCTGGCCAACATGGTGAAACCCTGTCTCTACGAAAAATACAAAAATTTGCTGGGCGTGGTGTCATGAGCCTGTAGTCCCAGCTACTTGGGAGGCTGAGGCAGGATAATCGCTTGAACCCGGGAGGCAAAGGTTGTAGTGAGCCGAGATTTTGCCACTGCACTCCACTCCTGGCGACAGTGAGACTCGCTCTCAAAAAAAAAAAAAAATTAATGCCTGTAATCCGGAGGCCGAGAAGGGCCGACCACGAGGTCAGGAAATCGAGACCATCCTGGCTAACACAGTGAAACCCCGTCTCTACTAAAAACACGAAAAATTAGCCGGCCTGGTGGTGGGCGCCTGTAGTCTCAGCTACTCGAAAGGCTGAGGCAGGAGAATGGCGTGAACCTGGGAGGCGGAGCTTGCAGTGAGCTGGGATCGTGCCACTGCACTCCAGCCTGGGCGACAGAGCGAGACTCCGTCTCAAAAAAAAAAAAAAAAAAACAAAAAAAAACAGGAAGACCTGTGTCTGGAGAGACCTAGGTTCTACTCTTATTTCTACCACTAATTAGATGTGTAATTTTAGATAAATCACTTAACCTCTCTAGACCTCTGTTTCTCATCTCTAATTAATCTAGTCCGTAGGTTATAATGAAGATCAAAAGGAATCACATGTATGGAAGCACTTCAAAAAATGTAGCACATGCATATTATACGGTATTATTAATACTTATATTTATTATTGGTCTGCAATGCCACTCTTGGACTTCAGCAAGAGGGACGCCTGCCCTGAGCCTTGTACTTCAGAAGGCCCTGCATAGCACAAACACAAATGCCCAAAAATTGATTAAATATCTGTCAATATGTTCCTAGGAGACATGGCCTCAACTCTGACAATAGCAATGACATTCTTTGAAGTGATTCAGTGATTATATATAATATTTTCTATATATGCCTCAAAATAGGTCAATTTGTTTAAACACATATCAAACATAATTTCATAGCCACTCTTGGTTAACAATGGAGATGTCATTTAAATGCTGTTAGAGCAGTTAGTTTAACCTAAACAAGATAGTGAGCTGCGCTAGGACAGTTGTGTGAAACAATAGAGGATCTTCAAAAAAAACTAAGGAATTGTGGTCTATGGTGGGAAATACTTTTGATTTTGGGCTAACCACAGCTATTTGGTATGGACTATTGCTTGCTATTAATAATGTTAGCAAAAGCTTACAAAATATGCAGACTTACCTAAGTTTGCCTAGTTCGCTTTTTAAATCATTTAAAATACTTTTTATTGCATTTGGCTGTTCTATGAAATGAAAGAAAAACATAAAAGAACAAAAGAAAAGCACAATTTTTAAAAAGTAAAGTACTTTTTAAATTTTGAAAGAAAATGATTTTTCTAAATTGAAAGATACTAAATATAGCATATACAATGAAATATTCCACAAAATAGAAACAAGAAAACAAAAATGATTGCATGATTATAAAGTTCACATACAAATCTGTATATATGTATTATATTTACATATTATTTTCTATTCTTTCCAGGTAGCAGTATAGTCTCCCTAAAGAGAGATTTGAACAAATTGAACCACATATTGTTCTCTCTTTTTCTTTATGATATCCCAGCATTGGAAAAATTGAAAGAACAACTTAATACTATATAAATAGATATTGCTTTAAGGGCTGGCAAAAAAAGATCACAATATAAGTAATAGAATTAATGTGATAAAATTAAAAATTTATAATATTTTCTATGATAATTATCATTATTACAGTCCTATTACAATGTCTGAATATGATATGCAAAATTCATTGTTCATTTCCAAATGTAAGTATTGATTTAGACATTCTATTAACAATGCCTGTTGCTACTGCCTCCACAGAATAAAATATTTCCAATTCCATTGAAATTCATTTTTAAATCAAGAAATAACCATAAAAATGGGCAACTAGCAGCCCTCGGGGCTACTTTGTCTATTAGCCATTCTTTTATTTCTTTACTTTCTTTATAAACTGGCTTTTACTTCAAAAAAAAATTCATTTTGAAAACATCTAATATTAAGGATTATTTTTTGGAGACAAG
The DNA here is from genome assembly GCF_000001405.40 of Homo sapiens. Classification (NCBI taxonomy): domain Eukaryota; kingdom Metazoa; phylum Chordata; class Mammalia; order Primates; family Hominidae; genus Homo; species Homo sapiens. The sequence continues at coordinate 47,925,719 of NC_000002.12, read as the reverse complement.
ATCTCACTATGCTGCCCAGAGTGGCCTCAAACTCATGGACTCAAGTGATCCTCTCACCTCAGTCTCTGAGTAGCTGAGATTATGGGCACACACCACTGTGCCCAGCTTCAGTATTTTTTCTTTCTTTCTTTCTTTCATTTTTTAGATGGAGTCTTGCTCTGTCACTCAGGCTAGAGTGCAGTGGTGCAATCTCGGCTTACTGCAACCTCCACTACCCAGGTTCAAGTGATTCTCCTGCCTCAGCCTCCTGAGTAGCTGGGATTACAGGCACATGTCACCACGCCCAGCTTATTTTTGTATTTTTAGTAGAGAGGGGGTTTCCCTATGTTGGCTGGGCTAGTCTCAAACTCCTGACCTCAGGTGATCTGCCTGCCTCAGCCTCCCAAAGTGCTGGGATTACGGGTGTGAGCCACCATGCCCGGCCCAGCTTCAGTAGTTTTTTTATGTGAAAATATTATTAAGGAAAATTTTTAAGAGTTTTTCTTTGCTAGAAATGTATATTGATATGCTCATAGATAAAATTACGATATCTAGGATTTACTTCAAAGTAATTGAGAAGGCTGGGCACAGTGGCTCACGTCTGTAATCCCAGCACTTTGGGAGGCCAAGGCAGGTAGATCACTTGAGGTCAGCAGTTCGAGACCAGCCTGGCCAACATAGTGAAACCCCATCTCTACTAAAAATACAAACATTAGCTGGGTGTGGTGGCACACGCCTGTAATCCCAGCTACTGAGGAGGCTGAGGTGGGAGAATCACTTGAACCCAGGAGGCAGGAATGCAGTGAGCCAAGATGGCATCACTGCACTCCAGCCTGGGCAACAGAGTGAGACTGTGCCTCAATTAAAAAAAAAAAAGTAATTGGGTAGAGAAACTTGGGGAATATAAATGAAGCAACATTGACCATGAGTTAATAATTATTGGGGCTGGATGGTAAGTACATAGGAGTTCTTTATATTCTATTATATACATTTGTGAATGTTTGAAATTTCCCATAATAAAATGTTAAACAAAAATTTAAGAAGCATATGGAAGAGGAAAAAAATATTCTCCTCTACCCTCACAGGTTCTGTAACTGGAGACTGCCAATGAAACTGCCAAAAGGCAGATTAACAGGAGAAAAGACATACAGACTTCATCTGATGTTAACAGTTTAATTTTTACATGCATGGAGGCCTTCATAGAAAAGAAGTGAAGGCCTAAAGAAGTGATTATAACCTGGGACTTATATATCATTTTAACAAAGAGTAATAAATTGTGAAAAGGGGTTTGTCTTCTAAGAGCTGTTAATTGTGAGAAGGAAAATATATGGGGGAAACTAATGGAGGATAAGGGTTATTTTAGTAAAGTTTGTGCAGATCCATTTCAGTGCTTTCTATCTCCAGTGATGTTATTCTCCTGCTGGTATGGAAAAAGGGAGGGAGAATACCTTCACAAAGGGAAATTTATGCCCTATTTTAGGAAGATAGGAGGACAAAGAACTCTTTTTGTGTTTGCTGCTTCTTAATTGCCTTCAGCTCAAAATAAATCCTTATGCCAAAGTAGCATGTTTTTGGTGGCATATTCTAATCCCCTTCAAGTACACTGATTCAAGAAAAGTTGTTTATTTTGCTATTATTGTCAACAGAACACAAAGTACATGAAAGTCTGAATTATAACAACATGATTATTTTGCTAAAAAAGAAAATACATTTTATTATGTAATTAATATATAATTTATGAATTATGTGCATATTTATCTTGTCATCCAACATTACCAGTCCATCAATGGAACACCCAAATGCACAATAATAACTAAGTCCAATTATTTTTGCTATCTAGCTGACTTTCAATTATATGAAAACCATTGCTTTACACATATTTTTAAAAATTTTGAGACCGGGCACAGTGGCTCACGCCTATAATCCCAGCACTTTGGGAGACCGAGGCAGGCAGATCACCTGAGGTCAGGAGTTCAAGACCAGCCTGGCCAACATAGTAAAACCCCATCTCTACTAAAAATATAAAAATTAGCTGGGCATGGTGGTGGGTACCTGTAATCCCAGCTACTCAGGATGCTGAGACAGGAGAATCGCTTGAACCCTGGAGGCGGACATTGCAGTGAGCCAAGACCGCGCCACTTCATTCCAGCCTGGGCAACAAGAGTGAGACTCTGTCTCAAAAGAAAAAAAAAAAGATTTTGTCATCATAAAGGTATACTTGACAATTTGTCAAGGAAGGTGGATAGAACGTATTTATTTAATGGTTTGTTAGCTTCATTTATAATCTTAATGGTTTAGACCTGTTGTATGTAGCCCTCTACTTGAACTCTTGTCCTGGGTACAGCAAATGTTAGGGACATGCATGTTATTCTCAGATTTTCCATTTTATTCTTAATTTTAACAACTAAGAATGTTTGGGTGAGGATTCCCGGTATAATAATTTTATTTAACTTAAATTTGTCTTCCCCAAAATATTTTTAAAAAACAGTGTATACTTTTACTGGATATTAGATCCATATCTGAGATATCTGGATCTCAGATATCTCTGAATATTTTACCCTCAGCAGGAATCATGTATATTCATGATTGTGTTGATACTGTACCCCCTTTTTACCCCCAAAACAGCCATCATCTCTTTAGCAAGAATAGATGAGATCAAGTTACAATCCTTTCAGGGAAGACAATAGGGGTGATTCGAGATAACTGGTCATCCACATCAAGAATGTTTTGTAAAGTGCTAGGAGTGGTGGCGCACACCTATAATCCCAACACTTTGGGAGGCTGAGGCGAGAGGATTGTTTGAGGCCAGGAATTTGAGACCAGCCTGTGCAACATGGTAAGTCCCTGTCTCTACAAAAAAAAATAAAAATTAGTTGGGCATGGTAGTGCATGCCTATAGTCCTAGCTACTCAGGAGGCTGAGGTGGGAGGACCCCTTGAGCCCAGGAGGTCATGGCTACATTGACCTGTGATCTCAGCACTGCACTCCAGTCTGGACAACAGAGCAAGACACTGTCTGAAAAAACAAACAAACAAAAAGAATGTTGTGTAGATAATTCTGTTTATAATCCCAGCCTCATGTTCAATACAAACATTAGGAAACATTAGGCCTCAGGGGCCAGGCGCAGTGGCTCACACCTGTAATCCTAGCACTTTGGGAGGCCGAGGCGGGTGGATCACAAGATCAGGAGATCGAGGCCATCCTGGCTAACACAGTAAAACCCCATCTCTACTAAAAATACAAAAAAAAATTAGCCGGGCGTGGTGGCGGGCGCCTGTAGTCCCAGCTGCTGGGGAAGCTGAGGCAGGAGAATAGCGTGAACCCGGGAGGCGGAGCTTGCAGTGAGCCGAGATCGCGCCACTGCACTCCAGCCTGGGCAACAGAGCGAGACTGTCTCAAAAAACAAACAAACAAACAAACATTAGGCCTTAGGACATTAATGTAGAGAGTTTGAGATCCCTTATCTTCTGTATGACGGAGACATTTAGAATCATATTTTCTTTGCATGTGATCCGCAAATTAGAAAATGCAAGGGTATAAAGAAGCCAAGGTAATTATCTGGACAACAGTTTATCCAGATAACCAATGAGCAACTAGTTAGTTTGTTTTACCTAAACTATCCATATATTCATACCCCTAAAACCCTTTTTCTGCTGCATGATGACTAAAATCTCCATGAGAGGCAACATTTTCTGACTCTTGAAAAAACTAGTTATTTACAGTAAAGTACATTAATATTGCATATCTCCAGTTCCAAGATACTTTTGATCATAGCATTGGCCAAAAATGTAGTAATCACTTTTTTAGGAGACAAATAAAAAGACTCTAAAGTTAATTCTAATTTCAGGAACACCGAAATGTGAAAAAAAGTATGTACTAAATGTCTTAGAATTGAGAAAACACTAAAAATATTTAAGTATGCATTAGAGTTATGAAAGTTATTCTTATGAAGACTTTAGGGAGTGACAGGAGTCACAGAAAGGTATACATGTGGGTCACTATGTAGGGATAGTATGGTGGCCCTCAGCTCTGGTCACAAAGGTGTAGCATTCAAGCTCAAGGACATGGGGGAAGAATATAAAAAGCAGAGAAAGGAAGCTTGAAGGCAGCCATGGGTCATGCAGGCGTGGGGCACAAGGATACATGACATCAGGAAACTGGTCTAGGTCTGGCTCTGACCCCAAATCATCATAAATAACCAGAAACCTACAAGAAGTTACTAGGGTGGGCTCTCAAACGTCTGAAACTTTTCCTGGCTTATTGTTAACATAACAGGCAAAAAAAGCCCATGACCTTTCAGTTAGCCTGCTTGAGAAATAGGGCTGAGTGTTCCACCTCCTTGAACACTTTAAATTATATTTAATCCCATTTTAGTGCAATGTTAAAATATTTTTAATTCTATTTGTTAAGAAATGCAAAATGTTTTGAGACTAAATATCGGAGGGTATAGTCATTAGGTGTTACTGTGTTAGCCCAATAATTGGCTCCTTTCCTGTAATGGATGAATCTGCTTCAGAATGGAAAAAATAAATTAAACAGAAAACAAATTCTCTACATAAAGGTCATATGAGCTTTTTGTAAAGAGGAATGAGGTATTACAAGAAGTTTACTGAGCACCTGGTATTTAGTTCTGGTGGCTTGCTTCACTCTGTAAAAGCCAATAACTAGTGTTTGTGAGTCTGAACTATTATAATGGCCACTTTCATGTAATAATCACATCGTTATTCTCTAACTGGAATAAACACCATAAAAATTGTGGGTACTATGTGACTAAATAAGTGAAACAAATATCTTTTAACAGTTTGGGAGTAAGAACAGTGTTTGAAGATGAGAACAGGAAAAAAAAAAGAGGCATTTTGGCTGGGCATGGTGGCTCATGCTTGTAATTCCAGCAATTTGGGAGGACAAGGTGGGAGGATTGCTTGAGGCCAGGAGTTCAAGACCAGCCTGGGCAACATAGTGAGACCTTGTCTCTGCAAAAAAACAAAAATAAAAAAATTAGCCAGTCATGGTGGTGTGTGCCTGTAGTCCCAGCTGCTCAGGAGGCAAAGGTTCAAGGATCACTTGAGCCCAGCAGGTTGAGGCTGCAGTGAGCAGTGATCACACCACTGCACTCCAGCCTAAGAAACAGGGCAAGATTCCGTCTCCAAAACAAACAAACAAAAAACACCAGAAAGGAAAAGCAGCATTTTGAATATTTTTGGCAGTTTTGATTCTGCCTTCAGAATTCACTTTGGAATCTACTTTCAAAGACTTAACTGGATACAAACTGTTATAAAACATCTTCAACATGTCTCTGGATATCTCTTTCCAAGCCCCTTTCTAGGTAGAGAGGCCAGACTGTCCTTGGGTTGAGAAACACTTTGGGTTTTATGTATCATTCTATTCTGAAGCTTTGGGTAAGATGATATCAGATAGTAACCAAAGGAACTGCCTCCGTTCACTGAGCTCACACTATGCACCAGGCACTGTGCTGGGCATCATGGAACCAAAGACGACTAAAAAAGTCCTTGCTTTTCAGAAGCTTTAATGTGATGGTGGGGGAGAAGTCAGTGTTTGGGGTCAGATGAGTAAACAAATCATTAGGCTATCAGGTATTGATTACCAGCAGGGAGTACAAACAGAATTACTTAAATCAGTCTGCAGTGTGTGTCTTGGAGGTGGAAGATGGGATGGCAGTGGTACACAGGAAGGCCTTCCTGCAAAAGAAAAGTCAGAATTTAAAGTCTTAACTAAGGAATAGAAATCAGCAAGATGAAATGTGACAAAGGAGTATGGAAGAGCCTTCTTGGCAGGAGGAACAGAATAAAATAGGCAGAAATTGGCAAGTCTTCAGATGGAGGCTGAGGCAAAAAGAGAAAGAGGAATCTCATAGATGGGCAGGTAGAAGCTGTGAAGGGGTGAGTAGAGCAGTCAAAATCATGTTTAATCAGGTTTCATCAGACAACTTCTGTTAACTCAGTTTTGGGGAATGTTCCTTCCTCTCATTAATTGGTCCCTTTGTCCTAACACATGTCATGGCTTCTAACCTGGCCTCAGTAAAGAACAAGTCAATAACTAACCTCACTTTTCTGGGTTTGGCTTTTTGGCAAGTCACTGTCTTTCTAGCTTTCTTCCTGTACTCCATTCCTGATATTCATTCCTGTTCAACGGCTCCATTCAGTGCATTTTGTTGCTTGTTTGGCCAGTGGTCCAGGTAGCTAAAAACTAGTTAAACTTAGTTTATACTTGTTGATCTTTCTTTGCTAGAAAGACTACAGTTACTCAAAATAAGCACTCTCTTAGTTTTTTGGGTTAAAAAAATGATTTTAAAAAAATTGCTAAGAACCAAGGGCTCAGGGCCAAGAAAGCCAATAATAATGATAATAGCTACATAGTGGACATTTGCTGGTTGTTTCCTCAGTGTGTTAGTCCTGCCTTCTCTTCTCCATGGCACTTTTATTTCATTCCGGGAATCCACTCCTCCCCACACAGCCCATGTGCTTCCAGGGAAGCTGACCCATTCCCTGGTTCGTTAAATCTAACCATCATATTCCATCTTCCTATGCACGACTTTTGGTTCCGGGGAGGCATGTGATTTAACCAAGTAAATGTCAGGATATTTTGGGACCAAGTTATTCTCTCTAGATATGGACAAGGGAACGTGCACTTCTATGGAGCTGTTGGCAGCCATCTTGTGATCATAAGGATTGCTGGCTTTAGAATAAAGCTGTAGCTACAGAAGGCAGAGTGGACATGGAAGGAAATTGAGTCCTTAATGATATGGCTGTGTTCTTAGGGACGTAAGACTTAAAGAATCTGAATTCTTAGTAACGTAAACTAACACCAAAGCGTACACTACCTCTTGATTTTTCAATTTTATGAACCAACATATTCTTTTATTGTTTAAGCCAGTTCATGTTCTACTTTTTCTGTTACTTGGAATATAAAATGTTTTATGCTATATAGTTACTATTTGTTGAGAGCCTACTATGTGCTAGGCATTGTAATGAGTGTTCTACAAAGAATAATTCTCACAATCATTTTGGTGTTTTTTTGGCTTTTTTTTTTTTTTTTCAGTCAGGGTCTCGCTCTGTTGCCCAGGCTGGAGAGTGCAGTGGCACGATCATAACTCACTGCAGCCTTGAACTCCCAGGCTCAAGTGATCCTCCCACCTGTCTCCTAAAGTGCTAGGATTACAGGCAGGAGCTGTGAGGCCCCAATTGTGGCAAAATACACACAACATTACATTTTCCATTTTAATAATTTTTAAGTGTACAATTCTGTGGCATTAAGTACATTCACAATGTTGTAGAACCATCGCTACTATTTCCAATCACAATCATATTTTGAAGTAGGTATAATTATCCTCATTTTACTAAAAAGGAACTTCCTCAGAGAAGTGCATTACCCAAGTCAGACCACCAGTTAGTAGCATAGTCTGATTTAAACCCAAGTCTGCCTGCAAAGCCCATGTTTTTCTGCTTCATTATAGTGCCAAATTAAATTATCAAGCAAGGAAACAGGAAATCTTGATCAAGTTACCAGCTCAGGGTCCACAACGTAGAGATTAGGATCTTGGGAGAAGCAGATACAGAAAATAGGAAACAAGGTAAGGAATAAAAAGTGATCAGAATCCAAGTCATCAAATGTAGGACACGAGAGGCTGGAGTCAGGGGGAGAAGGGAAACCATTTAGGTTCATCAAGTAGTGTTAGAAAGGGGCCTCATCGGTGGCGGCTTGAAGAATATCTGGTTGTACTTGTTCACCCTACTCTGGTTTGTAGGTGAACAATTGTTGCCCTGCCTGCTTACTTCCCCAAAGGATCCTGACCTGAAGTCTAATAACAAACTATATTTTAAAACAAAAATACCCTCAATTTTATGTTAAGCATTCATTAAAATAAGTCACTTAATAAAGTTGATCTGTATCAAGAGGGAGACACATCCTGTGGTGGGGCCTGGTCCTTTAAATGTGGTCTGTAATGACTAGAGAGCTCCATTTCCTTCTTGTTAGGACAAGATGGATCCAAATAGAGTTTCCCCACCTCCCTCACTGTCCCCACACCCACCCCAAATCACAAGCTTCTGGGCTAAAAGCTATCCGTCTTTGATGAGTATCTCATAATTATTTACTTTTTAACTAAAGCTATTAGAACTCTAGAAGGTGTTTAATCTGTTGATCTATTTGTTTTCAAAAGTCTGACTCCTTTCATTTGTGATTCTCGGTAAGTAGCAGCTTAAAGGGTTTTACTTAGACAAAAAGATCAGTTCCCTAATTTCCAATTTCCGTAAGTGTAAATTTCTACAGTGTCAGAGGCTGTCTTGAAGTGGGGGAGGAGAAGTTATGAGAATGGATTGGGTAAGACACCTTGATGTTTTCACACCCCAAAACCTGGAACTCTATACCAAGGCCTCTTCTCCAGCTATGTACAAAAACTACTAATATTTTCTCAAAAATTATTTTATATATAAATATATGTACTGACCTTAATGATTCACTTACTGTCCACTGAATAGCTAGGAGACAGAGACAAGAGCCCTATGGAGCTGCCAGGCATGGTGGTTCACGCCTGTAATCCCAGCACTTTGGGAGGCTGAGGTGGGCAAATCACCTGAGGTTGAGAGTTCGAGACCAACCTGACCAACATGGAGAAACCCCATCTCTACTAAAAATACAAAATTAGCTGGCCGTGGTGGTGCGTGCCTGTAATCCCAGCTACTTGGGAGGCTGAGGCAGGAGAATCACTTGAACCCAGGAGGCGGAGGTTGCAGTGAGCCGAGATCGTGCCATTGCACTCCAGCGTGGCCAACAAGAGCAAAACTCTGTCTCAAAAAAAAAAAACAAAAAAACCCTATGGAGCTGATGCCATTTGACATGGTTGCCACATGTATGTGGCTAATCAGCCTTCTTCCTCTAGAGCAGCATTTGGGGAGTGAATGTCCATCATATGTGTAAACAGTCTCTTCAGTAATATAGTTTTTCTGGAAAACAAAACATAGAAATCTTAAATTTTTTTCTCCTTATCTTTTCAGTTTTCACCCTTTCCTTCCTCTCCATGACCACCACTCCTTGCAGTAGCCTATCTTGTTTGGGGCCATGGGAGATGAGGGCTGTGTCATGCTGCACAGCAGGTAGCCCAAACTAAGCAATAGGATAAAAGACAAGCTGAGAATGGACTGACTCAATTCACGCAGGAGTCTTGGGAAAAGAAGTGATCTGGCACTCCTTCAAACCAATATTCTTTAAATAGCTGAGGGCAGAGAGAAATTCATTTTCTATTAATATAAAATGTATAGCTCTTTATGGTCAAAATAAAGAATTTATTATATGCACTGAATATCACAGTATTTCCACTTATTTGGAATTATCTTTCATTTAACATTTGTCCCATTACTGATCACTCGAATAGCAATAGTTACTCACTTACCAAGCAGAGAGGTAAATTATACTTTCAAAATCTTGCTCAAAAATCTACTTACGAGTTCTTTTTTTCCCCTAGTTTTTATGCCCTAAAAACAGTTCTAACTTTTCCAAAGTACTTATTCTTTCTTAATTTTTCTTTTGGGAATTTCTGAGCCAGACAATCTCATGTAGACATGTTCTGGCTTTAAAATGTAGAAAATAACCAACTGTCCCCCAAAATAGTGTTACAACTTTGGGGTAGAATTCCAAACACAAATCCTACCACCACCTCTTTTTCTAACCAGTTTTCCTGAGGGAGCATGCACACCTGTATCTATACCCCAATAAGAGAACTCCAGTACCATTTTATTAGTAAGCAAACAACCAAACTTAAAGTGAAGCTTGGGTCATGGCTGGGTAGAGGCTAGAAAGCCTATGTGAGGCCTCTTACTTTTCCAACTCCAAAACAAAATCTTAGGACCCCTCCAAGCGTGCCAGAACTCAGAGTGAGAGTGAGGATAAGATAAGAACAAGATTCAAGTGGAGAGGTATCAAGAGCACAAGTCCACCTACCTTTCCAGGTATCAGGATGAGGTTGGCCTGCCAGACCCCTGGAGTTGGGAACAGAAAGGGGAGAGGAGGAAGATTGGAGCTTCTCACCAGAGGTGCCCATCTGCCTCTTCCCCTGTGACCCCCACTGCCTCTTTATTTACCTAGTACAAGGGGGGAAATGTGCAAAACAGCCTGTTGCTCCTAGGAGTATGAGATGAAAAAGCAGGCATTAGATCCTGTCCGAGATGAAAGTGAGTGCCTTTCAATGTCACTATCCCTTTCTCTAGTGAACTGTCCCCAGTGTCTCTGACCAGACTAGTCACTTCTTCCATGTGGAGGATTTAATAAGAGGGTAGATAGAGGGGCAGAAGGTTAGGTGGGGGTTCCCTTCTTTATGAGCTCTGGCAGAAATGCAGGGAGAAAAGCTGAATACCCACCAGCCCCCCACTCTCCAGACCCTCTTATTCTCTCTTTAACAAATGGGCTAAATAATCAAACCTTTGTTCCACTAAGACTGTCCAACTAAGAGAGATTAGCAGTTCCCTCAGTTATTGCCATTGCACCACTGTAACTTCCTGAGACCAATGAGATGCACAGTTAATCTGTTCTTCCCAAGATTTTCTTATGGGTCAGGATAGGTCATTAATCAACTTAACTTCAAGACCATACTGCATCCTACGCCAAATATTCACTCCCCAGTCTATTTGCCATCAGAAATTATGTCATCATATTGTCCAAAATTGGTCAACAGAGATTACTTTTGAAAGTCCAAATAAAAAAACAGAGTGGCTGAAAATGGAACAATGTGAAGCCCTTCCCATTATTAAATTCCCGGGGAAATTCAAATCCAAAATGAATTCCTCTTCCTATTGTCAACTGAACTCCAAAGACCTTAAAGCCCAAGATACTCTTCTCTCTAGTTTCCTGATCTTTTCAGTACCTGTGAGAGGGCTCTCCCTCAAAGGCCTTGGGGTTCGGAGTCATTCAGCAGCCACTGCATCTTCTTCCATTACAATGGGTGTAGCACTTTTAGTACCTGCAAAATTGAAGTAATCCACCCAAATCTCTCTTGTCTCAAAAATGCAGAAGCAGATGTGACTCCTATAGTAACAGCACTGTAAAACAAAATGATGTTCCTAGAACCCAGTGTTTAAACCCTGGTTGCTGTCACCTATCAAAGACCTCAGCAGCCTTAGTGTTCTCTTGGGTAAGAAGAATAATGTAGAGGAAACAAAAATGAAGAGAGAACATCTTCTTGGTTTCCTTATTGCCATGATGCCTTTTAGAACATGTCCATTTTCCAACTGCTACATGTGAATTTAAATTTAGTTGGGATAAATTTCTCATCAAGAGGTTAATTGTGACACTACGTTTTCAATAAGGACACAGCTGACTTCCTATAAAACATGTTCAAATGTATTTTTGTAAAAAATACAAAAAGTAGCCTGGCGTGCTGGCATGCACCTATAATCCTAGCTACTTAGGAGGCGGAGGCTGCAGTGAGCTGAGATCGTGCCACTGCACTGCAGCCTGGGTGACAGAATGAGACTCGGTATCAAAAAAATAAAATAAAATAAAATAATTAGCTGGGTGTGGTGGCACGCGCCTATATTCCTGACTACTCAGGAGGCTGAGGCAGGAGAATCACTTGAACCAAGGAGGTAGAGGCTGCAGTGAGCTGACGTTGCACCACTGCACTCCAGCCTGGGTGACAGAGCAAGACTCCATTTCAAAAAAAAAAAAGCATACCTGCTTCGCCACATACAACGTCCATGTAATCTTAAAATTCATTAAGGCTTGGGAGATTGCAGTGAGCCAAGATCACGCCACTGCACTCCAGCCTGGGTAACAGAGTGAGACTTCGTTTAGAAAAAAAAAATCATCAAAGCCTGAAATGACACTACCACCACCACCACCAACAGTAACAGTAATGGCCAGCAGTTTACTGAGCCCTGACTATTCACCAAACACTGTTCTAAGCACTTTATAGGTATTAATTTGCTTGATCCTCACAGCAATCCCACAAAATGAGGACTATTATCACCTCCGTTTTACAGATGCAGAAATAAGCAAAGAGAGGTTAAGGAATTTGCCCAAGGAAGTGGCAAAGCTCCCTGTTGGTTTTCCACTCTCACATCTGCCCAAACTTCTATCACCTACCAATCCTTCCCTAATATAAATGCTTTTATCGTTTTGGCCTAGTCTTCTCTCAACACTTAGAAATTGGTTCTGTTCAAATTGAAGGAGATAGAGACACAAAAAACCCTTCAAAAAATCAATGAATCCAGGAGCTGGTTTTTTGAAAACATCAACAAAATTGATAGACCACTAGCACGACTAATAAAGAAGAGAGAAGAATCAAATAGATGCAATAAAAAATGTTAAAGGGGATATCACCACTGATCCCACAGAAATACAAACTACCATCAGAGAATAATATAAATACCTCTACGCAAATAAACTAGAAAATCTAGAAGAAATGAATAAATTCCTGGACACATACACCCTCCCAAGACTAAACCAGTAAGAAGTTGAATCTCTGAATAGACCAATAATAGGCTCTGAAATTGAGGCAATAATGAATAGCCTACCAACCAAAAAAAGTCCAGGACCAGATGGGTTCAAAGCCGAATTCTACCAGAGGTACAAGGAAGAACTGGTAACATTTCTTCTGAAACTATTCCAATCAATGGAAAAAGAGGGAATCCTCCCTAACTCATTTTATGAGGCCAGCATCATCCTGATAGCAAAGCCTGGCAGAGACACAACAAAAAAAGAGAATTTTAGACCAATATCCCTGATGAACATCGATGCAAAAATCCTCAATAAAATACTGGCAAACCAAATCCAGCAGCACATCAAAAAGCTTATCCACCATGATCAAGTGGGCTTCATCCCTGGGATGCAAGGCTGGTTCAACATATGCAAATCAATAAATGTAATCCATCATATAAACAGAACCAAAGACAAAAACCACATGATTATCTCAATAGATGCAGAAAAGGCCTTGACAAAATTCAACAGCCCTTCATCCTAAAAATTCTCAATAAATTAGGTATTGATGGGACGTATCTCAAAATAGTAAGAGCTACTTATGACAAACCCACAGCCAATATCATACTGAATGGGCAAAAACCGGAAGCATTCCCTTTGAAACCAGCACAAGACAGGGATGCCCTCTCTCACCACTCCTATTCAACACAGTGTTGGAAGTTCTGGCCAGGGCAATCAGGCAGGAGAAATAAATAAAGGGTATTCAATTAGGAAAAGAGGAAGTCAAATTGTCCCTGTTTACAGATGACATGATTATATATTTAGAAAACCCCATCGTCTCAGCCCAATATCTCCTTAAGCTGATAAGCAACTTCAGCAAAGTCTCAGGATACAAAATCAATGTGCAAATATCACAAGCATTCCTATACATCAATAACAGACAAACAGAGAGCCAAATCATGAGTGAACTCCCATTCATAATTGCTTCAAAGAGAATAAAATACCTAGGAATCCAACTTACAAGGGATGTGAAGGACCTCTTCAAGGAGAGCTACAAACCACTGCTCTATGAAATAAAAGAGGACACAAATGGAAGAACATTCCATGCTCATGGATAGGAAGAATCAATATTGTGAAAATGGCCATACTGCCCAAGGTAATTTACAGATTCAATGCCATCCCCATCAAGCTACCAATGACTTTCTTCACAGAATTGGAAAAAACTACTTTAAAGTTCATATGGAACCAAAAAAGAGCCCACATTGCCAAGACAATCCTAAGCCAAAAGAACAAAGCTGGAGGCATCATGCTACCTGACTTCAAACTATACTACAAGGCTACAGTAACCAAAACAGCATGGTACTGGTACCAAAACAGAGATATAGAGCAATGGAACAGAACAGAGCCCTCAGAAATAATACCACACATCTACAACCATCTGATCTTTGACAAACCTGACTAAAACAAGAAATGGGGAAAGGATTCCCTATTTAATAAATGGTGCTGGGAAAACTGGCTAGCCATATGTAGAAAGCTGAAACTGGATCCCTTCCTAACACCTTATGCAAAAATTAATTCAAGATGGATTAAAGACTTAAATGTTAGACCTAACACCACAAAAACCCTAGAAGAAAACCTAAGCAATACCATTCAGGACATAGGCATGGGCAAGGACTTCATGACTAAAACACCAAAAGCAATGGCAACAAGAGCCAACATTGACAAATGGGATCTAATTAAACTAAAGAGCTTCTGCCCAGCAAAAGAAACTACCATCAGAGTGAACAGGCAACCTACAGAATGGGAGAAAATTTTTGCAATCTACCCATCTGACAAAGGGCTAATATCCAGAATCTACAAAGAACTTAAACAAATTTACAAGAAAAAATCAAACAACGCCATCAAAAAGTGGGCAAAGGATATGAACAGACACTTCTCAAAAGAAGACATTTATGCAGCCAACAGACACATGAAAAAATGCTCATCATCACTGGCCATCAGAGAAATGCAAATCAAAACCACAATGAGATACCATCTCACACCAGTTAGAATGGCGATCATTAAAAAGTCAGGAAACAACAGGTGCTGGAAAGCATGTGGAGAAATAGGAACACTTTTACACCGTTAGTGGGAGTGTAAACTAGTTCAACCATTGTGGAAGACAGTGTGACGATTCCTCAAGGATCTAGAACCAGAAATACCATTTGACCCAGCCATCCCATTACTGGGTATATACCCAAAGGATTATAAATCATGCTGCTATAAAGACACAAGCACACATATGTTTATTGCGGCACTATTCACAATAGCAAAGACTTGGAACCAACCCAAATGCCCACCAATGATAGACTGGATTAAGAAAATGTGGCACATATACACCATGGAATACTATGCAGCCATAAAAAAGGATGAGTTCATGTCCTTTGTAGGGACATGGATGAAGCTGGAAACCATCATTCTCAGCAAACTATTGCAAGGAAAGAAAACCAAACACTGCATGTTCTCACTCATAGGTGGCAATTGAACAATGAGAATGCTTGGACACAGGAAGGGGAACATCACACACACTGGGGCCTGTCGTGGGATCGGGGGAAGGGGGGAGGGACAACATTAGGAGATATACCTAATGTAAATGACGAGTTAATGGGTGCAGCACACCAACACGGCACATGTATACATATGTAACAAACCTGCACATTGTGCACATGTACCCTAGAACTTAAAGTATAATAATAATAATAAAAAGAAATTGGTTCTGCTCTTAAAAAACAAAGATTTACCACTGTGTATCACAGTCCAGCCTAAAACTTGAACAAAATTGATTTCTTTTAATAGCGTTCTGTATTACTTCACAGGGAAAGGTATTAAAGTCAGATTCTATAATTCTTTAAAGATAACTTCTGGGTATCATTGGATTGTGTGCTTACCAGGTTTTCCCACATATACGTTAAATTTAAATCCTTAGTTCCGAGTTAATTTTCACTACCTAACTGATAAAAAATTATCTGGGCATGTACTGAAGAATGAATTTTTGCAGCTTAGTGAGATAAGTCATTCATACTTTAACAAGAATATTTTAAACAGAGCTGGTTATTCCTGCAGGGAAACCATATTCAGATCAAACTAATTTCTTAAATGACATAAAAGGAGTGAGCAGCTTTGAGGTGTCTTATGTAACTAAGTGCTGACGGCTTGGGACTAGATGATAGAATGACAGAGGAAAGGGAAGCTGAATCTTTGAAATGGTAAAATTATAATTTAAGAATCACAGTAAATATCACCTGCCAGGTATTAAAATGATTAAAGAGCTTATTTTTTCCACACTGCTATTGTGATAGGTTTTATAAACAAATAATTTTAAGTACACTAACCTTTTAAGCACCAGTAATTAGCTGAGAAAAACAAACACAAATGTTCTTGAAGAGAGAGCAAACCCTGAGGGAATTCAGTCCTCTGAAATTATGCTAAGTATTACTGAAATAATTCTAGGTGGCTCCCACCCCTAAAAGAAATCCTTTTAAATTTTTCTCCTGTTTTCTAACATATATAACTTTTATGACAGCTAATTGACAGAATTATTTACTAATATAGGTGGATCTGCCTATGGATAAAACCTTCCAGGATATTTTGGGTTCTCACCAGAACTCAAAATACTGTCTACAATGCTTCTGAATGGAAAGGGCCCTGGATTGGCAGACAGTGGCTTTGCTACCAAATAGTTATAGTTTTGTCACCTCCCTTCTTTGGAGTTTAGTTTCCTAGTCTGTTGAATACAGAAATGAGATTTAATGATCTCCAAGGTCCGTCCTGACAACTCTTAAGTTCCACAATTGAGTTTGAACACTTTTACACAAAGATGACTTCAACATTTAATCCCTGAAATAAACTAAACATATGTAGAAACCAGTAATGTAGGGATAGGATAATATTTTTTAATATCTCCCAATAGGTGTTCCATTATTGTTAAACTGGGTTCTCTCTTGAGCACTTCATCAGCTATCACGGCTCCAAGAAAGGGAGCAGAAGAAATGCCAAATCTCAAAAATGAAGAGGATACGGTACAGAAGGAAAGTTCCTGACAAATGGGAAGGAGAAAAATCCATTCCTTAAAAACCCTGGGGCATGATGGAAAGAAGAAAAGGGTACAAGGAAGAGGTTAATCAGACTCAGTGTGCTTACTTTCCATCCCCTCTCAGGGTGGAAACTAGAATTGAGGGTATGTAGTTGACATATGCACAGAGACATAGGGAAATCCAAGAAAGTTGGAGATAGTGGTTTGCGTCCCTGGACATGTCTGTGAAACACTAAGACGTCTAGGAGTTCTACTTTCAGCCTGCCAGCATGTTCAATATGACATAAGGAGAAAAATGCAACATTGTTGGATAGTGGCTCAACAACTAGTAAGCCCAAAGCAAGGCTCCTGGCTCATCAAGGCCTACACGTGGTATTCGGGGAATCCAGAAGTACCCATGTGTCTCAGTGAGAACCATGAGGATCAAGGGACCTGTGGAGACTCGGGGTCAGTACAAAGAGGTTATAGTGTATGGGGCAAATGGCTCATGTATGGATTTCAGCAAAAGAAATCAGCCTCAAAAGTACAGAAATGACCAGTTTTATGAGTAATAAATGATAAACGACAGTGGCTGCCATCAGACAATACTAGCCACTCCACGCCAGAAGACAACATAAGGACTGGCATTAGTGGCTTAGATGCCCTTGTAAACCTCCCTATTCCTCAGGGATGCTACCACCCTACCAGTTACTCTGTGAATTTGAAAAAGGTGCTTCCTTTCTCAAGACACTTTACTACCATCTATCAGGAAATTGTCATAATATACTAATTTTGCTAAAACAAGGCATTTTACTGCCATATGTCAGAGAATTGTTGCAATAAACTTAGAAATCTAGGGTATGTAAAAGATACCCCTTATACCACATATAACAACCCTAAACCCCGCCCCTCCCATTAATATATTAGAAGGAGAGTTGGGGAAATAAAAGGTGAAAGCAGTTATGTTTTTTAAAAAATTGAGATGATGTGGGGACTTGAAGTTAAAATTACAGAAAATAAACAAGCTACATTTTCTTTACATCTGAATTAATGTAAGTAAAACTTCCACTCTGCCACACCAAAATACAAACTCTTTATGCCCAATATTTTCCTTTTATTAGTATTTCCCATAACACCTTATATACATATTAATGCATACACGGAAGGAGCCAAAAAGTACTTGTCAAATAAAAAAGTAAATTTTTAGAAAAATCAGAAATGATGGACACACTTATATGTATAACGTAATTTTCCTGTACTTTTACTTTTCCCCTATGTTTATTTGAACAAACCTAAAATTGTACCCATTTGCACCTAGCTAACCACCATAAAAATTTGGAGTTCTCCAGCTGTTTTGTAACAGCTGTCCTCCTCAAATATTTTTTTGAGAAACAAACATAGACCTACGTTTCTCTATTTTTCTGGACTAAAGAGAGATCATCTCAAAATCACAGAACTCTTAAAAATTGAAAACAGGATCATGTAGTCTAAAATAAGTTCTTATTTAAACTTGGGAGGTGAGGGGGGCGGGGCTGACATCTAGAAAGGTGAAGTACTTTGCCTGTAGTCACACACCAAGTCTGGGACTCAACACACAGGCTCGCCTCTTTGCGTCTCTCCCTCCTTCCAAAATACATTTTCCTCCCTCTCAAAAGCTTTATCACGCTTTGTAGTTGCTTAATTATCTATGTCAAACCTAGAGAGCAACTGATGACACTCAGAGACATCGCCCAAAGTTCTGAAAACCAGATAATCAGATAAACTGCCAGTTTTACCACATCCAAAAAATGCACAACAAAAGAGAGAAGGGGGAGAATCGAGAATACATTTTCAGCCGCAAGGCAATAAAAACACGTTTCCCTTGGAGAGAGATTATGTTGGGGGCATCAGGTATAAAGGTAATTCCTGTTGAGGGTTTTTCTTTTCCTTGCAGTTTGTGGGACCTAAAAAAAAAAAATTAAAAATTAAATCACATAAACAATCACAACATCAACACATTTACTTCTCTCCTCTCACATATTATTTTCCCACACATTGTATACACTTCTTCAAAGAACAAATCAAATTGGCCAAAGGTCAAAGCCTTTTCAAGGTTTAGATGATATACGATTAGGCACCGACTCCAAACTTCGCTTACCAAGCCCAAAGCTCGGAGACGGAAATCTTCAGGGTTTGCAAATACCCTCAGCTTGGCTAAAGGGCACGAAATCTCTAGCGCTCCCTACAGCTCAGATTTTGAACCCACCTACCACAGAAAACCCGAGTTACCAAAGATTGGCTCCCTCGTTCCACTTTTTTTTCAGCTCAAAAAAATCGGGTGAAGGTTGGGGTAGGGGGGAAGCTGAAACGGCGAACCGAAGGATTAATCACTTCTCCCCATTACATCAGCAACCCCCGCCCTTTCCTCCGAGCACCTCCTCTCCCAGAATCGTCGCTACGCACTGGCGCTCTCTTCGCCCACCCCCTGCTCTATTATTTGCCCTGATACCTCCCCATTATCACCCGCCCCGCCACACTCCCCCTTTCCTCTTTCCCCCTCCTAGGCGGGGGAGGGAGGAAACCCGAGAGAGGAAACAGGGCGTTGAAGGGACTTCGCGATAAGAGCGGAGGCCCCATTGGCCGGAAGGTTGTACGGGCGCCTTAGATTGGCCGCCTGGACGGAATCCCCGCCCCTCCTTTCCCCGCCCACCCACCCCTCCCCCCGCCGCCCCGCGGCCCTCCCCCGCGCCCCCGGCCAGCCCCGCGGCGGGGAGGGACCGACTGGGCGAGTGGAGGCTCCGGCGGTGTCAATGGCTCCTCCTGCCACGGAGCAGCAGCAGAAGCAGCGGCGACAGGGCTGACGAGGAGGAGGAGGAAAGGTTCCTTTAAGGAGGAGGAAGGACGACGCCTCTTTTTCCCCCTATCTCCTCCCTTCACACTCATTTCCCCTTCGCCGAGGAGAGAAGGGGGGGAGGAGAGAGAAGAGACCGAAGAAAGAGAGAAAAATTCCTCACAGAAATCTCTTTCAGGGGGTGTGGGGGGGAGGAAGAGGGAAAAAAAAGAGCCGGGCGCCCCCTGCTCCCTCCCTCCCTTCTCTCCCTCTCTTTTTCTCCCTTCCTCACCCGCCCGCCCACTCCCCCCGCTGCCGGAGACGCCGCTCGCGAGTCGGCGGGACCGGGATCTGTCTCTTCAGCCGCCGCCGCCGCCGCCGCCGCGCTTCGCCTCGGGATCCCCAAGCGGCGGACGCCCTTTCTTTCTTTCTCTCGGTCTGCCCGTCTTTCTGCCTTCGTCCCTCGCGGCCGCCCCGCCCGGCGGCTTCGGCCTTCCCCGTGCGTCAGGCCCTCCCGGCCGGCCTCGCTCGGTCTCCGTCTGTCTACCCGGGCCTTTCTCCGGACTCGGGGTCCCGCTCGCCCCCTCCGCCCTCAGCGTCTCCCCTTCCCCTCGCCCCCTCTCCTTCCTCCCCCCTCTCCCACTCTCCCCACCCCTTTCTCCTGCCCCGAAGCTCGCTGTGCGTGTGCGTGTGTGTGTCCCTCCGCCAACGCCGCCACCTCAGCCCGGCAAATGAACTCCGTCCGAGCCGCCAACCGGAGACCCAGGCGAGTGTCGCGGCCGCGCCCGGTGCAGCAACAGCAGCAGCAGCCCCCGCAGCAGCCGCCGCCGCAGCCGCCCCAGCAGCAGCCGCCCCAGCAGCAGCCTCCGCCGCCGCCGCAGCAGCAGCAGCAGCAGCAGCCTCCGCCGCCGCCACCGCCGCCTCCGCCGCTGCCTCAGGAGCGGAACAACGTCGGCGAGCGGGGTAAGGCCGCGCTACCTCCCAACCGCCCGCCTTCCCGGGCACCGCGGGAAGGGAGGCCGGGGCGGGCGGGCGGGCGGGCGGGCGGGGGCGGCCTGCGCGCCCTGGGGGTGGGAGACCCAAGCTGAGCGGAGGCGGGTCCCCCGGTGCCGCAGTGTCAGCCCGGGCCGGGCCCGGCCGGCAGGAAAAGCCGCGGCTTCCCTTCTCGCCTGGGCTCTCGCTCAGGCCGCGCTTTGTTTGGTTTCGGGGGCTCAGCACCCTCCACCCCCACCCATCCCTTTGGCTTCTCCGCTCGCTCACAGACCCCGCGGGAGTCTGTTGGTGGCCGGGGGGAAGGCGAGCGGCGTGATTTCTCCCTTTTCTGCCGCCTTCCATGGTTTAGTCTGCCTCTTTCTAGTGGTAGGTGGGGGGAGCGACTGGGAGCGATCGGGTGGTGGGGTTGGCTGGGGAACTTGTTTTCCCCCTCTTTTCTGTGTTAGCCTACCCCTTCCTGAGGAGGAGCGGGAGAGGGGAATCGGGGTGGTCTGTGGTGTTGGCAGGGGAACTTGTTTCCCCCGCCCCCCCGTCCCTGGTCACGGGGTAGGGGGAGCAGCGACTCCTCTCCCAACCCCACAGTGTTTGCTGCGCAGTTTGTCTTTAGTTACGAACCCCTGGGAAGGACCCATTAAATCAAGACCTTTAAATAAATAAATATAGAATCCATCGGCCATTTCCAGCCCCCTCCCTCGTGTGCAGTGCAGTTACCCTTCCGCTCTATCGACACCCCCTCGCCTGTCCTCCCCGAGCGACCCCCCATGCCGCGGTGCTACTCTCCGTCTCCTAGTGGGGTTTGAACGCCCCTTGCTTAGAACTGGCCCCTTGGGATATTTTGTGTGTGTGTGTGTGTGTGTGTGTGTGTGTGTGTGTGTGTTTGCGCGCGCGCGCGTGTGTGTGTTGTGTCCAAGGCCTAGTGAAATGTGTCATTTGGACCCAACTGTTTAGCACTGTCTGGTAACCACCATTGTCTAAGGGCTGAGGCTCCCCGAGGTTGAAATCCTGCTTTAGCAAAAATAATGTTCAGTTCTACTTGGATGATGTGGTTATTTTGGGAGGTTTATGAGGGGGGGTGTTGCACCTTGGTCTCCAAACATAACCATTCTCTTTATTAATTAGCTGTTCGCAGTAGTGGTAGAGGTCAGAACCGTATTTATGTGTACGGTTGTTGTTTTAAGGAGGAGGAGAATTGTTAGGAGACATTTTGCGTGTTTTAGTTGGCGGATTAAGGTTAATTTTACATGCGTTTGTTGTCACACCTCCATTGGTTAAAGGGATTGAGATTAAATGTTTTTTAAAATTATACATTATTTCCTTAAAAACGGTTTCATTGTTATACTTGATCACAATATTTAACAAATGAAGGAGGGAGATGTTAATCGGAAAATAGTTTAAAAGGCTTTCACCAGTCACTGTTAAAGGTAGTCTTAGAGAAAGCAGTTTGCTATATGTTGCTTGAAAGAATGTGATGTTTCAAGGCAGTTGGAGATCTTGTGCAACATAATTGGTAAAAGTGTTTTATTTCTTTGATACATTTACCATTTTGGGGGTAAATTTTAAAAATCTGTAGTCTCATTATTTCCTTTCACATATGTCTATCAGTGTTCTTCTGATGTTCCGTTCAAATAATGTTCTTCTTCCAGAATTGCCACTGTATGCAGTACAGCTGACAAATATGTTTGAGAAAACAATGACACTCGATTGAAATTCTAGCCTTTAATATTAAGGATTCTATTGCTACAGTAAGCTTTTTCAAGATGTGGTAATTGGTTAATAATATTAGCATTGGATCAAAACGTGTCAAACAATTTAGTCTCCTTGTGTATTTTAAAATGTTTACTCTGAATTTTCATTTCAAGGTTTGTGTGTAATTTCGAACTTAGTTGATGTAATTTTGTCTTGGACACTTTTATTCATTTGTTCAAAATTATTAGCTACTGAGGTCTATTTTCATTTCTATGTGAGGTAAGGTGACTTGGTTGTTGGCAGTCACATGCCAGTGTCAATTTTCTTCTCATTGATGTCTATAAACTGTCAATATTCATGAATCCAAATTTCAGTATGTACCCAACCAAATGGTAAATGAAATTTACTGTAGAATTGTTGCTTCTCTGCAGCTAGTACAAACTGTTTTGGAGATTCTGTGTTGGCACAGAGCAGAGAGGAAAAGAACTTTAGGGAAAATAGTGTGAGTCTTAAAGAGGGCACATAAATGGCCTTAAAATGAATAAAACATTAAGATGAATTCGTTAACTAAAATAATAAAGATGTTGCCAGCCATATGGAAAAATATGTTATTCTTTGAAAAATTGACATTTTAATTACGTTTTTTTAAATGTCCGATTCATATAATGATCAGAAGTTAACTAAGAATACTCTATTTCGAAAGTTTTATGGAGCACGCAAAGTGTCACTTTCTAGTTTGGAAAGAAAGGGATTTTGTTGTTGCTAGTTTAGGAATATGCTGGGTTTAATTATTACAGGATAATTAAAGAACTAAAGCTAAGAATGTATGTGTGGTTTTTGTTTTTTTTTTTTTAACCTTTTACTAACTCTTAATGGATATGTAACATTTGCATTAGGATCTTGGATAGAGTTACTTAATAGTGGATCAGACAACTTTCCAGATAGGGAATCAAAGTGAGACTCGCTGTTTTGAGACAAACTAGTTCAGACTGTATATAAAATCATTTGTTTTATATAAAGATGCATTTCAGGTTCTTTAGTGGTAATAAAATAGTTACAGTATAATATGTTTTCAGGCAAAAAGTCTGTCAGAATGGTCTTTAGCTGCTTCATTGCCCACAGGTTAATTGGTATAAAAACTTCCTTGACACCACTTTTAAATATATTTACATACACACGTGTGTATGTGTATGTGTGTGTGTATGTGGGTATATTTGTGTATATACATGTTTGTACATACATTATGTGTGTGTGTATATACGCTTTGTCTTATCTGTAATGGCCAGTGTTTGAAGAAGAAAGAAACTAGACCCTATAGATTAAAATCTTTGAGGATTTTTCAAAGCTTTCCATGGGGGAGCATTTCTTACACCCCACGTAAGGAAATATTGGTCTGGGTATTTCATGGACTATTGTGTTCACTCGTTAGCTGAAATGATCAGCTATCCTAAGACTAAATACTAGCCTAATCATTAGCTTTTTTAATTTCTTAAATTCCTGAGATTGGGATTTCATGTACTAGTAGAATTGTATTTTACAGGCCCAGAGCAATGGCTCACGCCTGTAATCCCAGCACTTTGGGAGGTCGAGGCAGGTGGACCACGAGGTCAGGAGTTCAAGACCAGCCTGGCCAACGTAGTGAAACCTCGTCTTAACTAGAAATACAAAAATGAGCCAGGCATGGCGGCTCACGCCTGTAATCCCAGCTACTCTGGAGGCTGAGGCAGGAGAATCGCTTGAACGCGGGAGGCTGAGGTTGTAGTGAGCTGAGATCACACCATTGCACTCCAGCCCAGGTGACACAGTGCAAGACTCGGTCTCAAAAATAAAAACTGTATTTTACGCAGTGACAATTCGGTAATATAGTCCATGATTTAATGAAACAGTAGTGTGGGATTGGATTTTTGATATTTGTTTTGTTTTAAAATTCTAGAAGGAGTTAGCTTTTGCAGCCCGTTCTGATGAATTTATTGTCTTTACTGCAGGAATGTATTTTGTAATTTTTTTAGATATTACAAAGTATGAGGAAAGCTTACAAGTCTACAGAAGTGCTGTGTGTTCTCATCAGTAGATTTTAGTTGTTAAAATTAATTACTTTGAACTGAGATTGCACCACTGCACTCCAGCCTGGGTGACAGAATGAGACTCCATCTCAAAAAATAAATAATAAATAAAATAAAATTAATTACTTTGAATAGGTAATATTGCCACAGTTTAAAATTCAGAAGTCCCCTTCGTACATCAGCCTCCAGCTACTAAATTCTTCTACCTGGAATCTAATAACTGTTATTAGTTTCTCATTTATTACCTTTTAATAAAAGATGAATTTGGGTTCTGGAAATAATCTTGACATGGGAGTTTTTGAAAATAGATGTATTTTTTTTCTAGTTATTGGAAAAGTCACAGGACTGTTTTGAAGTGCTGAAAATCTAATTGTGATATTTATAGTTCAAGAAATTTAATGAATGCATTAATAGATTTTGCTATTCATTTCTACTCTGAGCTAATCTTGTAGAATAAAAACCTAGTCTCTCTAATCCCATATTTGTGGGATAAAAATCTTATCTATGACACACATATATATGTACCCACATATATATACATATATATGTATATATGTACACACGTGTGTATATATATACATGTACACACGTGTGTACATATATACATATATATGTATATATATGTACACACGTGTGTATATATATACATATATATGTGTATATATGTACACACGTGTGTATATATATACATAAATATATATATCTCCCCACCGGCAATATTTTATGTAATATTATACGTACTGAATGATTTCAATTTTTAAAAACCCTGCAATTCCATAAATACGTGTATATATATACATATATATGTGTGTATATATACGTGTATATATATACACGTGTGTGTGTATACGTGTATATATATACACGTGTGTGTATACGTGTATATATATACACGTGTGTGTATACGTGTATATATATACACGTGTGTGTATACGTGTATATATATACACGTGTGTGTATACGTGTATATATATACACGTGTGTGTATACGTGTATATATATACACGTGTGTGTATACGTGTGTGTATACGTGTGTATATACGTACGTGTGTGTATACGTGTGTATATACGTACGTGTGTGTATACGTGTGTATATACGTGTGTATACGTGTGTATATACGTATATATGTGTGTATACGTGTGTATATATACGTGTATATACTTTTTTCTCGACACTGTACTGATGAGGAATGAGCTGTATATTTATAATATGCAGCAGCCAGGAGACACTCCTTGCTGTTCTAGTCAGGAATGCTAGTTATACTTTCTGTGGCATTGTTCTAGCATGTGATATTTTAACTTCATGGATCCTGTGCAGTCTTAATAGAGGAGTTCTGCACAAGAAACATGATTTTTCCTGTTTTAGGAAGTAAGTACTGTGGGGTACTACTCTGTCATCTGGTGGCTAACCCTTCCAAATGTATCCCATGAGAGGAGACAGTGCCACTCAACCTTTTGGAGGCAGGAAGTATGGGAGCTGTAAAAAGAGCCTATTTTCTTAAAGCTTGGAACTTACTTGAGGGATAGAAACAGAGTAGTGTTGCTATTAGTGTTAAAGTTGTGCTGATGAGGCCTAAGAGCTCTGCTGATAAGGCCTAAGAGCTCTTATCCTGCTTTTCTCCCTTTACTGGAAATTCTGACAAACCCAAGAGAAGGCCAACCAGCTTGGAGACCTACTAGGTAAGGCAGGAACCACAAGTAGTTCCTGATCTGTTAGTGAGAACCCCTAGTTTGAGTATTTTCTCAAGTCCCCCCGCCCCCCACCGTTTGTTTTAACTTTGAAAATAACCAGTTTACAGTAATGAGCTATTTCAACATGAGGTCTTTTATTGTCCCCCTATTTATCCCTGATATTAAAGTTACTCTTATTTTGTTTCTGTCTTGTCCCACTTATCTTTGAAGTATTACTCTGTTTTAGACCTTCCAATTCACTGATTTATCAGACCT
Organism: Homo sapiens; assembly: GCF_000001405.40. Classification (NCBI taxonomy): domain Eukaryota; kingdom Metazoa; phylum Chordata; class Mammalia; order Primates; family Hominidae; genus Homo; species Homo sapiens. Next base: position 47,899,762 of record NC_000002.12, on the reverse strand, counting down.
TTGAAATATATTCTTATCTTCCACAGAATTATAGTATGTGACTTTGTTGGCAAAGTATTCCCCAAATTGTAGTTGCTACCCTGTGAAAATAAAATTATGAAGATACACTATAAGGAATGAGACAGTATGATGTAAAGAGCTCAGAGTTAAAGCTAGCTAGATATGGGTTCTAATCCTGACTACACATCTGATTAGTTATTTAACATTTGGTGAGCAATGTTACCTCTCTGAGCCTTACTTTGTGATCTTTCAAGTGGGAATCACACCTGCCTTATAGAACATTTGTAAGGATGAGAGATAGTAAAGTTCCTAGCACATGATAGATATTTAATAAATGATAGGTCTTTTAAATATAAAAAGTAAGGGATTGTATCAGCTGTATATAAAATTAAACCCAAGAGATAAAATTCAATCTGTATGACTTGTTACAACCTCAGAGAAACTGATTTGTTGAAGCTTATACCAATTCTTTTTTTTTTTTTTTTTTTTGAGACGGAGTCTTGCTCTGTCGCCCAGGCTGGAGTACAGTGGCGCGATTTCGGCTCACCGCAAGCTCCGCCTCCCGGGTTCACACCATTCTCCTGCCTCAGCCTCCTGAGTAGCTGGGACTACAGGTGCCCACCACCACGCCCGGCTAATTTTTTGTATTTTTAGTAGAGACCGGGTTTCACCATGTTAGCCAGGATGGTCTCGATCTCCTGACCTCGTGATCCGCCCGCCTCGGCCTCCCAAAGTGCTGGGATTACAGGCATGAGCCACCGTGCCTGGCCCCCTTATACCAATTCTGTAAGAGATTTTATTACTTTTTTTTTTTAATAAATGAAGAAGTAGAGGCTCAGCTATACAACAATGAAGATGCATAGTAAGTAGCAAAAAAATTTCAAAATTGATTTATATCACCTAATCTTTCTATAAACAAGGAAAGATACCAAAATACATTTGGCAGAATGTTTGTATAACTTTCAGGGGATGCAATAACCTGCCCCTTGAAGCAGATCTGTCCCCTGTTCTATACCATCTGTCCTATTGGAGATGGCTGCACTAGTCTGATGCTATTGATTGTTGACTTATCTGGTTTCACATTTTTCAAGTAATCTTCTGATTATAATTTTACCTCTCATGTAGATTTGTCTCAAGATGAGACTCTACTGATTGACCAGCATGTTTTTCCAGTGTGTTGATGAGATCATTAAGCACTCATTATACAAAGAAGGGTAGATTTCCCCTGAATTACTCATAAGTTATGAATAAAGGGTATTAACTGATTTTAGCTCATGGTTGTAGGCTGGACTATTTCAGAAGGAGAAAAATGTGCGTTAAATTAGTTTTAGATTTCAGTGGTAATTTTGACTGGTTTGTGGACTAAATATTCTTTTCTCACCATGGTTTGGTGTGTTTCTTATATGTGTAGCTTGGAGTTTTTATATATGTTTGGTTAGCATAAAAAATGTGCTTAAACTTAATCCTTAGAAAATAGAGAAATGAAACCAACTAACTTCCTTTACATGATTTATTTCAGTTGAAGGCAAATATCAAAAATGTTTATTTTCCTTTGAAAATGAATGCATTAATTGCATTTAAAACGTTTTTTAAACACCCCGAATAAGATAGCATGTTAAAGCAAGTGTGAGTTCAGTATGTTAATTGCTTGCTCTCCCAGTTTCTAAAAACCCCGTTGTTAAATGTTTTGTTCTTTTTAACAAATGAAGATCATGGGGCTATGTTCAAAAAGGGGAGAAAATTGTTTTCTTCCATGTGGTGACTAAACCTTAAAAAACATTAAGGAATATTTTCACATCTCATGAGAGAAGAGGTGTCATTCATCCTTTTTTTTGTGTGAAGAGAGCTTTTGTATTTTCTCATACTTAGAGATTATTTGAAGGCTAGAAATGGAGTAAGAATATGTACTTTTAGTTATTTTTCTGATAATAGTGATAATCTCATTTTTACTCTTTTTTCCTAGTGAACAACACTCCTTTTCCAGATGGTTGAGTTGAATTGTGGCAAAATCTTTGTTGGAAATTTTTCTTTTTTCTTTTCCTTTTTTTTTTTTTTTTTTTTGGTTTAAGACACAGTCTCACTCTGTCACCCAGGCTGGAGTGCAATGGTGTGATCTTGGCTCACTGCAACCTCTGCCTCCTGAGTTCAAGTGATTCTCCTGCCTCAGCCTCCTGAGTAGCTGGGATTATAGGTGCACACCACCATGCCTGGCTGATTTTTGTATTTTCAGTAGAGACGGGGTTTCCCCACGTTGGCCAAGCTGATCTCAAACTCATGATGTAAAGTGATCTGCCCGCCTAAGCCTCCCAAAATGCTGGGATTACAGGCGTGAGCCACCTCACCCGACCAGAAGTTTTTCTTTAGTGTGAAATTAACTGGCCACTGTGTGGGTTTAACCTTTGATATTGGTGTCTGTGTTACTGTAGTGTAACCAACTGACTTGAATCAGTTTAGCCTTTGCTGATTTGCCAACTCTACTTGGGTTTAGATACAATAATTCTTTTTTATATCCAAGCATTGATTTTTCTATCTTCCATTCATAGTATATTAACATACTGTATATAAGAACATGTGGCTTTATGAGATTCTAACACTTAGTAGGAAAGGGGATGGGGAAGAGGAAGAGCATGTAACTATTTTTTATTCCCTTGTTATATATTGAGATGGACAACTTTGGTATGTATGTTACTAGTTATTGTTTCTTCCCACATAATTGGTCATAACTTTTTGAAAAAAGAAAAAAACAAGCTTTAAAGGGAATTAGAAGTGAATAAAATTTAACAAATGAAAAGTAGGAGTCTTTCCAGACTTCTATCATAGTAAAGAAGAAATATCAAAGAAGATTTGTTGAGAGAAATAGAAGTTGGAGTAAGGCACTATATTTTGAAAGCTAGTATTTTTAGCAAAGTGTTCTTATGGTAAAGGAAATTATAGACTCACTCACTTTATTTCATATAAGGTCAGCAATACATAAAAGTAGCCACTATACTACTTCACACTTACATATGAATGACTGATGTCTTCATTAATTCTCTGAAAGACATTTGCATTTTTAAGAGACTGATTATGATAACTTGTCAAATTTTGGTATTTTAGGCCAAGTAAAAGAGGGAAGCGAAATTAAACAATTGGGCGGGGCATAGTGGCTCATGCCTGTAATCCTAGCACTTTTTGGGAGGCTGGGTGGGGTGGATCGCTTGAGCCCAGGAGTTTGAGACCTGCCTGGGCAACATGGCGAAACCCCGTCTCTACAGAAAATACAAAGTTAGCTGTGGGGTGGTGGCCCATGCCTGTAGTCCCAGCTACTCAGGAGGTTGAGGTGAGAGGATCATCTGAGCCAGGGAGGTCAAGGCTAGAGTGAACTGTGATTGAGCCACTGCACTCCAGCCTGGGTGACAGAGTTTTAAGACCTTGTCTCAAAAAAAAAAAAAAGAAAAGAAACAATTTGGAGAAAGATCTTTCGGGTAGGAGTGATTCTTCAGAGGCAAATAAAGTATTGGGGGAGGGGGAGAGTAAAGGATTCCTGCAAGAATCACTTAACATTACGTGTTTATTTCTTTTCCTGATCTTTTTCTGACTTTTAAATTTTTCTCTTAAAGTTTCACTTTTTAGAAAATACTCAAAAGACTAATTTTGGGGTGAGGATTGTGAGGGAGAGAAGTAGAGTATGTATGAATCATTTGTGTTAGCAATAGTTGTTTGAATTAGAAACAGTCTATAGTTTTTAAAATATAAATGGGCTATATACATTTAAAACTATATAGTTATGGCTGGGCATGGTGGCTCATGCCTGCAATCCCAGCACTTTGGGAGGCTGAGGCGAGTGGATCACGAGGTCAGGAGTTCGAGACCAGCCTGGCCAACATGGTGAAACCCTGTCTCTACTAAAAATACAGAAATTGGCTAGCTGGGTATGGTGGCAGATGCCTGTAATCCCAGCTACTCGGGAGGCTGAGGCAGGAGAATCGCCTGAAACCAGAAGGCAGAGGTTGCAGTGAGCCCAGATCATGCCACTGCACTCCAGCCTGGGTGAAAGAGTGAAATTCTGTCTCAAAAAAAAACAACAACATAAACTATATAGTTATTTAAATTGTGGAAATAATTTCTGCTAATCTTGTAATTGAAATATGTAAGTGCACAAATCATCCGTGTACAGCTTGATTACTTTTCCTGAAGTAAACACATCTGTGTAACCAAAAATACCTACAGCAAGGAATAAAGCACTACTAGTATCCCAGAAGTGTCCCCCTTGAAGGGCCTTCCTAGTCACTGTTCCCAACCCCATCTTTCTGATTGCTTGGATTACTTGTGCCTGTTTCTTAACTTTATGTAAATGTAACCCCCCAGTATGTACTCCTATGTGTCTGACAGAATTCTCCCTTAATATTTGTTGTGAGCTTCATCCATATTGCTGCTTGTAGCATTAGTTTTTTCATTGTTCATTCTTGTTGCTGTTTAGTATTACATTGTATGAATATACTACAGTTTATCCATTCTACAGTTGATGGACATAGGATTGTTTTTGTGTTTGGATGTCAGGAGTAGTGCTACTGTGAGCATTCCTTTTTATTTTTCTGCATTTTTTTCTTTGCATATGTGAGCATTCTTACACATTTGCCACATTCCGTGTGAGTTTTATACCTCAGCATATATCATTGCTGATATTTTCTCAAAGACAAAATTTCCATTTACTTTGCAAGAAATGGAAACTAAAACAGCTTTAAGGTGTGTGAATATGGCATCTCATAATTATGTTACTAAAATAATTGGAAATTATTTTATTTTAAATATTGGTGTTTTTCTTGAGTCTCTTGGTATCCTTTAACAGTTCAGTCTTGAGGCTTACAGTGTTAACCTTTTCCACAAAAAACAGAGGAGGAGACTGCTGTGTTCTTTCCCATTTTCACATTTTCATTTTTTTGCAGATAGCCACAGTTGTTATTAAAATATGTTGGGTTATCATAAACATTGTTTTTGTGCTAAAATTTTTTATCCACAGATTTGATTGATTTAAACTTTGGACACACAAACATTTAATAGTTCTTTTAATTTTAAGTTTTTGCAAGTATACTGTCTAAAAATCTAAGGAACTTTTTTCCCACTAGTCAGAAAGTTTATTCACTAACTTAATATCACTTTGATTTCCCCTCAAAGATTGTAGGTTGGGTTGCTTTGAGGAGTGGAAGACATCTTTTTTGTATTTAAGAATTTTAAAAAAATACTGTGGACTTTAATATGTGATTCTGGGCCTTCATTCCAAAAACTTGCTTCCTTTTGCTGCTGAAGTGGTGATAAGTAATTTTGTTTCTCCACTTAAGTTTGGAACCTGTTTCTTACTCCTTTAAAGTTTATCTCTTTAACTCTTATGAAAATATTTTGCTATTATTTGGACAGTTATTTCATTTCTAGTTTTCTGCATATTCTTGACTACCCTTTATTGTCTTACAATAAGCTTATTTTAAAATTGTGAAACTTTCACAGAAAAATGGGGGCATATTTTGCTTTTAGAGATGTTTTTCTGGTCCTTGACTGGACCTTTCCGTTCCTGGTGTATAGGAGGAAGGTGAAAAAGTGCCTCTGCCCAGCATCCTTGATAAGTTCTTCAAGTGAAAGCTTGTACTAAAGTGCTAGTGGCACATAAACTTGTATTCCTCATGATACAAGTATCCCCTGAGAATGACAGGGCTCTGTTCATCAGGAACTACTTGATTGAAATTGATGATATGGTAGCCTTAGATAGCAAAGGAGGAACATTTCACATTTGCTCTTTCAGCACTTAAGCAGTCCAATGTTAATGCTACCAGTTGATCTTTCTTATCCGCAAAAAGCAGTGTGGAGGAGACTGCCCTTGCTTTCCATTTTCTTTTTTCAACACATAGCCACATTCAGTAAATGTTGCCATTTACTGAACATTATCCCTAAATTTGGGGATAAGGAGCCTGAGCTGCTTCAGGGTGACATTTGTGTCTTCCCTTTTTCCAGAGTGGTTTCTTAATCTTATCTTTAAATTAGAGGATTTTTGAATAAGATGACTTCTGAGATGCTCTAAAATTCTGTATCATTTGGGTTGCCAATATAAATCAGCAAGGTTTGAATTTGTTAGGTTATCACCATGCAAACGTAGTTCTTGCCCTTGTGGAACTTAAAGTTAAGAAACTGAGTTTAAATAAAATTTGAAATTAGTCTGAATTGCAAGTAAGCTTCTTGGTTTTATTTTCATTGTCTTCTGGTTTTTAATTTTTCTTCTAACAAGTAGAAATCAACTTTTGTATTGAATAGATTAATAATTTATCTCCTGAGCCACCCCATGTTTTTCTGCCTGAATAAGATACATACATATTTCTAGGGATAGAGATACACAGATCTGTTTATCCTTATATCTCCAGTATGTGTGTATATATATATATATGCACATACACATGTGATTTATATATATTTATAAAACACTGAAGTTTCATGTAGCCTTAGCCGTAGACTGTTTGCAAGACCAGCAGAGTATGTTAAAAGAGTTTTCTGTGAAATGTTAATAAGATAAAGGCTTGTTTTGACCCCCACGGTCTGGTATATGTTCTGCCATTTATTTATTTATTTATTTAATTTATTTTTTTTGAGACAGAGTATCACTGTGTCATCCAGGCTGGAGTGCAGTGGTGCAATGTTGACTCACTACAGCCTCTACTCCTGGGTTCAAGCAGTTCTTGTGCCTCAGCCTCCGGATTAGCTGGGATTACAGGCACGTGCCACCATGCCTGGTTCATTTTTTTGTATTTTTAGTAGAGACAGGGTTTCACCATGTGAACCAGGCTGGTAATTATTTATTGAATTACCTTTGGACCACACTTCAAAAGTTGTTGCAGCCTAGCGATTATGTTATAGCATTTTGATGTAAATGACTTAAAAAAAAACGCCTAGATAAGAAAATTAACTGCAGAGTTGGGGTTATTAATCTTGCTTTTGTGGTATTAGCTTTTTTCATTATATTCATTGTTTTGGCTGTTACATTCATTGTTTTGGCCATGTATCTAGAAATTGAAGGTAGGAGGACAGGTTTAAATTAAATTATATGTTGCTAGAATTTAAGCACCTCAATTGCAGAGATAAAACAACATTTTGTTTCCTCATAAGCATGTTTAATCCCACATAGCAAGCAGTAGTTGTAACTCCCAGGATGCCTTTATGAATCTTTCTGATTCTGCATTGCAGCATGTCAGAGGAAACCTGTACTCTATTTCTGCATCATGTGAGAACCTTGTAGCTGAATATATCTAGAGTTGAAAAACTGAGCTGGAAGATCCGGATGTAGGGAGGTTGATCACAGTATGTAAAGTTAAGTCCCTGGTTTTAGGGGGCTAGGAAAGTGTTACATACCAATCAGTGACATGTGTTAATAACACATGCAATGAAACAGAAAATATACCCTTTCGGGTGAAATATCTAAAAATTTTTGGTGAAATGTTAACTAATATCTTGAGATGGTGGTGGCGAGTTGATTTTTGTTATTCTTTTACATATCTTTGCTTTTCAAATACTGTATATGGAATCTACAGGGAGGGAGGCTTTGTGACATTGTCTTTGGCAGTGATTTCATGGATACAACACCTAAAGGACAGGCAACAAAAGTAAAAATAGACAAGTGAGACATCAAACTATAAAGCTTCTACACAGCAAAGGAAACAGTCAACAAAGTGAAAGGGCATCCTATGAAATGGGAGAAAATATTTGCAAACCATATATCTGATAAGGAGTTAATCTCCAAAATATTTAAGGAACTTCTGCAACTTAGTGGCAGAAAAACTAATAACCTATTTAAAAATGAGCTAAAGACTTCAATAGACATTCTCCAGAGAAGACATACAGATGGCAAGCAAGTATATGGAAAAAGACTCAACATCATTAATCATCAGGGAAATGCAAATAAAAACCACAATGAGATATCTTTTCATCCCTATTAGGATGACTGTTTAAAAAAAACATAGAAGACAAGTGTTGGTGAAGATACGTAGAAATTGAACCCCTTATACACTGTTGGTAGAAATGCAAAATGGTGTAACTATTATGGAAAACAGTGTGGAGGTCCTCAAAAAATTAAAAATAGAACTATCATATGATCCAGCAATTCTTCTTCCAAGTATTTATTCAAAAGAAATGAAATCAGGAACTTGAAGAAATACTAGCACTCCCATGTTTATAATGGCACTATTCACAATAGCCAAGATGTGGAAACAGCCCACAACATGTCCATTGACAGATGAAGAAATAAAGAAAATGTGGTGTATACATGCAATGGAATGTTATTCAGTCTTAAGGAATTCTGCAATGTGCAACATTAATGTAGTTTGAGGACATTATGCTAAATGAAATAAGCCAATCACAGACAAATACTGCATGATTTCACTTAAATGAAGTTATCTGAAATAGTCAAATTTATAGAATCAAAGAGTGGAATCGTGGTTGTCAGGGGTGAAAGGGAGGGGAGGGGGAAATGTGGAGTTACTAGTCAGCAGGCATGAAGTTTCAGTTAAGCAGGATGAATAAGTTCCGCCATACAGTATTGTACCTATAGTCAACAGTACTGTATTGTACACTTAAACATTTGTTAAGAAGGTAGTATTCATGTATGAGAATAAAGTAAAAAGTAATAGTTTTGGCAGTGGCTCATGCCTGTAATCCCAGCATGTTGGGAGGCAGAGGCAGGAGGATCGCTTGAGCCCGGGAGTTTGATACTAGTCTGAGCAACATAGGGAGACTCCATCTCTACAAAAAAAATTAAAAAAAAAAAAATCCCGGTATGGTGGCACATGCCTGTGGTCCCAACTGCTCAGGAGGCTGAGATGGGAGGATCACTTAAGCTCTAGAGGTCAAGGCTGCGGTGAGCTATGATTGCACCACTGCATTCCAGCGTGAGCAATAGAGCAAGACTGTGTCTCAATAATAATAATATTTTTTTTTTTCTTTTTTTTAGACAGGGTCTCGCTCTGTCGCCCAGACTGGAGCACAGTGGCCCAGTCTTGGCTCACTGCAACCTCTGCCTCCCGAGTTCAAGAAGTCTCCTGCCTCAGCCTCCCAAGTAGTTGGGGTTATAGGCGCTTGCCACCATGTCCAGCTGACTTTTTGTATTTTTAGTAGAGATGGGGTTTTGTCATGTTGGCCAGGATGGTCTCAAACTCCTGACCTCAGGTGGTCCACCCACCTCGGCCTCCTGAGTGCTGGGATTACAGGTGTGAGCCACCGTGCCCTGCCAATAATTTTATAATTCTGATTGTGTCGTGAACTCATACTACTTGATTGATGATACAGTCCCCATGTAGGGCATTTTAAATTTGAATAAAAGCTTAAATGTTACATATTTTTAATGTTGGAAGTGTGCTTTAAGTGCTTATTAATTTATAGACATCTATATTTTTATTCACAGCAACTTTAGGATGATAATTGACTATATTATTTCTAGTAAATGAGGATGACTGATAATCAGGAAGTCAGTTCAGAATTAAAATTAGTCCACTCACCATGGCTCATGCCTGCAGTCCTAGCATTTTGGAAGGATGAGGTGAGAGGATCCTTTAAGACCAAGAGTGCAAGACCAGCCTACCAACATACTGAGACCCTGTCTCTGAAATAAATAAATAAATAAATAAATAATAAAAATTAGCCAGGCCTGGTGGCATGTACCTGTAGTCCTAGCTACTCAGGAGACTGAGGCAGTAGGATTGCTTGAGCCCAGGAATTTGATATTTGGGACTCTGAACCAGTGATTCTTTCTTTCCAGGATAAGTTTGCGACTGTAGCATAAAATTCTTTTTGCGTCAGATAATTTGATTATGGTAGTAAATACGTACAAATGTTTTGCTCACAAGCCTGTTGAATGATGGAAGATGAAAAATTTAGTATGCAAATGTACTGGATAATTAGAAAAGAGGAATTTAATGTTGATCACAACAGGTGGCTATTTTTTCTGAAGGTACCCTAGTGGTATGGACTCATGTCTGTTTAATAATTTTATGTGGGGAATATTTTCTTTTCGTAAAACTTGAGTTTACCTGTGAAGAAATTAGTCACTGTCAATTTATTAGGTGTTGAAACAGATTGCTAAGGGAAATAATTTCATCATTATTGGTTAAAAAAAAAAAAACCCTCTCACTTTCTAAGAGGATTTCTAAGAAGAATGTGTTTGGGAATAAGTAATAACCATTTTTTTAAAAATGTAGGACTTTGAAACATGAATTTAGTTCTTAGATTTTTAATTGACTCATCTCACACTCACTTGATAAGTTGTCGGACCATCTTACAGGCTTCTTATAAACCTAAACCAAGAGAAAACAAGTGTTTTCCTGAGAAAGCACACTAGAAAACCTTCATTAAAGAGATCAACTAAATTTTGTTGCTTTTTGTTTTTTAATTGGAAGCTACTGATGTGGTTAAGGAAAAATCAGTAAGTATAGATTCTAGGGAATAGTCTACATGGTTCTATGAAGAGCCAATCACAGATTTATTTAATGTATTTCTCTGAAACAGTGGCTTTTAGTAGCTGAAGAAGGAAGAAAAGCAACATAACCGGATTTAAACAAAGCTTTTGTTTTTTCATGAAGCAGTCATATTGGTGTTATGTCAGTTGGGGGAGATTTTAGAAAGTTATGTTATGGAAACTGTAACTTATAAAAAAATACTGCTAACTTATAAAAAAAAGTACTGCTAGCCATTTGCACATAGACACTTAGTGAATGAATGTTTCTGTTTTCCTTCATCTTCTCTAGTCCAAGGTGTGTTCATATAATTACCTAATTTACATTATTGAGCATATTAAATATGTTCATAGATGATTAAAAACTGGGTGCGATTAAGTACTCAACCAAGAACAAATCAAATTACTTTGAATAACCTGTTTTTAAAAAAGCAGATGTGTTTTAATCTGTGTGGACAGAAAAAAAATGAGCAGACTCTTTGAACTGTCTAGCTAGAACCAAATATAGCAGATAGGGGCTACAGTTGAGGTTCTGAAGTGTGTGTGGTTTGGGTGCTTGGGTGTGTATAAACACATGATACTGTATCATAGCAATAAGATTTGTAAAACATTGCAATGGCTGAAAAACTGTCTAACAGGAAATTTTAAGTGTTATTCCAAAGAAGAACAAGCCTAAAAGTAAGTTAACCTTTCAGAGTGGTTGAAAGTAATTTTTAAAAGAAAAAGGTTGCTCAGCTATTTTTTTCCTATTATATACTCAGAAGATAGCTAAAGAAAATGAATTTAAATTATTAGACTGACATAAAGAACATCTGGTAAATTCTAAAATGGTCCACTAAAGAAGATTACATCCTTTCTTTTTTGGTGTCAGCTTAGTTTAGATACTTTAAAATTATCTTGGAGATGGTAAATTAGTCAGGAATGGTATTATAGAATGTTTGAAATAGAAGGAACCACTGTCCCAATTCTTGAGGTTTGTTCAGAGTGATGTTTGGATTTAGAGCCCAAGTCTCCAGATTCCCAGTCAGTAATGATAATGTTACCTGTTCTGGTTCCAAAATTGTATCATCATTCTAGTCATTTTTCATTTTAATGAGTTGTTGGACCTACTGATCTGTTTATGGTTACAAGGGGTAGATGGGAGCATGGAATACTCTCTCAGAAGAAATGTGTAAGTGCGAAGTGAGCGGTGTAGATCATGAGTGCCTGGCACCCTAGAAATCCTTAAGTGAATTAAAGAATACATACATATATATATATCTTTCATTTTTTAGGGATTTTTTTTTTCAGACAAGGTTTCACTCTCTCACCCAGCAGGAACACAGTGGCACAGTCACTACTCTCTGCAGCCTCGAACTGCTAGGCTCAAGAGATCATTCTGCCTCACCTCTGCGCCAGTAGCTAGGACTACAGGTGTGTCCCTCCAAGCCCGCTAATGGGTTTTTTTGAGACAGAATCTCAGTCATTCAGGCTGGAATGCAATAGCACAATCTCGGCTCATTGCAGCCTCTGCCTCCCAGGCTCAAGTGATCCTCCTGCCTCAGTCCCCCAAGTAGCTGGGACTACAGGCGTGTGCCACCATGCCCGGCTAATTTTTGTATTTTTTGTAAAGACGAGATTTCACCATGTTGCCCAGAATGGCCTTGAACTCCTGGGCTCCAGCAGTTCGCCCACCTCAGCCTCACAAAGTACTGGGATTACAAGCATGAGCCACCATGCCTGGCCCCACAAAGTGTTTTGTAGAGACAGGGTCTTGTTTTGTCTCCTAGGTTGGTCTTGAACTCTTCACCTTAAGCGATCCTCCCACCTCAGCCTCACAAAGTGCTGGGATTACAGGTATAAGCCACTGGCACGGGACATAGAATTTAAGGGGGAAAGTCAGTTATTTTGTTTTCCCTGTTCTTTCATTCCCAGAGGTAGCTCTTAACTGTTCTTTTGTGTTGGTTCTTTTGAAAAGAAAAAAAAAAAAAATTCGAGATAGGGTCTTGTCTCCCCCCTCCCCCCCACCTTTTTTTTTTGAAACGGAGTTTCGCTCTTGTTGCCCAGGCTGGAGTGCGATGGCACAATCTCAGCTCACCGCAACCTCCACCTCCTGGGCTGAAGTGATTATCTTGCCTCAGCCTCCCGAGTAGCTGGGATTACAGGTATGCGCCACCATGCCCATCTAAGTTTGTATTTTTAGTAGAGATGGGGTTTCTCCATGTTGGTCAGGCAGGTCTTGAACTCCCAATCTCGGATGATCTGCCCACCTCAGTCTCCAAAAGTGCTGGGATTACAGGCATGAGCCACGGTGTCTGCCCTGTCGCTCTTTTACCCAGACTAGAGTGTAATGGCTTGATCACAGCTTAGTGTAGCCTCAACCTCTGCCTCTCGATTAGCTGGAACCACAGGCATGTGCCACTATGCTCAGTTAATTTTTAATTTTTTTTTTGGTAGAGACAGGGGTCTCATTGTGTTGCACAGGCTTTTTCAATTTTTTAAATGCATGTGTATATAAACACTTTTTTTCATTAAAAACAAACCGTACTGTGTGTATTATTTTGTAACCTAAGTTTCATGTTTTGCTTAAAGATATCCTGGGCATTTTTCTGTATCAGTATAAATAGAGGATTACCTCATTCTTTTTTACAGTTGCAGAGTAGTCCCCTTACATGAATGTACCACAATGTATTAAATATTTATCTGTTAACATTTAAATTCTTGTATGCTATTAAAGAACTGCAGCAAACAACCCTATACAAATATCTTTACATGTTTATATCACAATTTTAGTAGAAAGATTCACTTTTTTTTTTTTTTTTTGAGAGTCTCGCTCTGTCTCCCATGCTGGAGTGCAGTGGCGCGATCTCAGCTCACTGCAACCTCCACCTCCCGGGTTCAAGCGATTCTCCTGCCTCAGCCTCCTGAGTAGCTGGGATTACAGGCACACGCCACCATGCCCTGCTAATTTTTGCATTTTTAGTAGAGACGGGAGTTTCACCATGTTGGTCAGGCTGGTCTTGAACTCCTGACCTTGTGATCTGCCTGCCTCGGCCTCCCAAAGTGCTGGGATTACAGCGTGAGGCACCGTGCCTGGCGAAAGGTTCACTTTTTAAAAGTGGGTTATTGGGTCAAAGGGTTTTTCTGTTTTTAAGCTTTATTGAATTATAATTAATATATTTTAAAATGCCCATGTTTGATTATACATTTTGATGATTCGGAGGGATATTTGCATTTTAAAGTTTGGTAAATGTTGCCAAATTTGTTTTTAAAAAGAAGGTTGCATAATTTATAATCCCATCATTAATGCATGAGGTTAAGTATTGAATGAATGAATACATGAGATACTTGAGAGTAAAGAGGCAACTAGTGTTAGGGTTGAAATGGTTTGGAAGGACTGTTCAGAGATAGTGGGGGTACTTAAACTATACCTTGAGGAATGAGTATCCACAGATAGAGGAAAGGAGGGGGAAAAGGATATTCTTAGTGAGAGAGAATGGGCCAAAGGCCATAGAAGATTTATCAGGACAGAATTTTACTTTGTTGTCATACTCCTTTCGTCTCTTGGTTCACTTTATGTTGGCATTTTTTTGGTGGGGGGAAGAGGAACTAGGCACTCTCTTCAAGGCTTTACTCTACCACCTGTGGAACAATCTTTTCCAAGTCTTGTATGCTTTGGCTGTTTTTCTTTTACAAAATTCTTCCTTAGACAAACTCATGTACACATTGTTCTTTTTTTTTTCTTTTTTTGAGACTGAGTCTCCCTATGTTGCCCAGGCTGGAGTGCAGTGGTGTGAGCTCGGCTCACTGCAGCCTCCACCTCCTGGGTTCAAGTGTTTCTCGTGCCTCAGCCTCCCGAGTAGCTGGGATTACAGGCATACACCACCACGCCCTTGGTAGAGACAGGGTTTGCCATGTTGGCCAGACTGGTCTCGAACTCCTGACCTCAATGATTTACTCACCTCGGCCTCCCAAAGTGCTGGGATTACAGGCGTGAGCCACCGCACCTGGCTTACACATTGTTCTTGAGTGAGCCATATGCCGTACTACTGCAGTTTTCTTTTTTTTGACACTGTAGTAAAGTTGTGAACTCAGTGGTTGCTTGACTTCAGTATTCGATCACTTCCTTTTATGTGTCTTATGTCTTCTTGATGGCTTTTCCATATCTCAGCCTCAGGTGTTTGCTGTCATTTACAGTTGTTGTTAGGCCCATTTATGCTTAATGAAGAATTACCAGTTAATATTTATTTGATAATGTTTTACATAGTAAGTTCATCTTATTCACTGTCCTGAATGCTTTCTTTATAATACTGTTTGGTAATGAAGTTGCTATATTCTTACCAGAATGTATTTCCTCATTAATAGATGTCTGATATCAGTATATGGACTTATGATGCGCAATAGAAATGATGTATAATTAATATATTATGCATAACAAGAACCTGTTTTACAGTAAACTTCTGTTTACTGAATTTAATTCACAAGAGTTAGTAATTGGCAACCTTAGGATTAGAATCCGTGTTTTTCTGATTAAACAGCCAGAATGAAGTTTTAATTACTAAATTATAATGCATCAATAATCATCTCCCATGTAAAAGCTTTTAAAAAATACTTCAAAAATACCTGAAGTTACACTGTAAGGAACAGCCATCAGGATGGTGCTGTGAGTTTCAGCATTGAGATTCTCTGTCTCTTCAAAGACAGCAATGATAAACATACACACAATTAATAATCATACTTTCCGAATGAATGTAGATGCATAAATCTGCATCTTCTCTAGAAATCATAAAGAGGAAAAATGCATCAACCTCTGTTTTCAGTGAACTGAAAGACATATGTAAACTCCAGATTATGTTATTTGAGGGCTATCAAAAACATCCGAAAGGGACAGAAGCTATTAGTTTAAATATACTTACTGACAGTAAGGGGTTCATGTTGAAGTTCAAAAGGTAAATCTCTTGTTTGTAATGACGGGAGTTGGTGGCGAAGTACCTGATTATATTCAGAAAAGAGAAAGTAGAGCTGTACACATGTGCACACAGAGCCACATGTACAGGAACCAGCTTTTCTCTGTATTTTTAAATAATTTTTATTTATTTATTTCTTGAGACGGAGTCTTGCTCTGTCACCCAGGCTGGAGTGCAATGGCACAATCTCGGCTCACTGAAACCTCTGCCTCCCGGGTTCAAGTGATTCTGCTGCCTCAGCCTCCCAAGTAGCTGGGATTATAGGTATGCATCACAGGCCCGGCTAACTTTTTTATTTTTAGTAGAGATGGGGTTTCACCACGTTGGCCAGGCTGGTCCAACTCCTGACCTCAGGTGATCCACCCACCTCGGCCTCCCAAAGTGCTGGGATTACAGGCGTGAGCTCCTGCGCCCAGCCAAAAAATTTATTAATTCATACACAATTACTTGTCTTCTGGTTTGTTGAAGCAATAAGCCAGACATTTGCCACAATAATATCTGTCAAAGTGGCTTGCTGTAAACACTGCAGCACCACATTCATCTGAAGGGCACTCCCGACTAAGGCGACTAATTTTACCATTCTCATACACCTTATGGTATTTAAGGACAGCCAACTTAACCTTCTTTCTCTCGTGCTTATTCTTCTTGGGAGTTGTATAAGAATTCTTCCTTGATAACATCACAAAGTCTCAACACAAGATGAAGAGTAGACTCCTTTTGAATGTTGTAGTTAGATAAAGTACGTTCATCTTCCAGTTGCTTGCCATCAAACATCAGTGTTTGCCGATCCAGACGAATTTCTTCCTTATCCTGGATCTTGGCCTTTACATTTTCTGTTGTATCCAAGGGTTCAATCTGGAGGGTGATGGTCTTCCCCATAAGGGTTTTTACAAAAATCTGCATTTTGGTGGCGGCTCTGAGGTTGAGTGAAATAAAGAGATGAGTTAGATTAGGGGATACAGGAGAAGGCAATGCACAGGGCACTGGTCGCAGGGCAGCAGAAGAGCACACACTCCCTTTATTATTTAAAGCGTCAAAGGAGTAGAGAGTCTTTGGACTGTGAAGCCTGTTATTTCCTTCCTTTCCCACTCCCAGGAATCTATGTAAATAGCTGCTTCAGGAAAATTCAGTTTATTCTGTTACGCAAAATAAAAAAGAAGCTGATATGGCAGCAAAACTTCCCAAACACAAAGAACAGTCATTAGTGAAGTGTTGCTACAGAACAGATGAAAATTGTGACCCAGCATTTCACCATCTATTTTTTAGACTTGAGTAAAGCTTGTAAATAGTTCTACAAGAGAAGATTACAAAGCAGGAATGGTAAGAACTCAGAAAAGAGATGGCAGGGCAACAGGAGGACATAAAATGTGAGTTGAGGGAACTTGGGAAAGAAGTAGAAGAAAGCAAATGGCTGGGCATGGGGACTCACGCCTGTAATCCCAGCACTTTGGGAGGCTGAGACAGGGAGATCGCTTGAGCTCAGGAGTTTGAGACCAGCCTAGACAACATGGCAAAACCTGTCTCTAAAAAAGTACAAAATTAGCCGGGTGTGGTGGCTTACGTCTGTAGTCCCAGCTACTTGGGAGTCTGAGGTGGGAAGATGGCTTGAGCCAAGCAGGCAGAGATTGCAATAAGCCAAAATTGCCCCACTGCACTTGAGCCTGGGCAACAGAGGGGAGACCCTGTCTCAAAAAATAGTACAGAAATACAGATGAAATAAGAAGGAGCACAAGAAGCAGACTAGCCCCAAGGAAAACATAATAAGAGACACAGGGATTTTAAAAAATGGAAATAAAGATTTTATTTTTTTAAGTTTTAGAAAATACAGTAGATCCAACAAACTTAGAATTGAAACCCCTATAGAAGAAAACCAAAACATGACAGTAGAACAAGTGGTTAAAAACACAATTGAAGAAAAACTAGCTGAGATGAAACTTACGTATTGAAAGGGCATCTGTGGCAGGGAAAACTGACCAGAAAGATCTTAAAGATTCCTTTCAATAGCCAGAAACCTTCCTAACTACCCCACTCCAAGTTGTTTATAAGACATTGAAATCTGGCTGGCCTTAGAATTCTCCACAACATTCAACCCCAGTCGAACAACATTTATAAGATAAGAAAGTAAAGTGCGAGCTAAAGATTTTATATCCAGTCACATTGTTCTTAAGGAACAAATAGTACTCAGAGAATATTGTTTATGTGAGCCCTTCTTGAGGAAAATAGTAGAGTATAAACTTCAGCTGATAGACATGGGGAAATGATTGGTGTGTAAGCAGTGAATTTATATATAGACATAAAGACTAAAATGTGGGCTGGGCGTGGTGACTCACATCTGTAATCCCAGCACTTTGGGAGGCCAAAATAGGCAGATCACTTGAGGCCAGGAGTTCAAGACCAGCCTGGCCATCATGGTGAAACCCTGTCTCTACCAAAAATATAAAAATTAGCTGGGCATGGTGGTGCACACCTGTAGTCCCAGCTACTTGGGAGGCTGAGGCACGAGAATCACTTGAACCTGGGAGGTAGATGGTTGCAGTGAGAGATTATGCATGCCACTGCACTCCAGCCTGGGTGATAGAGCGAGACTCTGTCTCAAAAAAAAAGACTAAAATGTGGAGATCATAACGACAGAATATAATGTTAATATTGTATACCCTGATGATATACAAATGATCAAACTAATAAAATTTGAGAGAAGGAATTGCCCTATGGTAATAACTGGTATTGAAAAAGATGTTTAAACATCACAGATCAAATAATAGAAATATAAACATATTCAGCACTTTAAAAGAAACATTAAAATAAAACTAAAACACTAAAGATAATGCTATTAGTTTCAATACTATTGATTAAATAGGGTAATGGGAGAGGAGGCGTGCTAATTTTAACATTACTCATGTTGAGGAACTAATAGGTATTGTCTAAAGAGATAGAAATTACAAAGGTAACCATTAGAACAAAGCTATAAACCTTCCTAGATATTGAAAGAACTACAAACCAGTTAAAAATAAAACATCATTTAGTGAAAAAAAATTCTTATATAACCACATACATAACAAGACAGCCCTAAGACCAGACATACCTTTCTTTGTTTCTTTCTTTTTTTGAGACAGAGTCTCGTTGTGTCACCCAGGCTGGAGGACAGTGGCGCAATCTTGGCTCACTGCAACCTCCGACTCCCGGGTTCAAGTGATTCTACTGCGTCAGCCTCCCAAGTAACTGGGACTGCAGGCACCCGCCACTAAGCCCGGCTAATTTTTGTATTTTTAGTAGAGACGGGTTTCACCATGTTGGCCAGGCTTGACTTGAACTCCTGACTTTGTGATCTGCCCACCTCAGCCTCCCAAAGTGCTGGGATTACAGGTGTGAGTCACCATGCCCGGCCCAAACATGCCTTTCTTAAAAAAGATATTAATATGCTTAACTCACCTTTAGAAGGAAAATATTTTTAGCTTAGATTCAAGGCAAAACCCACTCTCTGGTTTATACAAGGTACACACCTAAGGCAGTGATTGTGAAAGACTGGTATTTTAAAAGATAGAGAAAAGGTATAAGATACAAATGCAAATGAAAATAATTTAGGAGTGTCATGATTTTAACATACCAGGTGGAGTTCATACTAAAAAACAATAAAGAGTGGCACTTATTTCTTAAAGGATACAATGAAAATTTAATAGTTGTGAATAGCAATATGTCAGATAACATAGCAAACTTGGTGAAGCAGAAATAACCAAAAATACAAGGAGAAATGGAAATACATTCATAGCAGGAAATGTTTATGTGAAAGACGCCAAACAAGCTTCAACAAATGAAACAACACAATGTTTTTTAATTTTATAAATTAAAACACTGGACATTCTGATTCCACAGTTCATAAGGAAAAGTAAACAAGAAAGGAGCCAGGAAAACTGAAAAAATGAAATTGGATGTTTTTCACATAAATACCAAACAGATCAATGAATAAAATAAAGCCATGAAAATACTAAAAGTAGAAGTCTTCTTATAATTTTAGTATGGGGAAGACCTTTTATACTGATTCAATCCAGAAGTCATGAAATAAATGATAAATTCTATTACATTAAAACACTCTCAGGGCACTCTGGGAGGCCAAGTTGGGTGGATTGCCTGAGCCAAGGAGTTTGAGACCAGCCTGGCAGCATGACAAAACCCTGACTCTACCAAAAATACAAAAAAATTAGCTGGACATGATGGCATGTGCCTGTGGTCCCAGCAACTCGGGAGGCTGTGGTGGGAGAATCTCTCGAGCCTGGAAGGTGGAGGCTGCAGTAAACCGAGATTGCACCACTACACTCCAACCTGGGTGACAGAGTGAGACCCCGTTTCCAAAAAAAAAAAACCTTCTCTGAATGGATAAAGAAAATGTATATACATACAATGAAATATTATTCAAACTTTAGAAAGGAAATTTTGTTGTGTGATACAACCGTAGATGAACCTTGAGGAATTACACTAAGTGAAAGCCAGTCACAAAAAGACAAATACTGCATGACCCCACTTATATGAGATATCTAAAGTAGTCAAACCCTTAGAAACAAAGTAGAGTGGTGGTAGCTAGGGGAAGGGGAAAAAGGGAATTGTTCAGTGGATATAGAGTTTCAGCAAAACTGGTAAAACTTATTTGCAGCCAAAACTTATTTACAGTTAGGAATTAGCAAAACTTATTGGTAATTTTAATCATAGACAGAGGGTAGCCTTCCTGATATACATGCAGTAAGTACTTGGAAACTTGATAACAAAAAGATCTTGCAACCCCATAAAAACCGAGCAAAGATATGAATCGATAATTCACAGAAAATTAAATATAAGTGGCTTTTAAGCTAATGAGGCCAGTACCTCATTCACAGTAAGAGAAGTTAAAACTACAATGATTATAGTTCCCTTATTAGGCAAAAACAAAAGTTGGGCAGCATACTCCATTGGTTGTGAAGCTTTGGGGGAAAAGCTGCTCATACACTGCTATTGAGAATACAAATTGAGATAATCCCTGTGGAAGGCAATTGGTCAATATCTGCCAGAGTAAAAATGTATTTACCCAGCAGGTTGAGTTTTCTGAAATTTATCTTATACTTTACACCACATGATACATGTATCAGATTATTCTGTAATAGCAGAAGGTGAGAAACAATCCAGATGTCCATCAGTAGGGGATTAGTCAAAGAAATTATGGAAAAACCATATAATGGAATACCATGCAGCTGTAAGAAAAAGGCAAAATTCTGGGGCTGCATAATTTATATTCATATTTTTTTTACACTCACAAACTTGGAAAGGATGGACAAGGAAATCTTAACATGCGTTACCTGGAGAAAGGGGAGAGGAACTGAATACGTGGAAAGATTGGGAGGGAGGCTTTTTTGTTTTGTTTTGTTTTGAGACAGAGTTTCGCTTGGAGTGCAGTGGCGTGATCTCAGCTCACTACAATGTCTGCCTCCCCAATTCAAGTGATTCTCCTGCCTCAGCCTCTCGAGTAGCCGGGATTACAGGCATCCCACCACGCCAGGCTAATTTCTGTATTTTTAGTAGGAATGGGGTTTCACCATGTTGTTGGCCAGGCTGGTCTCGAACTCCTGACCTCAGGTGATCTGCCTGTCTCTGTCTCCCAAAATGCTGGGATTACAGGCATGAGCCACCGCACCTGGCTGAGACCTTTCATTCCTTTAAAAAAAAAAAAAAAATGCTGGACGCAGTGGCTCACACCTGTAATCCCAGCACTTTGGGAGGCCGAGGTGGGCAGATTGAGGAGTTCGAGGTCAGGAGTTCAAGACCAACCTGGCCAACATGGTGAAACCCCATCTCTACTGAAAATACAAAAATTAGCCCGGCATAGTGGCAGGCACCTGTAATCCCAGCTACTCGGGAGGCTGAGGCAGGAGAATTGCTTGAACCCAGAGGTGGAGGTTGCAGTCAGCTGAGATCGTGCTACTGCACTCCAGCCTGGGTGACAGAGTGAGACTCTGTCTTAAAAAAAGAAAAAAAAAAGAACAAAAGGCAAGGTGTTAAATAGAGACTAAATACATGAATCTATCAAAATCTGTTTTGCAGGCAGGAAGATGCCTCTGAGAGGTCGTCTGCAGAATAGAGACCAAAACTCTACTGTATATTGGTAGACAGATTGGAGCAGGGAGATGAACAGCCTGTTTTTATTACCCCAGAAACTAAAGGGCTGAATCAGGAAAAAACTGAAAAAGAATGTATGATTGTTGCTTAGGGATATGGCTTATATAAATTGCAGGTCCAGAGTGCTGGAAGGAAGCAGTGACAGCCTCCTGGGTAAAAGCTGGGCCTACCTGCCCATGACTTAGGGACTGGATCTTCAGGAGGAGACATATGCAGCAATTATAAGACCTCATTCTGGGCCAGGCACGGTGGCTCACGCCTGTAATCCCAGCACTTTGGGAGGCCGAGGCAGGCGGATGATGAGGTCAGGAGTTTGAGACCAGCCTGATCAACATGGTAAAACCCCATCTCTACTAAAAATACAAAAATTAGCTGGGCGTGTTGGCACGCGCCTGTAATCCCAGCTAGTTGGGAGGCTGAAGCAGGAGAATCGCTTGAACCTGGGAGTCGGAGGTTGCAGTGAGCCAAGATCGCACCACTGCATTCCAGCCTGGGCGACAAAGCGAGACTCCATCTCAAAAACAAAACAAAACGAAACGAAAAACCTTATTCTGGGGTGGGAGGTTTGAGTGAGAGATGGAGAAAATGAAAAATCGTTAGGGTAAGGTAAGCACACAAAGATACACACACACCATGCAACTTAGAGTTACAATGAACCTGCCAAACAAAAATTCGAAAATACAGAAGAAAAACTAAACCTAAAATAACCAAGTCAACACCTTCATCAGAGGGAAAAGAGAATGTTTTCTGTGTACTGATACAGAAATATCTCCTAAGTTTTGTTGCTTAGTGGGAAAAAATGGGAATCATGAAACAGTATTTATAGTATGTTTTCTTTTTTGCAGGAGTGGGAATAATTGATATTCAAGTGAATCCTTAGTCTATAGGTGTAAATAATAGAACAATTTTAAAGTGTATGTTTAAGATCCTCAGGGAGGTAAAGGAAGGAATAATTGCCATAAAAGAACCAAAATTACCAGTGTGGGCAACATAGCAAAACCTCATCTCTACAAAAAATAGAAAAATTAGCTGGGTGTGGTGCTGCACACCTGTGGTCCCATGCTACTGAGGAGGCTGAGGTGGGAGGATCGCTTAAGCCCAGGAGGTTGAGGCTGCAGTGAGCCATGATTGCACTACAGCCAGGGCAACAGAGCAAGACCCTCTCAAAAAAAAAAAACCCTGTATTAAGTAAGATGTCATTAGATGTGTACTAGACTGAACATGGTCAATGAAACAGTGATTTGGAAAATAGTATTAAGGAATTCACCCAGAATGTAGTAAGAGAGAAGTGGAAAAAAAAAAATGAATATAGATCGAGAGATTCAAACCTAAGTTCAATATTCAAAAGAAATTTTAGGAGAGATTAGACATAGTAGTAGAGAAACAGTATTCAGTGAGATAATGATTAAAAGGTTTCCAGAATTTAAGGTTTCATATTGAACTGAGTTTTCATATTGAAATAGCGCACTGCTGAACAGTTGCTTACCAGGATAAATTTTTTAAATCTTCTAGATGCTCAAAAGTGAAATTGCAGATCATAAAACATAAAAGCTTTTCAAAATGAAAAATGCCACAGTCCCTACACTAAAATATTAGTTAAATTAACAACGTATTTACCAGAACAGTGTCTTCCAGAAGATAAAAGGATCTTCTTTCCTCCGAATGTATAAGGAATATAACTGTTGACCTTGATTCTATACTCATTTAAACTATTATCTGTCAGCAAGAATGAGGCCCAAAGTGAGGAAATACACAAAATAGAGAGCTCCTCACTTACAGAAGCTTGATGGGAGAACCAAAGATTGTACTTCAGCAAGAATAGTAAACCAGGGAGAAGGAGGAATTGCAAAAAATAATACAGTGGCAAACAAAGAATTGGCAAAATATTTGATAAATCAAGTTGAGTTGATTGCAAATACATAATTTTTAAAGTAGAATCAAAACTCTAGACAATAACAAGAAAGTTGGAAAATAGAGTTGAGTCAGGAATGCTACTATTCTTGCTTTGTTCCCAAAAAGTAGCACAAAAAGAGACACTGACCAACTTCAGGGTATTTTACCAAAACTAAATAGCTATTTTGTGGCTCTGCAGCCAGACTACCTGAATGAAAGACTAGCTTATTTCTTACTAACTGTGTGACATTAAGGAGTTATTTTACCTTCTTACGCGTAAATTTCCTTATGTATAATTGGGGATGACAATAATACCTTCTCATAGTTGTTGTGGGGAGGATTAAGTGAAATACATATAAAGCCACTGATTAGTACTACTCTATACATGTTTGCTGCTGCTGCTGCTTTTCTTTTTTAACCTGAGTAACCACAAAAGGAATAGAAATAAAATAGATGTCTTCCAGACCAGCAGAACTAAAGGAATGAAAATAAGAGAATGAAGAAGGCTAAACCCTTGGTATACCATCAGGGTCAGTTGGAATAATTTTCATTTTTGATTTTCATTTTAGAGCAGTGCCAACTATTTAGAAGGGTAGATATTATGACTTGTATTCTTAGAGATCTACCAAAGAACAAAGAGAAAATTTATTTTAAAAAATTATTCTATCTTACAGTTACCATATGAGTCCATTAGACCCTTTTTTATAAACCTAACATCCATTATGAGATCTTAATAATCTTGGCTTTTCCTATATATTGAAATATTTTACTACTCTAGGAATTTTATCATTACTTATCAATTATTTATACTGTGCTAAAAAAAAAAAAGACAAAAAAAGAATGACAGAATCTCCTAGAAGGAAGATGGAAGATGTAATAAATAGTCATTTTTCAGTTTTCTCACTGCATTGCTCAAATACTACATCCTACTTCAAAAACGTATAAAAAAATTTAGGAGACATACGAATTAGAAGATAAACGCGAAGATAAATAGCACTCTAGACCTAAGTTGTCCAATATGGTAGCCACTTGCCACATGTGACTATGTATATTTAAAATAATTAAAATTAATAAAATTTAAAATTCCATTCCTCATCACACTTTTAAGGGGTTATGTAGGAGAAGAATACAACTTACAATTACTCTTACTTCACGGTGGCTGGCTGCCATGTTGGACTGCACAGATACGGAACATTGTCATCGTTGTGGAAAGTTATATTAGATATTGCTGTTCCATACGCCAATAATGATAGTGAAATTGAGCATATAAATGAAGTCAGACTTTGATTCTTGAGATGATCATATCCTGTATGAATTTTCTCAGACTTAAGAATTGAATGCAGAAGACGTTTTGACAAAGAAAATATGGTATTTTTATCCAGTTAGTCATTCAACAGGAATATTTCACAACATGAACCTGAACCATCCCTTTTTGCTTTAAAAAAAAAAAAAAAAAAAAGTCCTGAGACAATGTTTTTTAAATTTTGTATGTGGCCAGGCATGGTGGCACATGCCTATAATCCTAGCACTTTGGGAGGCTGAGGCGGGTGGATCGCTTGAGGCCAGGAGTTAGAGACCAGGCTGGCCAACATGGTGAAATCCCATCTCTACTAAAAATAGAAAAATTAGCTGAGCATGGTGGTACATGCCTGTAGTCCCAGCTACTCAGGAGGCTGAGGCACAAGAATTGTTTCAACCCAGGAGTTGGAGGTTGCAGTGAGCTGAGATTGCACCACTGCAATGCATCCTGGGCAACAGAGCAAGACTCTGTCTCAAAATTGTTTTTTTTTTTAAATTTTGTACGGTGTTTGTGTGTTAAACTTACTTAGTACAAAGAGGTATTTGCTGTATTTAAGTTCCTTTTAAAATTTATTTTAAAAGTTGTCTTGCACTGTCTCTGTAAATTATTTGTAAAATAACCTAAAAAAATTTTTAAGGCATCCTTTGGACCCAGGTAGTAAATGGTATGTTGAGGGTTAAAGCATGAGAGGAAAAGGGGGAATAGGAAGTAAAGGAAAATCAGGATAAATGTAACACAACAAAATAGAAATATAATTACAGTGGATTAATGTATATTTTAAAGTTATATATTTTATTTATTTATTATTTATTTTTGAGACAGTCTCGCACTATCGTCCGGACTGGAGTGCAGTGGTGCAATCTCTGCTCACAGCAAGCTCCGCCTCCCAGGTTCAAGCGATTCTCCTGCCTCAGCCTCCCAAGTAGCTGGAATTACAGGTGCCCGCCACCATAGTCGGCTAATTTTTTGTCTTTTTAGTAGAGACGGGGTTTCACTATGTTGGCCAGGCTGGTCTCAAACGCTTGACCCCGTGATCCACCCACCTCGGCCTCCCAAAGGGCTGGGATTACAGGGACGAGCCACCGGGCCCAGCTTTAAAGTTACATATTTTAAAAAAAAGCCAGCTGCCCTTACAATAGTTATACTCAAAGCAGAGGAACACAGATTAAATGTAAAGGGATGAAAATGTGGTAAGTTGAACACATACATATCTTTGTTTTTAATTGAAATCATGTTACAGTAACATAATTTTTAAAAGGCATAAACCCACAAGAACAGAGAAAAGGGTAAGAGGGACAAAATAAATCAGTTTGGAAACTGAAAAGTGAGTGAATGGGTAGCAACTTAGTGTACCCAATAAAGTTGAAACAGCCGGCAGGTATGGAAGCTACAAGAAATAAGCCAAATCATGCCAAAGAACCCCAAAAGACTAAGGAATAAGAGACACAAGTGCCTTTGAGGGCCATATGTAGGGCAAGGATAAAACCCAGGAGCACTGGGAAGGTATGGAAGCTACAGGAAATAATCCAAATCATGCCAAAGAACCTCAAAAGACTAAGGAATTAGAGACACAGGTGCCTTTGAGGGCCACGTGTAGGGCAAGGATAAAACCCAGGAGCACTGGTTGTAAGACTTTAAAAAGAGCAGTTAGACTTCTTAGCTTCCTTTCTGTGTCCTGTGCAACCAGGTATTTGCCTCTTTACCATCAAGGCGGAAAGCTGAGGCTTATTGTGGGAGAGAAATACCAGATACAGATAAGGGAAGGGCCTTCAAACCTAAAATGTTGATTAAATGGCAAGTCTGCATATGAAAAGTTGAGCATCCCAGTGCTTTAAACCTCTGCCTCCTTGAGTGCTAGCGTCTAGATTTACACCTTTCAAGAAGAGGCTAGAAGAGTACTTTCTGGGAAAACCTGTCTAAAAATAAATCCATAGACTTACCAGTAGTGACACTGAAACTTTGTGTGTTCCTACTTTATTACTCTACAATAGCAGTTCTCAGACTTTTTTAAACAAGACCCTTTTAACTGCTTGTGGAGCCCTGTGCCCCAGTAGATTTTTTTTAATGTGGGTTATAGCTATCAATATTTACTGTATTAAAGAAATAAAAATGTTAAATGTCCCTTTAAAAGCAACAGTAATCTATTAAATATGTTACATGACATAATTTTTGTGGAAAATAACTATTTTCCAAAACAAAAATTTAGAGTGGAATAGTTTTACATATTTGTGAATCTAATGGCCAGCTTAACAGGAATTGACTACATTTTAATATCTGCTTCTGCATTTGGGCTGTAGTGATATCCCATGTCAGGTATGTGGCCTCTGGAAAACTCTACTGTGTACTTGTAATAAAGTGTGCAAAAAAATATAATGTCTTAATGTCTATTAATAATGAAAATAAGGCCAGGCACGGTGGCTCACGCCTGTAATCCCAGCACTTTGGGATGCCGAGGCACGCGGATCACCTGAGGTCAGGAGTTTTAGACCACTCTGGCCAACATGGTGAAACCCCGTCTCTCCTAAAAATACAAAAATTAGGCAGGCATGGTGGCGCACTCCTGTAGTCCCAGCTGCTGGGGAGGCTGAGGCAGAGAATTGCTTGAACCTGGGAGGCAGAGGTTGCAGTGAGCCAAGACTACACCATTGCAGTGCAGCCTGTGCAACAGGAGCGAAACTGTCTCACGCACACAAATTATACAATAATGAAAATAGTTTTGACTTTAATACTTTCCGAAAGCCATCCCTTGATGACTGCCAGGAATTCCCAGACTACACTTTTTAAGAACTGCAGCTCTACACTAAATCCTACCAGTTAAAACCTCACACAGAATTTCTAAACAGCATTTTATGCCTTAACTCTAATACATTTATGGATAGCTGGAGATTACCAGAGAATTGAGGTAAACTTATAACAGGAAAGATGGAAGCCAGAGCATTGGAAGCAGCAGAAATGGTGCCGGAAAAAGAAAACGTGAAAGAAACTAAGATTCAGAGGGATAAAAGAAGCTACTGTTATTTGTGAAGTCAGAACTGGAGGTTATAAATAAGGATCATTAAAGAACAAAAATGAGCTCTTGTAAATTAAAAACATCAAAATATATATGACATGTGGAACGTATAGAAATGTTGACAGATTATCCCCAGTATTGGGAAAAGATTGTTTACAGAACTTTAAAAGCACATTGCTCATGTCAAAAAGTGGAATGAATTTGTTTATGTCAGAATTAAAGAGTTCTGTGCATTGAAGGGACATCATGATAGTATGGGAAAAGATGTTTTCAAAATGTGAAATCTAACAAGGGATTTAACATCTACAGGATTCAAGGAACTCCTGGAAATCAAAAGGAAAAAGATAGCCACCCTAATATAAAAATACACAAAGGTTCTAAATAGGCGGTTTATGGAATGAACCTCAAAGCTAATAAACCTATGAAGACATGTTCAAATAATTAGTCGTCAGAAAAAATGTAAATTAAAATGAGATCTCATTTTATACCTATTAGTTTGAGGGGAAGAAAAACCAGAAAACTGAATGAATGCATTTAGTTGTCTTTCATGACAGATTACCCCCAAATTTAACATCTTTATCAAAGTCTCATTAGGTTGCACTCAAACTGTCGGCCAGGGCTATAGTCATTTGAAGTCTTGACTGGGGCTGGAGTATGTGCTTTCAGGATGTCTCATTCACGTAGCTGTTGGCAAGAGGCTTCAGTGTCTTGCTAATTGTTTGCAGAAGGT
This sequence comes from Homo sapiens, assembly GCF_000001405.40. NCBI lineage: Eukaryota > Metazoa > Chordata > Mammalia > Primates > Hominidae > Homo > Homo sapiens. Next base: position 47,871,286 of record NC_000002.12, on the reverse strand, counting down.
CTCAATTTTCTGTTGCCTGGTCCTATCCACAGGGCTGCTTGAGTGGATTCATAAAGCGTCTTCTGGTGATAGGGCACGTGGCTTTGTCCAGAGCAAGTAATCGAAGAGAGCAAGCAGGTAGCTACTGTGTCTTTTATCACCTACTCTCCCAAATTGCATACTATCACCACTTCCTGTTCATTAGAAGTCACTAAGCTCAACCAATACTTAAGGGGAGGAGTATCAATACTCAAGGAAGAGGAGTATCAAAGCATTTGTGGACTTTCTAAAACCCCTGCGGAGGATAATGCCAAGTGTTAGTGAGCGTAGACTTTGCAGCCATTCTGGAGCTCAAGTAGTAGTATGTGCATGTCCTATGATCCAGTAATTTCATTTTTAGACATCTCAGAGTATTTGTAAGAGTTTCATAAAGGGATATGTACATGGGTATTCATTGCCATATTATTTGTAGTGGCAGGAAGTTGGTGACAGCCTGTGTGTTCCACATATCAGTCTGAATGTAGATAAGTAAAATTTGTGAGTGCTCATACTAGCTTTTCTAGTGCTACCATATCAAACTGCCACACACTGGGAGCTTGAAACAACAGAAATTTATTCTCTTACACTTCTGTTTAAAATCAAAGTAGCAGCAGCACCATGATTCTTTGAGAATCTGGGTAGAATCTTTCCTTGCCTATTTGTAGATTATGGTAGTAGCTGTTAATCCTTGGTATTCCTTGGTTTGCAGCTGCATCACTTCAGTCTCTGCCTCTTGTCACATAGCATTCTCCCTCTGTGTTTGTCTTCACATTGGCACTTTCCTCTTTTTATGAGGACACTAGTCCTATTGAATTAGGCCCCACCCTAAAGACCTCCCTTAACTTGCATTTTCAAAGACCCTATTTCCAAATATGGCCACGTTCACAGGTATCAGGGATTAGGACATAATACCATTTTAAGAGGCACAATTCAGCCCACACACAGAGACTATGTAGCAATCAGAAGCAACTCTTTAGATTTATGGGTAGTACAGAGCAGAAAACTTAAGAAGCAGAATGAGATGGTAAGTAGCAATAACACTAATTTAAAAATCCATGTGTATTAGGGTTCTCTGGAGAAGCAGAACTCAATAGGCTATATTCATAGGGAGAGAGAGAGACACTCAGGAGAGCTGATGGTACAGATGAACACCGAAGGCAGTTGACTGGAGAATTCCTTCTTGCTTGGAGAGGCCTTTGTGTTTTATTCAGATCTTCCACTGAATGGATAAGGCCCACCCACATGGGAGGCAGTCAGCTTACTCAGAGTTCACCAATTTAAATTCTAATCTTGGCCAGGCTTGGTGGCTCACTCCTATAATCCCAGCACTTTGGGAGGCCAGGGTGGGTGGATCACCTGAGGTCAGGAGTTCAAGACTAGCCTGGCCAACATGGTGAAGCCCCTGTCTCTACTAAAAATAAAACAATTAGCCAGGTCATACTTCCACCTAATAGGATATGACTATCCTGTTTATGACCAAAAGTGTACTAACCCTTGCCCCAAAAAAGGATGCAAAACACGTGAGTGGGGTTTGCTCTTCTTGAAATCCTATAACTTACATACTATGTGGTATTTATAACTACCTTCTTTATAACTTCTTTATAACTACCACTACCCATTCTGTACTCTTTTTGCCTTCAGCAAGTACTTCAGCTGGCCGTGGATCTTTACCTGGTGGGATAACCCAAACCTTCATTCCTGATGTGTCTGGGCCATTAGTAGTCCCACCTGAATTGGGTTGTTGTAGTTTTCCATTGCATTTGATTAGAGGGCATGGTACTGCTAAGAGAGTTGCCTTAGGGGATCTCCTGTATTTCAGATATAACTTTTCCTTTCCTTCATTGTAGAGTTAGTTACCGCTTGGTTGTCAAGATCAGTCACTCCAGCCAGCACAATAACACCCTTCTTTGCCAGTTGATTCAAAGGCATAAGGAGTCCAAAATGGCCAGGTGGCAGTCTTAACTTCCAGTGAAATCATTATTGTGTCTCTTGATAAAAGCCTAGAACTAAAACTTTTAGGCCAGCAGAGCATAAGCTCACAGAGACAAGAAGCAGAAATTTCGTTAGTGAGTTACTATGGGTAATAAATAAGTGGTGTCACTCCTATTTCCACCGTTTGTTTCCTGGACCTGTGAATTCTGGCCGTGGAAGAAATAACACTGTATATAGCACACTGATTCAGAACACACAGTCTCCTGTAGAACTTTGCCTCAACCCTACAAAGTATTGCCACCTAGCTAACGTTGTAACTGAATCTTCAAAAGGCCACTTCTTTGTTCTGTGAAGCCAGCTGCTTCAGGATGCTGGGAACGGGGTAAGACCAGCGAATTCCATGAACATGGGCCCATTGCTGCCTTTCATTTGCTGTGAAGTGTCTATGCCAGTGAGAACAAATGTTGCCTTTTTCATCATGGAAATGGTCCAGTGTAATCCACCTGCCACTAGGTACCTGGCTGATCACCCCAGGAAATGGTACTATATTGGGGGCTAAGTATTGGCCTCTGCTGCTACCAAATTGGACGCTCAACAGCAGCCATAGCCAAATCAACCTTGGCAAGTAGAAGTCCCTGTTGCTAAGCCCATGTATAACCTCCATTCCTCCCAGTATGGCCACTTTGTTTATGAGCCTACTGGGCAATGACAACAATGGTTGGGGAACTGGAATTTTAAAACAAAAATATGGAATGTGGGCGATTAAAGTAGAGAGCTGTCAGTCTGGGAGGTCCAACTCTCAAATATTAGGAGTTCCAGAAATAAAAAATTGAGAAGTAATTCAAACAAATATTTCAAGAAAATTTCTCAAAAATAAAGTACATGAATTTGCAATTGGAAGGGCCCAGCAAGCATTCATGACAGTGAATGTTAAAAGGCCCACACTGTGGCATATTGTGAAATTTCAGGGTACCCAGGAATAATGAGAAGAACATGAAAGCTTCCAGAGATTTCACATAGTCTTGATTCCCAGCTTTTTTTTTTTTTTTTTTTTGGAGGTAGAGTCTTGCTCTACCCCCAGGCTGTAGTGCAGTGGCGCGATCTCGGCTCACTGCAACCTCCGCCTCCCGGGTTCAAGTGATTCTCCTGCCTCAGCCTCCTGAATAGCTGGAATCCCAGCTGCTTTATACATTTCGGACCATCCAGTAACACTGGCTTGAATTCTGACATGGCAGTAGTTGTCCAGGGATTTGCAGTGGGTAAGGATTGTGTGGGCCTTAAGTTCTTCAGTTCTCTGCCTCCTCTGATGTTAATGTTTTACTTCACTCACTTTCTTTACCTGTGATCTTCAGGCATTTAAGTATATGACTCTTGCTAACTGTTTGGCCCATATTCAGAGACTTAAAAAAAATTGTTGTTTCTAATTATTGGACATGAGAAACTAACATGGGATGAATTAATGGGTTTTTTTAAAGCCTCAAATTTGGGCTGACATTGTCATCTCTATTTCCCTGGAAATGTACTATGTCTTTAGGAGAATATGTATGTATGTATGTATCCATGTCTACATAGATAACAATATGCAGATAATGTGTGTCAGTTCTTTATTGACTTACTCCAGGCATTTGATATAGATTCCCCTGGAATCTGGAAGTTTATGTTTGTGATTTCAGTGAAGCTTAAGGTCCTGATGTTCTTAAGTGATCAAATGGCCATTAGAATTAATAATTTCTCAAATCTATATCACTAAAAACATTTAACCTTTTTCATATGTGTCGTTAGACTGGGACTTACAGTAATCATTTATACTGCTTAGTAATTATTTTTGGCTCTCCTCCATCTGGCACTTCCTGACCCCTTTGTCATTGGGCCGTGTGAACAGTTCTGACCAAAGAGTTGTGAATGGAAGTTGGTGTGTCACTTCCAGGCCAATCATTTAATTGCCAGTATGAGAACTTCCAGAACTCTCTTTTATTTCTGCTGCTGCAACTAGCAGTGTTTCAAAAGAATAGCTGCTCCATAAGCTGAGTTCCAGTGGAGGATGATTCTATGGAGCAGAGCTCTTCACTAACTCAGGATAAACATGTAAAGTGAACAACAAATAAATCTTTGTTGTTTTAAGCTAGACTGGAGATTTTCGGGATTTGTTACTGCAGCTTAAACTAGCCTATCTGACTGATACTGCACTGTACCAATAAAGAGAGGAGAGAATAATGAAATTAAGTAATTAAAGCAATTAATTAAATGAAGCAATGTTAGACAAAATCTGGAACCTGGGAGCAATTAGATTTTTAGTTTTCAGGTAGCTTATTTATAAGTTGTGAGTATCATCAGAGGGCCTTAATTCTTAGATATTGCAACTCTGTTTTTGAGTACATATAAAAGATGCCAGAGAACACAAAACATTTTGCAGAGTCAGAACAGTGTTCATATTTAAAAGTAGTCTGAAGATGATCAAGGCTCATCATGGAGAATCCTGGCTGTTATCAAAGTATGTTTGGAGGGTGGGTATTTTTTCTCAAAGTGACATGCAGCTGAAAGGTTTTAGGAAAACTTGCTAGCATAGGCCGGGCGCAGTGGCTCACGCCTGTAATCCCAGCACTTTGGGAGGCCGAGGTGGGCAGATCACGAGGTCAGGAGATCGAGACCATCCTGGCCAACATGGTGAAACCTCATCTCTACTAAAAATATAAACATTAGCTGGTCATGGTGGTGCGCGCCTGTAATCCTAGCTACTCGGGAGGCTGAGGCAGGAGAATCGCTTGAACCCGAGAGGCGGAGTTTGCAGTGAGCTTAGATCACGCCACTGTACTCCAGCCTGGCGACAGAGCAAGACTCCGTCTCAAAAGAAAAAAAAAAAAACAAACTTGCTAGCGTAGATATGTGTAACAGAACACATCATTTTGGGACGCAGTTTTTTAGTGCTGGAAGAACTTTTAGATACCCTGTAACACAGCACCCTCATTTTGTAGATGTTGTATGTTATAAAAGATGAGATAGAGTGTATTTGAATTACCTGCTTTCCACGTTATTTTTGGGTTTTGAATCATTTTTATTTCCCTTTCCCACTTTTTTTTTTTTTTTTTTTTTTGAAGCAGAAGGGGTCTGACTTGTCCAGGCTGAAGTGCAGTGGCAAGATCCTAGGTCACTGCAGCCTCAAACTCCTGGGCTCAGGAGTTCCTCCTGCTTCAGCCTTTCAAGTAGCTGCTACAGTTGTGTGCCACCATGCCCAGCCAATTTTTTTTCGGTAGAGATGGGAGTCTTGCTATGTTGCCCAGATTGGTCTTGAACTCCTGGCTGCAAGTGATTCTTCCTGCCTCAGCCTCCCAACGTGCTGGGATTATAGGCATGAGCCACTGTACCTGACCCCAGCTAATGTTTTTAAAAGTATCTTTGCTGATTATTTGTTTTTCCTTTGTTTCCTTCTTTCTCCCTTTATCATAGTTAATCCTCACAGTGGTTCTCAGAAGTAAATATTTTTCTGCCATTTTACCCATGTGGAAACTGAGGCTCAATGAGGCTGAGTGTCTGCCCACAATCATATAGCTAAGTATTGGGGCTGGTATTTGAACACATTTTGTTGACTCTAATAATATCCCATGTTGTTTCCACCAGTGTCTTAAATTTATTTAAGATTTTTACACAAATGTAGAGTGTTTTTACTTTGTATGACTATTAATTAAAATTAGATCTGCCAGAGTGACAGGAAACCCAAAACAACAGTTGTTTAACAAGATAGAAGTTTATTCCTCTCTGTTGTGATGAAAGTCTACAGGTAAGCATCTAGAGTTGGTATGAAGGCTCCACTATGACATTAGGGACCTAGGCCCCTGTTTTATTTATTAGTCTGCAGTCTGTAAACACAGCCTTTATGGTTCAAACTATTTGTTCACTCTCCAACATTCTTTCTAGCAGGAAGCAGAAAGGGTGAAGAAGGGCCTTCTTTCTTTCTTTTAGAACATATCTCAGAAGTCATACAGGACACCTGTAGCCCATTGGCCATGTAGCCCATTGGCCAAAACCTAGTCAGATGGCCAACTCAGTAATAAGAGCAGCTGAGAAATGTGAGCTTTATTCAAGATGTTCATCTGTGCAGGTTAAAATCTGGGTTCTATCACCGAAGGGGTAAATAGATTTGGGGTGATAGCAGTTTCTGTCACAAAGATACAATCAGGTTCTGCTGCAGTTTGTTTATTGATGGGTATTTATTGAGCACTTATTACCTGCCAGACACTGTGGTTCATGTATATCTACAATTAACACAACTCTGTTAATTCCTGTGGAAACAGGAAACAGTTCAGGAAATTTTTAGTTTAAGAAAATTTTACTCTATAAATAGGTTTAAACTAACAAGCGCCCAGGTGTTTTGTTTGTACACGTAGAATGAAAGTCTTGTCAAGTGTTACACTAATATTTTACTTAAAGTATTGTTGGCAAATAAATGAGGAAAGAGTGTTCTTGTCTCACATAACAAATAGACTATTATAATACATGTTGATTCATTTAGTAGAAGTAAATTTCAAGGCTTTGCTTCTTTTCAATTCTGTCACTTGATGTGGGTGAAAATACCTAATTCATAGATATGTCATTGCCCTAGTGAGTAAGTTAGTGATTTACCTGACCTCTGTGGACTTTTATTCATCTTGACAGAGCCTCTATTGTTTGTTTATAACATAAATAATTTATTAAATCTAGTCTCTTATTTACCATTATTTAATCTAGATTCTTGTTTATTTTTGTCTTTTTTGTGAGATGGAGTTTTACTCTTGTCGTCCAGCCTGGAGTGCAGTGGTGAGATCTTGGCTCACTGCAACCTCTGCCTCCCGGGTTCAAGCAATTCTCCTGCCTCAGCCTCCCGAGTAGCTGAGATTACAGGCATGCACCACCACACCAGGCTAATTTTGTATTTTTAGTAGAGATGGGGTTTTGCCATGTTGGCCAGGCTGGTCTTGAACTCCTGACCTCAGGTGATCTGCCTGCCCTGGCCTCCCAAACTGCTGGGATTACAGGCGTGAGCCACCACGCCCAGCCAATTCCTGTCTTTAATTATGAGTTGTTCAAAGGTAGTTTCTGTCTCTTTCATTATATGTTTTCTCATGAAATACCGTGAGTACTTAATAAATGCTTTTTTATATTTAATGAATAGGAACATTTAATTAGGAGGGATTCTGTTTAACTACCATAGTTATGTTAGTCTTATAACTGTGAAGATCAATGAAGTCACATGCCTTTGTAAACATGACCAAATTACCAGCTTTTTAATGGAAATAAATTAAAAATTCCAGCACATATGCCGTATTGTAACTTGACTACCATTTTGTTCAAAATAGCAAAACCCTAAATCCAGCTTTAGATTTATTGATTTGTCTTTATGGGGTTTTGGTTTTTTTTTTTTTGAGACAGAGTCTCACTCTGTCTCCCAGGTTGGAGTGCATTGGCACAATCTTGGCTCACTGCAACCTCCACCTCCAGGGTTCAAGCAATTCTCCTGCCTCAACCTCCCAATTAGCTGGGATTACAGGCATGTGCCACCATACCCAGCTTATTTTTATATTTTTAGTAGATATGTGGTTCCACCCTGTTAGCCAGGCTGGTCTCAAACTCCTGACTTCAAGTGATCTGCCCACCGTAGGCAGGGATTATAGGCATGAGCCACCGCACCCGGCCTTTGTGTTCTAGAGGAGGATGCTATATTTCTTCAGATTTAACCAATTCCTTGAAAAACTGTTATGCCATAACCCCAAAATATTAGGTCTAGTGAGAACTAGGGGAAACTTTTGAAATAAAGTTACCACTTTTATTTAGGTACTTCATAAATTAGGAGCTGTCTGTAGACCCTTTCTTTAAAGAAGAGTTTATTAAACTAATGCCTTTATGATTTGATTATAGGTTTCGCTTAAGTTTTCTTTAGCTGTGTTGTTTCAGAGCCATGTAAACGAGCTGTTTAAGAGCACTTGTAGACATTAAAGTATATTTTTATTTAATTCTGTTTCTCTGTTGGCCTGAAAGCAGAATATCTTTTATAAAATCAACTAGTGATTATTCCTAACAAGAAAGTGTAAATAGAATTCTAATTTAATAATTAGCTCATTAGCTCTCCTATAGCATTTTTAACTTGAGACTACTATATGTTGAGCTAACCTAACAACAATGTTTTGGTTTTATTTTCTATATTGAAATAGATTTGAAGGCAAGGGGAAAACTTTTGTTTCGTTTTGTTTTGTGTGTGTATGGTGGTTTTTTTTGTTTTGTTTTTGTTTTTTTGTTTTTTTTTTTTTTTTGAGACACAGTTTTACGCTTGTCACCCAGGCTGGAGTGTGATGGCGCGATCTCAGCTCACTGCAACTTTCACTTCCGGGGTTCAAGCGATTCTCCTGCCTTAGCCTCCCAAGTAGCTGGGATTACAAGCATGCGCCACCACACCCAGCTAATTTTTGTACTTTTAGTAGAGATGGGGTTTCACCATGTTGGTCAGGCTGGTCTCAAACTCCTGACCTCAGGTGATCTGTCCACCTCAGCCTCCGAAAGTGCTGGGATTACAGGTGTGAGCCACCACGCCCGGCTGAAAACGTTTTTGAAGCTGCTGTAAGTCTTTGGGCTAATTGTTCTTAGATTTGTTATAGTTATTATACAGCATTTATGTACTTGTACTGTGGTGATCACTGCTAAAAGATGATCCAGAGAGAGAATTATACATTGTGCATATTTTGAGATTTGCACTTACATTTTTATGATTAAACATTTGCCCTTTTAGCCAAGCGTGGTGGCACAATAGTCCTAGCTGCTCTGGAAGGCTGAAGCAGGAGGATTGTTTGAGCCCAGGAGTTCAAGACCAGTCTGGGCAACATAGCAAGACATTATCTCTTAAAAAAATAAAAAATAAAAAGTTTGCCTCACAGATTAGATTTTGATTCTTATTTTCATTTTCCTTTCCAGTTCTTCATATCACCCGCCCTTTGTTTCATTTCTTTTGAATTTCAGGCTATTACTGCTCTAGTCCCAATGGCTTTCAACCCTGGTTATGTATCTTGAACAGCGGAGCTTTTTCAAATTTCAAGATGCTTTTGGATGTAACTTAAATCTGATTTAAATTGGCTTAAACTATAAGAAAACTGGCCAGGCACGATGGCTCACACCTGTGTAGTCCCAGCACTTTGGGAGGCCGAAACAGGCAGATCACTTGAGGTCAAGCGTTTGAGACCAGCCTGGCCAACATGGTGAAACCCCATCTCTATTAAAAATAAAAAATAAAAAAAATTAGCCAGGCATGGTAGCGTGCGCCCGTAATCCCAGCCACTCGGGAGGCTGTGGCAGGAGAATCACCTGAACCTGGGAGGCAGAGGTCATAGTGAGCTGAGACTGTGCCACTGCACTCCAGCCTGGGCAACAGAAACAGAGCAAGATTCTATCTCAAGAAAAAAAAAAAAAACTTAACCTTACATGACAAGAAGTTTTGTGTTTGATTTTCTGCTGTTGTCTTAGCTGTGCCCTATTCATTGTGCCAACATGGGCCTTAGGTTAGTTCTCCTTAAGGACCTAGGATGGCTGCCTTCTGTAAATAATGCATCCGTCATCCTTGTTTGTATCTATCAGGAAAAAAGAGAGAAGGACGTCTCTTTCCCAGAAGCCAAAACCAAGCAAGTTAACTTCTTGTGTCTCATTGGGCCACATTGGCTTGGACCTGCCAATCCTAGGGTATGGAGTCACCATAAATGGGCTGGGTGCTGTGGTTCACTTCTGTAATCCCAGCACTTCAGGAGGCTGAGATGGGAGGATTGCTTGAGCCCAGAAATTCAAGACCAGTCAGGGCAATACAGCAAGACACCATCTCTCCAAAAAAAATTTTTTTAATTAGCTGGGCATGGTGGTATGCACCTGTGGGCTCAGCTACTTGGGAGGCTGAGGTGGAAGGATCACTTGAGCCCAGGAGATCGAGGCTGCAGTGAGCCATGATTGTGCCACTGCACTTCTGCCTGAGCAACAGAGCAAGATCTTGTCTCAAAAAAAAAAAAAAAAAAGGTCAGACTATTCATATGGGATAGAATGAATATTATGAAGTCAATTACAATATCTACTCCATAGGAAGTGTGGATGTATATGTTTTTACAAGATACATAAGTGTACACAGTGTACAACTAAGTTTGAGGACGGCTACACTTCCCAGTTTAAGACTTAAAAATAGGGGAAGGCCAGGCGTGGTGGTTCATGCCTGTAATTCCAGCACTTTGGGAGGCCGTGGCGGGTGGATCACCTGAGGTTGGGAGTTCGAAACCAGCCTAACCAACATGGAGAAACCCCATCTCTACTAAAAATACAAACTTAGCTGGACGTAGTGACTTTACTAAAAATGCAAACCCAGCTACTCCAGAGGCTGAGGCAGGAGAATCACTTGAACCCGGGAGGTGGAGGTTGCAGTGAGCCGAGATTGCGCCATTGCACTCCAGCCTGGGCAACGAGAGTGAAACTCCGTCTCAAAAAAAAAAAAAAAAAAAATAGGGGAAAACAACTGATTTTTTTTTTTTCCTATTTTCCAGTGGAACACAGTTATTCTATGTGACTGGTTTGACTTTCTTTCTCTCTCTCTCCTGCAGGGAAAAGTTTTGATTAGCCTTAGTTAATAACCCAGGGTAGGCTGGGCGTGGTGGCTCACGCATGTAATTCTAGCACTTTGGGAGGCCGAGGCAGGTGGATTTTCTGAGTTCAGGAGTTCGAGACCAGCCTGGGCAACACAGTGAAACCCTGTCTCTACTAAAATACAATTAGCTGGGCGTGGTGGCATGCACCTGTAGTCCCAGCTACTTGGGATGCTAAGGCAGGAGAATTGCTTGAACCTGGGAGGCGGAGGTTTCAGTGGGCCGAGATTGTGCCACTGCGCTCCACTCTGGGCGACAGAGCCAGACTCTGTCTCCAAAAAAAAAAAAAAAAATCCAGGGTAAAATAATTCTTAAGGCTAAGGATTGAAAACTTACATTCATAATTGTTGTTTAAATTTATTAGCTAGCCATGTGAAATATAGCCAATTTCTCATGCCCTGGCTGTTGGAGATTCTTTGGTTCTGTGCTCTCTGGCAAATGAGTTAGCTAGTCAGGGCACAGTGATAAAAATGAGTAGTTTAACTATTTGGAATAAAGTGCCCAGCAGTTTCATTTAACACTAAGAAACAGAAGCAATAAAGACTTCTGAGCAGCATAGCATAGTTCTAAAACCCATGTTCTTTCTTGGAAAAAACCTCTTAAGCTCTCATTTAGTGCCCGTTTACTCTTACTTTAAAAACAGACATGTCTCCTAAGCTTATTTTATCGGTTTATCAGAGAAGAGAGGATTTTATAGTTAGCCCATGGACAGCTAGAAACAGCAACATGACAGCAAGAAAGGGGGGAAAATCTATGAACTTTTCATGAGAATCTCAAACTAAGCATTTAGGATAACTTATTCTAGAAAATAGCTTGGTACTGATAAATGGGGCCTCAATCTCAGGTCTCATCCTAGCACAAAAAAATAGACTATTTCATGATCCTAATGATTATCTTATAATATGAAAGTATTAATATTATTTTAAGAATATCCTTGTCTTAAAAGACAACATAATTGGGTTTGGAAATATTTTTAATCAAAATGATTAAAGTTAAAATTCTGTTTCAGTGCTTGAAGGGTGTAAACCCCCCAGCTACCTTGAAAGCGTAACTGTGAAAACACTTTGAGGGCTGCAAATAAGAAAGACAAGAGTAAAGCTTCAGCTGTTTGTATACAAGGGATTGGAAGAGAATCTTTCTTGAGGTCTCATCCATTTATGGAAATATACTCTTTTTGTGTATGTATGTAAATCATCTAGAGCCTGTTACTTTTAAATCTTTGCCAAGTTTTTCCCAACCTCTCTTCACAGCACCAATCGGTGAAATTAGTTTAATCTTTTTTTAAAAAATCCTCCAAGACATCTGAAATTGAATTCAGTCTTAACTCCAATATCATGATAAAAGCGAACCATTGACTTTGGCACAAGTTCTCTAAATCCTTAATTTTTTTTCATTTTTTATTTTTGTATTTTAATATTTTGAACTCTGGATGATCTTCAGATTAGTTGGGTACATTTTATTGTAGTGTTTCTGCTTATACATCGCATCCTAGAATCAAGAAAGGAAATACGTATCTCTGAAGAGTGGCTTTAAATTACCTGTATTGCTCATTAGTTCTGTTAGTGCCATTAAGAGTTGAAGTAAATGTTGATATGAATTCCTTTAATTTTATAGCTATTAATACTTTTTCTTTTCTTTTCTTTTCTTTTTTTTTTTTTTTTTGGAGACAGAGTTTTGCTCAGTCGCCCAGGCTGGAGTGCAGAGTGGCGCGATCTCTGCTCACTGCGACCTCCGCCTCCCGGATTCAAGCCATTCTCCTGCCTCAGCCTCCTGAGTAGCTGGGATTACAGGCGCGGGCTACCACGCCCAGCTAATTTTTGTATTTTTAGTAGAGACGGGGTTTCACCATGTTGACCTGGTCTTGAACTCCTGACCTCGTGATCCAACCGTCTTGGCCTCCCAAGGTGCTGGCATTACAGGCATAAGCCACTGCGCCCGACCCTTTTTCTAGATAAGTCAGTTCAGGTTTTTGCATTTGTATTATGTTTTTCATTTTTCTTTTCTTTTTTTTTTTTTTTTTTTGAGGCAGAGTCTCACTCTGTTGCCCAGGCTGGAGAGCAATGACATGATTTCAGCTCACTGCAACCTCTGCCTCCCAGGTTCAGGGGATTCTCCTGCCTCAGCCTCCTGAATAGCTGGAATTACAGGCATGTGCTACCATGCCCAGCTAATTTTTGTATTTTTAGTAGAGACGGGGATACACCATGATGGCCAGGTTGGTCTTGAGCTCGTGACTTCAGGTGATCTGCCCACCTTGGCCTCCCAAAGTGCTGGGATTACAGGCGTGAGTCACCACGCCTGGCCTGTATTATGTTTTTCATTAAGTACTCATGCTTTAGAACATTGTTATTGACATCAGTCTGTAGATTTACTACATGAAAACTTGGATAAGTGGGCTGGGCACGGTGGCTCACGCCTGTAATCCCAGCACTTTGGGAGGCCGAGGTGGGTGGACCACCTGAGGTCAGGAGCTCAAGACCAGCCTGGCCAACATGGCGAAACCTTGGGAGACAGAGGTTGCAGTGAACTGAGATCACGCCACTGCACTCCAGCCTGAGCAACAGAGTGAGGCTCCGCCTCAAAAAAATAAAAATAAAACTTGGATAATTTGTATTTTTTTTTCTAGTTTACGCTCTTTTATAGTGACCCAAGGCAATGATTTTTTTAAAAAGATATTTTGGCGCCATCTGCTGTTCTTTAATGCGATATTTCATCTACTTTGGTAAAGATTTGAAATATATGTATGTGTGTGTGTATATATATATATTTGCCCATATAAAGGACAAAATAATGGCGATTTTTAAAAGTCTGCTGCGTCTGCCTTATGATTCTTGTATTTCCAGCTGCAAAGGCTGTCTTGTAATTTTGATGGTAAGAAACAGGCTTGCCTAAAAAATATTTCTGTAGTCCTGCGTCTGCCAGTTTTGTATATTCATTCAATGACTTTGAGTTCCTGAAGACTTCCTTCTCGAGTTTACTGTGACTTCTCGTGACAAAGCTCCTGAGTTAGCTTTGCTCATTTGTTAATGTCCCTTCTCTCTGAACATGTAGTTTTTCATGTTTCATGGTCTGTCCTTATCTTACCCCTAAACCACATCCCTATCCCTGCTATGAAATCTACCCCCCATGATTATTTTTATTGATTTTCTAAGCTTCTATGTAGATCAGTTGTACTGCAGATACAGCATCTTATTTTATATTTGTAGTCTTTACTTGTCTCACATGATCTGGTTGCATATATAGTATAGCTATATGTATGTCTGTATGAGACCATAAAATTTCTGGCCAGGTGTGGTGGCTCACGACTATAATCCCAACACTTTGGGAGGCTGAGGCAGGAGGATCACTTGAAGCCAAGAGTTTGAGACCAGCCTGGGCAACAAAACAAAACCCTGTCTCTGCTGATTTAAAAAAAAAAATACCTTCTTGCTCATTAATGGCTGTGTATATCTTTTCTCTCCAAACAAATGGTGTGTTGTTTGTTTATGGGGCAGTTTGTATACTGATTTTATAATCTCTAGTAAATCCACATGCACTGTTAGGTATGCAGACTTGGAAATCTGGTGCCCTAATTAAAAGAATTGTGTGCAAAGTAAAGATCCTGAGTGGTGAACTTTGACTAAAGTAGATGAGTTTCTGTGCATAAATAGTGTAATGTCTATATTGGCTGCTCAGAGTTTATCCCATTATCACATTTAAACATTGTCTATTGATTTCTGCTGTGATGGTCTACATACAACATTCTTACCATCCAACTCATCCCAGTATAGCTTTAAATCATATACTTAAAGCTTAATTTTATGTTTCTTCAACTTGGATAATATCTGTAGACTCCGTCCTTTGTATTACGACATTCGTGGTTCTTGCCTTTTACATTGTACTGTTTCAGTTCTACATTTTCATTATCACAGTTGATAATATAATTATCCTATTGTTAGTGAAGTTTTCTTCATTGATTTATATGTAGGTTGATTGTTGAAGTTAAAAAGTAAATGTTCACCTTACGAATATGGACATTTTACCTCTATAGTGCTGAATATGTGCTAAAATTATGTTTTGTTCTCCACTAACTGATACAACTGTCCGTAGGCCACTCAAAAGATTATTTCTAGCTGTTTTGATGGATTCTTTTTTACATACCACTTACAGCCTTTTATGTCCTCAAGTTTTTCCAAGTTTCCTACTATCTAATCTATAACTTTTTTTCAAGGACATTTCATTCCCAGAGCCCTCTTCCAATGTATACTGGTTTCTTTGGACCTATTTTATACCCTTTATCATGGGATTCCTTCTCTTTGTTGCTTTCCTGAGATAGTCCATTAATTGCTGCATACCGTGTCTTCCTCTTTTGGTGTTTACACCTTAGTTTTGCTGAAATATGTCTTCAAGTAATTTCTTAAGAAAGATTGTGGAGAAGATTAACTTTATAAGTCTCTGTGTGTCTGGAAATCTATTTAATCTATCTTTATGCTTGTTTGGTGGTTTGGTGAGATTTGGCTTGTTTTGAGATCCACATATCACTGTGTCCTTTGTTGTACTTGCATTTTCTGAGTTAAAAGCTTCTCTGAGGTTTTTGTTTGTTTTTCATCTTTAGAGACGGTATTCCACTTGGTTGCCTAGGCTTGGAGTGCATAATGTAATGATAGCACGCTGCAGCCTCGAACTCTTAGGCTCAAGTGATCCTCCTGCCTCAGCCTCCTGAGTAGCTGGAACTGCACGTGTGCACCCCCATGCCTGGCTTTTGCTCAGGTTTTGAATGAACTTGATATCTCTGTCTTCTGTTGTAGGCTCATCTATATCTTACCAGGCAATACAGCTTTTTCTACTTTGCTTCACCAGGCAACATTCCTTTTTTTTTTTTTGAACTGTTTGAGATGGAGTTTCGCTCTTGTTGCCCAGGCTGGAGTGCCATGGCACAATCTTGGCTCACTGGAACCTCTGCCTCCCAGGTTCAAGCAATTCTCCTGCCTCAGCCTCCCAAGTAGCTGTGATTATAGGCATGCACCACCATGCCTGGCTGATTTTGTATTTTTAGTAAAGATGGGTTTTACCATGTTGGTCAGGCTGGTCTCGAACTCCTGACTTCAGGTGATCAGCCCACTCTGGCCTCCCAAAGTGCTGGGATTACAAGCATGAGCCACTGCACCTGGCCACATTCCTTTATTTTTGTGTGTTCCAGAAATCTGTTGAAATTTCTTATGTACACTGATGGTGTCCATCCTGTTTTCTTTGTTGTAGGGGTTTATATCTTTTTATTTTCTTACTAATTACATTAAATAGTCTTGGAGATAAAATGAGTCTACCTACAAGCCTGGGAACATGGTGAGACCCCATCTCTGCAAAAAACAAATGTGCGCCTTTGGTCCCAGCTACTTAAGGAGGCTGAGGTGTGGGAGGATCACTTGAGCTCCAGAAGTCGAGGCTGCAGTGAGCTGTGATCATGCCACTGCAGTCTATCCTGGGCGACAGAGTGAGACCCTGTCTCAAAAACAAAAAAAAAAAATGAGTCTACCTAGTCTGTCATTTTCCCCCAAATTTTTAATTTTAAACATTAGAAATTGAAATGTACTAAGAAAGTAACTTGAACACTAAATCCCTAAAAATGATATAGTGATCTCACAATTCTAGAAAGTGATTCCTGATTTCATGTTCTATTTTGTTCTTATTCTTACTACCACCACCCTAATCCAGGCCTTTTTCTAATTTATTGCTGATATTGAAGGAGTCTTTTTTATTGTGCCTTAGTTTCTTATATGCACGTTGCTGCCAAAGCCATCTCTTAATAAAAGGTTTGATGAATGTTACAACAGTAATTGAAATTTTTCCACTAAAAAAAAAAACAAAAAAAAAAACAGAATAAAGATCAGTTGTTTTACCTTGGCATTCAAAGACTTTTCTTTGACTCCCATGGTTCTCAAAGCGTGATCCTGGTCCACCACCATCAGCATCCCTTGGGAACGTGTTAGCACTGCAAATTCTCATTCCTCCCTAATTTTCTGAATCAGAAATTACGGAGGTGGAGCCCAGCAATCTGTTTTAACCAAACTTCCACATAATTCTAATTAATTTATGCTTTGAGAACCGCTGATCTAGTTTGTCCCTCTCATTTTGCAGGCAAAGAATTGAATTCTAGAGAGGTTAATTGACTTGTCCAGTCATACAGCTAGGTTCTGTTTTCTATTATTTATTTATTTATTTATTTTTATTTTATTCACTTTACCCCCCAGTATTCATAGTTTTCTTTCTAATACTCCATATTTGACTTGACTTTTTACAAGTTGTAATTACAAATAAGTCTAAGATGGGAAAGTTGTGGAAAACTTTATAGAGAACATGAGATTTGACTGAACAGTAAACATTAAGTAGAGAGAAAAGAAAGGGGTGTTCTAAGCAGTAGGGACCACAGTGAATAAAGGTAGAGATAGGTAGGTTTAAAAAAAAAAAAAAGTCCTGGGGACAGCCTGGGTGACAGAGCGAGACTCCGTCTCAAAAAAAAGAAAAAAAGAATATTCTTAAACTGAGACATTAAGTAACTGTTTTCTCTTTTGTGTGTTTTTTCTTTATTCAAATTTTCTAAGTGAACATACTTTTATAGTTCGGAAAGAATTAATGTGATACATACTTTGAAACTGGCAGGATTGTTGGAATAGTTTTATAGCCTCTCCTAATGACTACTGATACTTTAAAGGGAACAGTATTCATTTTTATCTGTGGTCAGCACTTGGCATTTGTGGATTTAACATTATCTTCTAAGCTTCTAGAACCATTCTAAATACCTGTCATGAGTAGTATTTTGTAATAGAAATCATTATTTCTACCTCATAAGAGTTTTTAGAAGATGAAATTGGATAACTTTTTTTAAGCCTCCAGGTGGAATTTGAAATACATTTTGAGTGGACCTTGGTAACTTTCAGTATCCCATCTCAATTATGATGATAGCTAATGTTGAGAGGTCATCTCTGCCAGGTACTGTTAAGTATTATCAGTCTTACTTAATCTTCACAGTAATTTTATAAGGTAAGCACCATGATTATCTCCATTTTATAGATGAACTGAAAATGAGTTGAGGAGCTTAAGTTAAAGAGGCTAAGGTACTTATGCAAGATAACAGGGTGGCTACTAAGCCAGGAATGTAACCAAGAGCCAGTTTTTTTTGAGCTTGTATCCTTAGTCATTGTGCTATACTGTCTCCACATACTACTATTTACAATACTAAAACATCTGAGGAGCTACCTATTAATAAAATAAAGGATCTGATTTAATATTTTGGTATTTTTATATATTTGAATAAAATATGACATGTAAAAGTATTATTATTATTTTTTTAATTCCTGGGCCAGGCACGGTGGCTCATGCCTGTAATCTCAGCACTGTGGGAGGCCGAGGCAGGTGGATCACGAGGTCAGAAGTTCGAGACCAGCCTGGCCAACGTGGTGAAGCCCCGTCTGTACTGAAAATACAAAGATTAGCTGGGCTTGGTGGTGAGTGCCTGTAATCCCAGCTACTAGGGAGGCTGAGGCAGGAGAATGGCTTGAACTCAGGAGGCGGAGGTTGCAGTCAGCCAAGATCGTGCCACTGCACTGTAGCCTGGGTGACAGAGCAAGACTCCATCTCAAAAAAAAAAAAAATTCTTCAAATTAAACATTTCCAAAAGGTTTATGTCCTGTTCCATGGTATTCTTTTATAGGCTAATATACTCCTAATAAATATATCCAATATTATTTAGCAAAATTAATTGTATAACAGAGATTAAGAGTAGGGGGCTCTGGAGCTTACCCATGTGATTTAAAATTCTGCCTCTGCTGCTTAATACTGTGTGACCTAGTGTGAGTTGCCTAACCTCTCTTTGCCTGGTTTCCTCATCAATAACATAGGAATAATAATATGTCCCTTATGAAGTTGATGCAAGGATTCAATGAGTTGATACACGTATAAAACACTTGAAACAGTAGTGCCTGTACATGTAGGTTTTCAGTAAGTGTTAGGTACACTGTTAGCAGTAGTGGCACTATTTATTTGAATTACTATCATTATTATCATCCATCATCATTTGTATTGATACAATAAAGTTTTAAAAGACACCCAAATTACTTAGTAGTGAAAAGTAAAAATAAAAACATCATATCTAGAGTCCATTGACTTAAAAATTATTTTGCTACCATTTATTGGCTTTCTAACCTTAAGCATTTCACTTAACTTTAATGGCCTGAACTGCCTGTCAGTAGAACAAATTAATACCTTTCTTGTCGGGTGATTACTTGATTTGTAAAAAACATTACTAGAAATCATGTTGCAGTACCACAAATTATAGTCAAAGTATGGGACTGGTAAAGAGCTGATGATGCTGAGCCCCCTCTCCATCCTTTTCTCTCTCTGGTGAGGTCCGTTTTTCTTCTTTCAATAAAATGGTTGCTGGCCAGACGCAGTGGCTCATACCTGTAATCCCAGCACTTTGGGAGGCCGAGGCAGGTGGATCACCTTAGGTCAGGAGTTCGAGACCACCCTGGCCAACATGGCGAAACCCCGTCTCTACTAAAAATACAAAAATTAGCCGGGTGTGGTGGCAGGTGCCTGTAATCCCAGCTATTCGGGAGGCTGAGGCAGGAGGATTGCTTGAAGCAGGTGTGGAGGTTGCAGTGAGCCAAGATAGTGCCATTGCACTCCAACCTGGGCAACAGAGCAAGACTCAGCCTCAAAAAAAAAAAAAAAAAAAATTGGTTGCTTGATACAGAGACTACTATTAGCATGGCCCCTGCCCAAGATAGACGCACAAATTTGTAAAGCATTCTGTATTAAAAAAAGTTGTTTCTTGTGTGAATTCACAAAGGAAAGGTTAAGGATTTAATGCTTATAAGAATATAGCCATATTTTCATTTTGCTTTTCATACTTCACTCTTGCTCTTAAACTCCTTGCCCATAAACTAAAGACATTTCTAGAAATTTCTAAATATTATGTGAAAATACATTAGGGACAGGCTAAATTGTTTTCTTTTAAACTGTGTGCGTATGACGATTTGTGTGTCCTGTTTTATACTTTTATAACACCTGTGTGTGTCCTTGGTATGGCACTTACTATATTGCTTTATTTGTTTACATATCTCACTCCCCTACTAGAACAGTTCCCTCAGTGATGGACCTTCATATTCACAATGACTAGCAAACAGATGAAAATTAATAGGCCAGGCGCGGTGGCTCACACCTGTAATCCCAGCACTTTGGGAAGCTGAGGTGGGTGGAGCATGAGGTCAGGAATTCGAGACCAGCCTGGCCAGCATAGTGAAACCCCATCTCTACTAAATACAAAAATTAGCCACGCGTGGTAAAAATACAAAATTAGTAGTCCCAGCTACTTGGGAGGCTGAGGCAGGAGAATCGCTTGAACCTGGCAGGCAGAGGTTGTGGTAAGCCGAGATCACACCACTGCACTCCAGCCTGTGCAACAGAATGAGACTCTGTCTCAAAAAAAGAAAAGAAAAGAAAAAATTAATAGCATTTAGTTAATAACGTCTGTGAGTCCAAGGTTAGGCTAAAGCTAGGTTTGACTTAATTTGGGGCTATGGTCATTCTGTTCTTGAATTAATGATATATTTGATAACTCTGGCCATATCAGTTTCTCCTTGGACATAAACACTACTTTTGAATTACATTGTCCAATTGAACTTGGATTGAACTTAAGTATTTTAAATCTTTGGAAGTTACTAACTTTAAAAAATTTTTTCTTGCTTGTTAAAATAGAAAATTATTGTATGTATTTTATGAATTTTGACTCTTAGGAAATATTGAACGTGAAAAACTAGGGGAACAAATATGAGAATGGAAGAAAACATTTTTAAATGTTCCATTCTGGGGAGAGACTATTTTACACTCCTTTTCCCAAAAGCAATGAGAGAAAATGTCTTGGGAGAACAGAACGTGATACATAACAGGAAAGAATTAAAATTTAAGCTATTCTCAAGAGACTTTAATCCTTGAATTAGTAGTTGTCAGTTGGAGATTTTCTTTTAATCAAACTAAAGTTATGAACTTTGGTCAATTCTGGGCCCACAGACATTTTTTACTTATTTTTTAAATTCATTTCAAATTCATGAATCTGTGGACATTTTCTATATAGAGTATTGTTAATTTTGACATCAACAGTTAATAGTCCACTTTACATCATATGGCTGCCTCTCAAAAATTGAATGGCACGTCTACCATGAAACAGTATTGTACCATATGTACATTATGATAGCTATGATAGCTAGTCTATGCTTTCTGACTCCCCATTCCTAGTGTAGTGTATTTTCTGAGTGACAAAATTCTCTTATTTATGTCCAACCCAAATGACTCACTAATGCTTGAGATCTACATATTTAGTTTTATGTTGGGCATTTCCACTTGAATGTCTCACAGGTACCTCAAAACTCAAAATTGAAACCCTTAACTCATCTTTTTTCCCCACCTTCAATCTCCAAAGTCACTGCCTTAGTACATGGCACCACCATCCATTGGATTGCCCAAATCAGTATTAATTTGGTTCCAACCTCTTCTCCACCCCCAGCCCACCATACCCACTCATCAAGTTTTATGAGCTTTATCTTGTATCTCATATATCCATTTCTTCCATATTTATTACTGTAGCCATCTTCCTCTCTGAGTTGTATTGTGCTGTAGCTCCCTTACTCGTCTCCTGCCACCAGTGCTATTCATTTCCAGTTGTTTTTGCATTGTTTGGGTGATCTTCCTAAAACCAAAATCAGAACACATTACTGTTCTTTTTAATACCCTTCAGTGACCATATTTTGTTTTTAAGATAAGGTCTAAATTATTTTAAGTGTTTGTAATAGCCTTTATAATTTGGCCTCTGCTACATAGTATAGCCATACATATGGAGCAGCTGGCAGTTCCTTGATACCTGTGCTGGAGATGAGCACCTTCAGGTCTTCACACACACTATTCCTTCTGCATAACTGACTCTCAGTTGTCATCCATTTCTTAGCTTGGACTTTCTTCAGAAAATCTTACACCAATACCCACATCATCTAAGATTGGATTAGATGTTCTTAAATATTCCCTCAATACTTTCTGCTTAACCTTATCAGCATGTGACACACTGCATTATTACTGCCTGTTTAGTTGTCTGTCTCTTAGGCTCTTGAAGAGCAAATACAATATTCTGTTTGATTGACCTGTGTCACCAATACCTAGCACAGTCCATGGCAAGATTTGGCTTTTGAAGATTGTTACTAAGTAACGAAAATGCACATTTTTTAAGTCATTTTAAGTATAATGATCCTGTGGTGGCAAAAATTCAGTGTAAGAACGTATGTGTGTTAATAACTGAATACATTAATGGAAGTATTATGTAACAGTATCCTAAATAAATAATTTTAAAATGTAACTATAAAATCAGAAACATTTGCTTACAGCAAGTCAAGCTTTTAAAAAGTTTTTTTAATTATAACTTTACTTTTGGGATCTCTATTATAAAATATTTAAATTTTAAGTAAACCATGTAACTTTATAAGTATTTAAATTTTATCTTGATTTCCATTTGTGAATTTTTTTAGCAGTTAGAGAAAAGCTGTGGTAGTTTCCAACTGTGTTAGAAACAGTTGTCAAGTGTGGTTCCTTTACGCCATGAGACTGGGAGCTGTTTCTAAACACAAAGTTGTTAGTCGCACAGATTTGCCTAAGTTTCCAATCTGATCTGTGACTATGGGTAAGTAAATTGGAATTTGTGTATTTGTGGGGAAAAAAACTTCTGTCAATTAAATTCCATAAACTACTCTTAACTTTATAACCTAAAATGTGTAGACTTTAAACCCCAGCCAATCAATAGTATAATTTTTTGCAAACTTTCAAGGTAAAGGGTATATAAAAAGGTATTCTGCTAGGCTCAGAATAAATAGAGTCAAGACAGTTAGGAATCTTATTTGAATCCTAAAATAAATTTTCAGTGCTACATTTATTATCAAAGATGTCAGAGATTATTTTTTAATTAAAGAAACATGTTTATTTTCCAGAAGACTTTACTTATTTCTGTGGTTCCTATTAATAGTGAAGATTGTAGTGTATTTATAGCATAGGATTTGTAGTAAAATCTAGAAATTATAAAATAAATTTTGATATTATATATGTGTGTGCAAATAGCATACTTTTAAATTGCGTATTAACTTTTTATCCTTTAAGACAGTGGTCCCCAACCTTTTTTGGCACCAATGACTGGTTTTATGGAAGACAGTTTTTCCACGGACTCAGAGGGGTGGGTGGTTTCAGGATGAAACTGTTCACCTCAGATCATCAGACATGCACCACATAATTAGATTCTCATAAGAAGTGCACAACCTAGATCCCTCGCATGTGCAGTTCACAATAGGGTTCACACTCCTATGAGAATCTAATGCTGTGGCTGATCTGACAGGAGGCGGAGCTCAGGCAGTATTGCTTGGTCGCCTACCACTCACCTCCTGGGTGGCCCAGTTCCTAACTGGCCCCGGGGTTGGGGATCTCTGCTTTAAGAGAACTGATAAAGGTTTAGTGAAAGATATATATGTGTGTGTGTGTTTGGTTGTTTTTTTGTTTGTTTGTTTGTTTTTTTGAGATGGGGTCTCGCTCTGTCGCCCAGGCTGGAGTGCAGTGGTGCGATCTCAGCTCACTGCAAGCTCCACCTCCCGGGTTCACAGCATTCTCCTGCCTCAGCCTCCCGAGTAGCTGGGACTACAAGCACCCGTCACCACGCCCGGCTAATTTTTTGTATTTTTAGTAGAGATGGGGTTTCACCGTGTTAGCCAGGATGGTCTCAATCTCCTGACCTCATGATCCACCCGCCTCAGCCTCCCAAAGTGCTGGGATTACAGGCATGAGCACTGTGCCTGGCCATATGTGTGTGTTTTTATATACACACACAGTCTGTCTAACACAGTCACGCACCACATAACAATGTTTTCATCAACAACAGACTGTATATGATGGTGGTCCCAAAAAATTATGATACCATATTTTGTTTATTTGTTCGTTTGAGACAGAGTCTCGCTCTGTCACCCAGGCTGGAGTGCAGTGGGTGTGATCTTGGCTTACTGCAACCTCCTGGGTTCAAGCGGTTCTCCTGCCTTAGCCTCCTGAGTAGCTGGGACTACAGGCGTATGCCACCATGCCTTGCTAATTTTTGTATTTTTGGTAGAGACAGAGTTTCACCATGTTGACCAGGCTGGTCCCAAACTCCAGACCTCAAATGATCCTCCCGTCTTGGCCTCCCAAAGTGCTGGGATTACAGGCGTGAGCCACCACACCCAGCCATGATACTATATTTTTACTGTACCTTTTTACTTTCTTTAGATAGGCAGTTATTTACCATTGTGTTACAATTGTCTACAGTGTTCAGTACAGTACAGTAACATGCTGCACAGGCTTACAGCCTAGGAACAGTAGGCTATACCATTATAGCCTAAGTGCTTAATTTCTTTTTGTTTGTTTGTTTGAGACAGAGTCTCACTCTGTCACTCAGGCTGGAGTGCAGTTGCACAATGTCGGCTCACTGCAGTCTACACCTTTCAGGTTCAAGCAATTCTCCTGGCTCAGCCTCCTGAGTAGCTGGGATTACAGGTGTCCACCACCACACCTGGCTGATTTCTTTTATTTTTAGTAGAGATAGGGTTTCACCATGTTGGCCAGGCTGGTCTTGAACTCCTGGCCTCAGATGAAGTGCCTCCTTGGCCTCCTAAAGTGCAGGGATTACAGATGTGAGCCACCACGACCAGCCTTCTCAGAACGTATTCTTGTCTTTAAGTGATAAGTGACTGTATGTGTCTGCATTGTCCAATTAAGGGTAGCCACTAGCTGCATGTGGCTTTTGAGCACTTGAAATATGCCTAGTCTGAATAGAGGCATGCTGTGTTACACATACGTACTATTTTCAAAGATTTAGTATGAAAAAAATGTAAATTATCTCAGTAATAATTTTATATTTACATATTGAAATGATATATTTCAGATTTAATATGTTAAGTATATTAAAATTTCACTGTTTTATTTTTTAATGCAGCTAAATTACATATGTGGATTGCGTTCTATTTCTGGTGGACATTTCTGGTCTAGAACATTTTTTCTAACTAAATTTTTCTGTGAATTATAGTTAAAATTGAACATTTTTGGTAGAGGGTTATTTTTAAGTCTTTGATTACAACTTGACAATCATTGGCATAATATTCTATTAGATATAAAAATGAAAACCATAAAATTAAAAAAAAATTTTTTTTTGAAACAGTTTCGTTTTTGTTGCCCAGGCTGGAGTGCAATGGCATGATCTCCGCTCATCGCAGCCGCCTTCTTCCAGGTTCAAGCAATTCTCCTGCCTCATCCTCCTGAGTAGCTGGGATTACAGGCATGCGCCACCAAACCTGGCTAATTTTGTATTTTTAGTAGAGACGGAGTTTCTCCATGTTGGCCAGGCTGGTCTAGAACTCCCAACCTCAGATGATCTGCCCGCCTGGGCCTCCTAAAGTGCTGGGATTTACAGGCATGAGCCACCACGCCTGGCCAAAATTATTTTAAGGTCTTGCTTTTAGACTTGTTGGCACAAAACCATAACTAATCCATGATTTCGTGTTTCTTGGGTTGGAGCCAGTTTGCCGCATCTATCATGGATCGTTGGCTTTATTCATTTTTATTTAATGTAACAAATATTTTTTGTTTCATGTATGCTAAGTCTGTTTTGGGGGAATACTTCTCCATAATTTCAGGAGGGGACAAAAAATAATGGATCTACATGTAAATGCATTTGTGGATTTGGATGTTGGAAGGAAGTTAAGGCAGTTCTTGTTTGGTTTTTTTTTTTCCTGTAAAGTAGGAGATAAGCCACCACTAGTGATGGCTTCTACGAAGAACTCCCTGAATTGAGTAAAATTAAAGGGTTCTCCATTGATGGGAATCAGTATTTATTGAGTACTGATTGGGCACCAAGCTAAACACTGAAGAATATAAAAGAGGGCACCCTTGTTACCCTGCCTCGCCCTCAGAGCTTATAATTTTGTTAGGGAAATATGGCATATAATAAAAAAAGTAAGTATAACATAAGGCAGCTAAGGTATAGTAAGGTATATACGGTATATATTCAGTACTACAGGAGTTCAAAAGATGAAGCGAACCCAAATGACTAGAGATTTCTTTTAAGCTTTCTGTTTTGCTGCTTATCACAGTAGTAGCCAACTTATCTTCCCAGAATGATCCCTTTTTAAGTAACTTCTGGCACTGTACTTGATTCTCAGAACAGTCAGTAGTAATTTAATATGAGAACTATGTAGAAATTAGCACATATTCTTCAGCGCAGAGTTCAAAACAGTGATTTTATAACTCATGAGCACTTCAGGACAGTGTTTACAAGTGGGAAGTTGAGATTTCTGTGGTATTCATGACTTAAATCATGTAGCTTCTTGAATTTATTTGCTGTACATTTTAGGATGCAAATGAATTAATTAGCACCTTCTCTTTCCTGTTAGGACCTCTGAATTCCTTACTTTTCAGTCTTTACTATTTGCTGTGTCTTTGGTGAGAAGCAAAGGATTCCAGGGTGGGGTGGGTGGGTGTCTGTAGTAATAAGGTCCACAGATTTTAAGAAGGTGAAGGTGAGGAAAGGAGGAGGGAGTTGTATAGGATGAAAAGTTTGAGAATGTACTTTTGAGTGTTGTAGAATTGGACTGACTACTGAAGGAAATGGCAAACAAGCTGATAGAGACATTAACCCACATGCATGCATACTACAAACATATCAAAATGAAATATGTAATAAGGGCTGGGCACAGTGGCTCATGCCTGTAATCCCAGCACTTTGGGAGGCCAAGTTAGGCGGATCACTTGAGCTCAGGAGTTTGAGACCCATCCTTGGCAACATGGCAAAACCATGTCTCTACAGAAATACAAAAATTAGCCAGGCATGGTGGCGTGCACACCTGTAAACTGAGGTGGGAGAATTGCTTGAGCCAGGGAAACGGAGGTTGCAGTGAGTCGAGATCCCACCACTGCACTCCAGCCGGGTGACAGAGTGAGACCCTGTCTCAAAAACAAAACGAACAAAAGAAATACGCATTAAGAACAAAACTATAAACATATAACTAAACTTTTAAGGAAGGAAAGAAGAGGAGGAAAATTCATAGGTATCAGAAATCAGAGAAATAAAATCAGAACAGTAAGCGGGAGCTAGTGTTGCTGTATATAGCACAGGGGGCTTTTGGTCCTGCATATGTTCTAAGGGGTCTGGGGTTGAATTTTATTGCACATATGGGGATAGGATATATGGCCTTGGGCCTTTTCAAAATATATCTGAAACAAAGACCCAGGCATGTGGCCTAGAGCCTGAAATAACTTCCCTAATTACGCATAGAGATTAGAAAAAGTGCCCACTAGTCAAATGCTCACTCAAGAACAAAGTCAATGACAGAACAATCTAAGAGAGAATATAAAATGTGAGTGAAATGATTGAAGGGATAAAAGAAGGAAATGAAGCAATGAGGTAATAGATCAGTGTGAAAAAGAAACAGTAAAACTTGGAAAAAATTAACTTTTAGAAATTAAAAATATAATCATGGAAATTGGCAGTAGATGGGTTAAATTACAGATTAGACAGATACTCTTGCCTTGGCTGAAAAGCAAAAGTCTAGCAATAAATGGTTAAGAATAAGCAAATCTAGGCCAGGCACAGTGGCTCATGCCTGTAATCCCAGCACTTTGGGAGGCTGAGGCAGGCAGATACCTTGAGGTCAGGAGTTCGAGACCATCCTGGCCAACATAGTGAAACCCCGTCTCTATTAAAAATACAAAAATTAGCCGGGCGTAGTGGCGCGTGCCTGTAATCCCAGCTACTCGGAAGGCTGAGGTGGGAGAATAGCTTGAACCCAGGAGGCAGAGGTTGCAGTGAGCCGAGATCACGCCATTGCACTCCAACCTGGGCAACAGAGCAAGACTCATCTCAAAAAAGAAGAAGAAGAAGAAGAAGCAGCAGCAAATCTAAAATGTAATCCATAAAAGTAAGAAATTGAAAATAAAGGATTTAAAAAATACTAGACTGACACAAACCAAAACAGAAAGCTGATAGACCAAAAATAGATTTGTAAGGCAGAAAGCATTGTTAGTGATGAAGAAAGCCATTACATAATGAAGATGATGAAGAAAGCCATTAATTACATAATGAAGAATGGAATAATTCACCAGGAAGAAATAGTTATCTTGAATCTGTGTGTCCAAATAATATTGTCTCAAAGCACATAAAGCAAAAATTTGCAGGCAAAAAAAAAAAAAAGATTAACTACAAATATGGTGGGAGATTTCAGCACATTTCCTTCAGAAGCCAATGAATAAACCACCACCACCCTCAACAAAAGTGAAAAAATGTAAGCATAGAGACTATTTGAACAACACAATTAACAAGCTAGATCTTTTTAGACATGTTTAAACCCTACTCTAAAAATTAGTGTTGATGTTCCTTTCAAGCACACATAGGACGTTTACTGGTCATATTATTAATATACAAACATTTATAGAATTACACATATTAGACCTCAAAGGGAGAGAGTTCCACAAATGCCTAGGCGTATCATACTGGCTGCTTTTTGTGATTCCTGCAGTACATGGAAAATTTACAAGCTGGGCACATTGACTCACAGCTATAATAATCTCATCACTTTGGGAGGCCATGGCAGGAGGATCACTTGAGCTCAGCAGTTTTGAGACTAGCCTGCACAACATGGTGAGACCTTGTGTCTACAAAAAAAAGTTGTTTTTAATTAGCCAGGTGTGGTGGTTCACATCTGCAGTTCCAGCTGTTCGAGAGGCCAAGGTGGGAGGGCTGCTTGAGCCCAGGAGATACAGGCTGCAGTAAGCCATGATTGTGCCACTGTATTCCAGCCTGGGTGACAAAGTGAGACCCTGTATCTTTTTTTTTTTTTTTTTTTAAAGAAAAATTTACTTGTTTTTCCAAGTTTCATTTGAAAGTGATGTTAATCGAATAATATTTAAATGAAATAATAGTAATTGAAATACTTCTTGAACTCTGCATATGAGCCCAGGCATACTGTGTGTTTTACATATATTTAAGTTTTTAGCAGCTTTCAATTATAACATACTCTTATCTTTAATAGATGAGAAAATGTAGGCTTAAAAATGTTAATTTACACCCAAGGTTAGCTGACTGGAAATCTCTACTTTTAAATATTACACTTTTACAAACTCTCCCCCCTTTTTATACCTTTGTTATTATGAAATATAGCTAGGTAGAGAAACCTACATAAAACACAAATACACAGCTTGTTGAGTTATTATTAAGGTATTATCTTTGTAATACCAACAAGGCAAGAACTAGAACTTTGCCAGCTACTACTAAGCCTTTTATGTTTCCCATTCTAATTATATTCTCCTCCTGCCGGGCGCCGGTGGCTCACGCCTGTAATCCCAGCACTTTGGGAGGCCGAGGCGGGCAGATCACGAGGTCAAGAGATGAAGACCATCCTGGCCAACATTGTGAAACCCCGTCTCTATCAAAAATACAAAAATTAGCTGGCCATAGTGGCGTGCACCTGTAGTCCCAGCTACTCGGGAGGCTGAGGCCGGAGAATGGCTTGAACCCAGGAGACGGAGGTTGCAGTGAGCCGAGATCGCGCAACTGCACTCCAGCCTGGGCAACAGGGCGAGACTCTGTCTCAAAAAAAAAAAATAAAAATAAAACTGATATTCTCCTCCTTCCCCACTAAAAGCATTTGTATTATAATCATTTTCTAGCTTTTTAAAAAATAATTTGGCCGGGCACAGTGGCTCACGCCTGTAATCCCAGCCCTTTGGGAGGCCGAGGTGGGGGGATCACGAGGTCAGGAGTTAGAGACCATCCTGGCCAACATGGTGAAACCCCGTCTCTACCAAAATACAAAAAGTTAGCCAGGCATGGTGGTGTGTGCCTGTAGTCCCAGCTACTCAGGAGGCTGAGACAGGGGAATGGCGTGAACCCAGGAGGTGGAGGTTGCAGTGAGCTGAGATCACGCCACTGCACTCCAGCCTGGCGACACAGCGAGACTCCATCTCAAATAATAATAATAATAATAATTTGAATACCAAAGGGTACATTCTTAATGTGTTTTATAAAGTTTTCCTTATTTTTCTCCCACTGTTTTTGTCCAGTTTATTTGTTAAGAAACTGATAGTTGGACCTGTAGAGTTTCTTACAGGTTTGATCGGATTCAGGTTTGATGTTTTTGGCCAGACTTTATAGGTAGTGGTATAGGAGATATATACACTACTGGTTGTTTTTGTGATTTTACAAACTATTGGTACTCATTGGTTAAATCTGTTAACTCATTAGAGATAGCAGAATGGTGATTCTCTAATTTTATTATCCCTTCATTACTGGAATGTTTCTATAGAGAAGCTTCCCCTCATCTAATACTTTGCTACCTGGTGATTCAGTTTATGTAAGAAAGGAAGAATAAGTGTTTGCTTATTTGGTGTTATTTACCAGTTTTGTTTTTTGGTTTTTGGTTTTTTTTTGAGACGGAGTCTTGCTCTGTTGCCCAGGCTGGAGTGCAGTGGCATGATCTCGGCTCACTGCAAGCTCTGCCTCCCGGGTTCACACCATTCTCCTGCCTCAGCCTCCTGAGTAGCTGGGACTACGGGCGCCCGCTACCACACCAGGCTAATTTTTTGTAGTTTTAGTAGAGATGGGGTTTCACTGTGTTTTCCAGGATGGTCTCGATCTCCTGACCTCGTGATCCGCCCACCTTGGCCTCCCAAAGTGCTGGGATTACAGGCTTGAGCCACTGTGTTATTTACAAGTTTTCAACATGATGGGTTGGTTTCCACTAGCATCTTTCAAATAATCTTTTTTTTTTTTTAATTTTTAAAGTATTATTATGAACTCATAGATGGATGGATTGACTGACTGATTTTGAGACAGGGTCTTGCTCTGTCACCCAGGCTGGAGTGCAGATGTGTGATCATAGCTCACTGCAGCCGTGCTCTGTTGAAAGCACTTTGGAGGCCAAGGTGGGAGGATTGCTAGAACCCAGGAGTCTGAGACCAGCCTGGGCAATATAGTGAGACCCCATCTCACCAAAAAAAATTGTTTTTTAGTTAGCTGGGTGGTGGTGCATGCCTGTAGCCCCAGCTGCTTGGGATACTGAGGCAGGAGGATTGCTTGAGGCCAAGAGGTTGAGGCTGCAGTGAGCTGTGATCGGGCCACTGCACTCCAGCCTGGGTGACAGAATGAGACCCTATCTCCAAAAAAAAAAAAAAAAGATGTTCATACACCAGACTACCCTCTGACACCCTTTTTAACCTACCTGGTATCTCATGCACTATATTGAGCCGTTCCTCTTCATAGACACACTCCTTGCCAAGCTGCCTTCACCATATATGGTCTCTAACCATGTAGTACCAGTTCCCTTCCCACTCCTCTCAGCAAGTGGATATCCTCCTCACCTTTTTTTAAAAAAAAGTCTTCCACGGCTGGGCGTGGTGGCTCACGCCTGTAATCCCAGCACTTTGGGAGGCCGAGGTGAGTGGATCACGAGGTCAGGAGATCAAGACCATCCTGGCTACCACGATGAAACCCCATCTTTACTAAAAATACAAAAAATTAGCTGGGCGTGGTGGCGGGCGCCTGTAGTCCCAGCTACTCGGGAGGCTGAGGCAGGAGAAAGGCGTGAACCCAGGAGGCGGAGCTTGCAGTGAGCCGAGATTGCGCCACTGCACTCCAGCCTGGGCGACAGAGCGAGACTCTGTCTCAAAAAAAAAAAAAATCTTCCACATTTTATAGAAATCTAACATTTCTTTCATATAGCTATCCAGTTGGTTGGAATTTCATATAAAACTTACATCTGCTCCCTCCCGAATTTGAAGTTTTAAGAAAGTTTTCTGTATCCATAGAACTTTTTTTAAAAAGGGTATAATTTTTCTTATTGCTTTTGTTTATAACAGATGATGATGTGCCTGCAGATATGGTTGCAGAAGAATCAGGTCCTGGTGCACAAAATAGTCCATACCAACTTCGTAGAAAAACTCTTTTGCCGAAAAGAACAGCGTGTCCCACAAAGAACAGTATGGAGGTAACTTTAACTGTAGTTGCTTTTCTTTTTGTAATGAAAGAATTTTCAAGAAACAAAAAAGGGAATGTCATCCTTTTTTAGAAGTAATGATTATGGATGATAAGAATATTTGCTTTACTAGTTTCTGTTTTGTTTTTGAAGGGCGCCTCAACTTCAACTACAGAAAACTTTGGTCATCGTGCAAAACGTGCAAGAGTGTCTGGAAAATCACAAGATCTATCAGGTATTTCCTGTGGGAAAGTAACAAATAGGGTAAAATAATTTTTTTTAATTTTGCTTGATACCAAAAAATGAAAATTAAGTGTATTCGAGTATTACCTTTGGGATTCAGAAAGTGATTATTACAGAATAAACTTTAGAACCCTGACCTCTCCCTCTGACTTTTATTGTTGTATAAAAATGCTTTTTATGTATTTATTTTAACCATTTCTGAGATGGCACATAATACCTAAAAGAAGGAGTACTTTTGTTAGTTCAGGATAGAGATAAATATGTGTTACCCATGAAACCCACATGCTTATAAAATGACCATTATCCAAAAAAAAAAAGCTATTCATTAGATAAAATGAAAACTGTGTTCTTTAAATAATGAGAAAGTTATTGCTCGAATGATAGTTTATATGTTAATCTCTTTATAGCAGCACCTGCTGAACAGTATCTTCAGGAGAAACTGCCAGATGAAGTGGTTCTAAAAATCTTCTCTTACTTGCTGGAACAGGATCTTTGTAGAGCAGCTTGTGTATGTAAACGCTTCAGTGAACTTGCTAATGATCCAATTTTGTGGTAAGTAAAAACCTATTCCTTATTAACTTGAGATATGTTATTTGTTGCCCAAAATGCTAAACATGGTAGGAAAGTCGGTGCGGTGAGTTGGTAGTTACAATTAGTTGGAACAAAATTAAAATGCTTATCAATTCCAAGTTACAAATGGGGGCTGTCAGTCCAGGTGGTATTTATAAATCAGTAAATGAAGTCTTTTATCTGCTGTTTATCAGTTAATAGCAACTGATTGATTATGGGAAATGTTTTTCTTTTAGTAGCTTTTTAGAAACATAACAGTGTAATTTAAAATAGCTAATGAATTTTAAATCTGATAGATTAGAATGTAGGTTTTATATATCACTTTTGGAAAACAGTTGTATTCATGAATCTTTAAATAATTCATGCCCTTTGACCCAGTAATTACTGGGTCATGCCCTTTGACCCAGTAATTCTACTTCTGAAAAGTTTTTTTTGCTTTATGTACAGATTTTTCGTAACAGCCTAGTTAATAATGAGAAAAATTATAAATAATCTAAATATCCAGAATTAAGGGAATGAACTACATAAACTGTGTAATGTGTACTTGGAGAGTTGTGATATAACCACTAATAGTAATTTTTACAAAGAGATTTTCATTTGTTTTTTGAGAGACAGGGTCTTGCTCTGTCACCCAGGCTGGAGTGCAGTGTCACGCTCCTAGCTCACTGCAGCCTCAACCCTCTGGGCTCAAGCCATTCTCCCACCTCAGCCTCCTGAGTAGCTGGCACCACAGGCAT
The DNA here is from genome assembly GCF_000001405.40 of Homo sapiens. Taxonomy (NCBI): domain Eukaryota; kingdom Metazoa; phylum Chordata; class Mammalia; order Primates; family Hominidae; genus Homo; species Homo sapiens. Next base: position 47,838,103 of record NC_000002.12, on the reverse strand, counting down.
GTGTCACCATGCCCAGCTAATTTTTTTTTTTTTTTTTTTTTTGAGACAAAGGGTCTCACTCTGTTACTCAGTCTGATCTTGAACTCCTGGGGTCAAGTGATCCTTCTACCTCGGCCGCCCAAAGTGCTGGGATTATAGGCATGAGCCATTGCACCCAGCCCAGGTTTTTAATAAGATGAAAAAAATGCTGTTATAAAAAGTGAAAAGAGGCCAGGTGTGGTGGCTCCTGCCTGTGGTCCCAGCTACTCCGGAGGCTGAGGCAGGAGGATCATTTGAGCCCAGGAAGTCAAGGCTGCAGAAAGCCGTGATCGTGCCACTGCACTGCAGCCTGGGCGGCAGACGGAGACCCTGTTTTTTAAAGAAAAGAACAGAGTACAAAATTGTATATGCTATATAATCACAACTATAATAAATGATCTGTAGATAAAATGAGTGGAAGCAAATATGGCAGACTGTTAATAGTTAATATATTGAAACTATAGTTCTTTACACTTCTTTGTTTTACAACGGTTATATGTATTACTTTTATGATGCACAAAAGGTGCACCATATATATATATGTTTTTGTTGTTGTTTTTGACGGAGTTTCGTTCTTGTTGCCCAGGCTAGAGTGCAGTGGCACAATCTTGACTCACTGCAACCTCTGCCTCCCGGGTTCAAGCAATTCTCCTGCCTCAGCCTCCTGAGTAGCTGGGATTACAGGCACCTCCCACCATGCCCAGCTATTTTTTGTATTTTTAGTAGAGACAGGGTTTCACCATGTTGGCTAGGCTGGTCTTGAACTCCTGACCTCAGGTGATCCTCCTGCCTGGGCCTCCCAAAGTGCTGGGATTACAGGCATGGGCCACTGTGCCCGGCCCACACCTTACATTTAAGAGAAAAATTACAAAGGAGAAATGAGAATGAAGAGCAGCAGAACAAAACAGCATTGCTCACTGTACCAGAAATGATAATAGTTAGCCATTACTCCAGTTTGAAGATTTCATTGTGCTTGATAGGATATAAATGGACTGAAGATATAGGACAAATTAAGTTCAAAGTATTTTTACTGAAAATTATCTTTTTAGGCTAGGCGAAGTGGCTCACGCCTATAATCCCAGCACTTTGGGAGGCTGAAGTGGGCAGATTACTTGAGCCCAGGAGTTTGAGACCAGCCTGGGCAACATACTGGGACCTCATTTCTACAAAAAAAAATCAAAAAATAAGACAAGAGGATCACTTGAACCTGGGAGGTTAAGGCTGCAATGAGCCATGATCACGCCTCTGCACTCCAGTGTGGGCAACGGGAGTGAGACTCTGTCTCAAAAAGAAAAAGAAAGAAAATTATCTTTTTAAGTGATAATCATGATGTTTTTACAGTAAGGATAACTTTTTTTCCCCTTCCTGAGTAAACAGTTTGTAAGGAAATTGAAACTTTTTGTTGTTCTGTGTGGACAAATTTTCATACGCAGTTACATTGTGAAAATTTTTGCAGGAAAACTAATTTTCGGCCAGGCATGGTGGCTCACGCCTGTAATCCCAGCACTTAGGGAGGCTGAGGTGGGTAAATCACTTGAGCTCCAGAGTTCGAGACCAGCCTGGGTAACATGTGCCTGTAGTTCCAGCTACTTGGGAGGCTGAGGTGGGAGGATCATTTGAGCCCAGGAGGCAGAGGTTGCAGTGAACTGAGATCGTGGCACTGCACTCCAGCCTGGGTGATAGAAATAGACTATGTCTCAAAGAAAAAAAAGGAAAAAAACATAATTTCCATATGCAACTACACTGAAAATTTTAAATGTGAAAAATACGTTTTCACGTTTTAAATCCTGTTTTTAGCTGTGCGTGGTGACACATGCCCATAATCTCAGCTACTCAGGAGGCTGAGGCTTGAACCTGGGAGAGGGAGGTTGCAGTGAGCCAAGATCATGCCACTTGCATTCTAGCCTGGATGACAGTGAGACTGTGTCTCAAAAAAAAAATCCTGTGATTTAATATTCATTTTTGTCTATTCTTACTTTCTTACTCAAGTTTTTGAGGCCTCAAATAATTGTTATAGTTGTTCAAAACTGTATTAATCTAAAGGACATTTTATCAAGAAAATTTTAATTCCTTTCTCTGTTCAGGAAACGATTATATATGGAAGTATTTGAATATACTCGCCCTATGATGCATCCTGAACCTGGAAAATTCTACCAGATTAATCCAGAAGAGTATGAACATCCAAATCCCTGGAAAGAGAGTTTCCAGCAGTTGGTATGAAATATAAATAGAATATATTGGTTTATATTATACATTTGTAAATAACTTTCTTTTAAGAAATAAGTTTAGGCTGGGCGTGGTGGCTCACACCTGTAATCCCAGCACCTTGGGAGGCCGAGGTAGGAGGATTACCTGAGGTCAGGAGTTCGAGACCAGCTTGGCCAACATGGCGAAACTCCATCTCTTCTAAAAATACAAAAATTAGCCGGACATGGTGGCGCACACCTGTAGTCCCAGCTACTTCGGAGGCTAAGGCAGGAGAATCACTTGAACCCAGGAGGCAGAGTTGCAGAGAGCTGACATTGCACTGCTGCACTCCAGCCTGGGCGACAGAGTGAGACTCTTGTCTCAGGGAAAAAAAAAAAGTTGAGTAGGTTTTAATGAACATTTATCAACCAACAGAATATTCAGCAATTCTTTTCACTACTGACATATCCCCCCATTAATAAGTTAGTACAGTAAGCATTAGTAGCCTAAGAGCAGTTGTGATTTCAATGGGTCTGTTTGAACTTGTATTTAAATTATTAGTGTTCAGCATTTGTTTTAAAGTTCCACATTTAGCTTAATTGTTATACGGCCCTTCGTGAGTGAGTCTCAGCTGGAGATGATTTTGCTTTCTGTGGGACATTTGGCGATGTCGGGAGACATTTTTTGATTGTCACAATGGGAGGAGAGTGTGCTGCTGCTATTTGGCTGGGTGAGGCCAGGGATACCTCTAAACATCCTACAGTGCACAGGACAGCCCCCATAACAAAGAATTAACTGACTTAAAATATCAGTAATGCTGAGATTGAGAAACCCTGTTCTTTGTTTCTGGATATTACCGGATCATAACTTGTTTTAGATTTTACATTGTACTCTGACAGAAAATTATTTGGAATAGTTGAGAATTATTTTTGATTTGTAATAAAAGTTGTTCATGCAATTGTACATTAATTTAAATATAAGGTTTATGTTAGTAGTCAATGGTTTTGTTTTGTTTTTGACATTTTAGTATAAAGGTGCACATGTAAAGCCAGGATTTGCTGAACATTTCTACAGTAACCCTGCAAGATATAAAGGAAGAGAAAATATGTTGGTATGTTTGATTTTTATTTTTATGACTTAAAATGGTAATCTTTCAGTTCTGTACTGACACATTTATTTTTTTCTAGTATTATGATACTATTGAAGATGCCCTTGGTGGGGTACAAGAGGCTCATTTTGATGGACTTATCTTTGTTCATTCTGGAATATATACTGATGAATGGATATATATTGAATCTCCAATCACCATGATTGGTGCAGGTATTTTGAAATGCATTGTCATTAAAATTTTAATATTTTACTCATTTATGTGATAGGATTTTAAAAATGCTAGTGACTTAAAATCCAGTTTTATAATATCCTGCTGGTAAAGTAGGAATGAAGATATCACACATATTTTAAGTGAAGGAAGTGAAAACATAAGAGTTCAGAAATTATAGCTGTATATAAATTCTTTCTCCCCGCCCCCCCCAACCTTTTTTGTTTTTTTGATGCAGAGTCTAGCTATGTCACTCAGGCTAGAGTGCAGTGGCACAATTTCAGTTCACTGTAACCTCTGCCTCCTGGGTTCAAGCAATTCTCATGCCTCAACCTCTCAAGTAGCTGGGATTATAGGCATGCACCACCATGCGTGGCTAATTTTTGTATTTTTAGCAGAGATAGGGTTTCGCCATGTTGGCCAGGCTGGTCTCAAACTCCTGGCCTCAAGTGATTTGCCCATCTCGGCCTTCCAAAGTGCGGGGATTACAGACATGAGCCACTGTGCCTGGCTGTATATGTTTCCTAATGTTAGTACTTTCTCCATTTGCCTTGAGTTATTCATTAAACGAAGAAAAATAGCTTTTTCATCTTTTATTTGAAAATAAAGATGCAGCCAGGTGTGGTGGCTCACACCTGTAAACCCAGTAGTTTGGGAGGCTGAGGTGGGTGGATCGCTTCAGGTCAGGAGTTAAAGACTGGCCTGGCCAACATGGTGAAACCCCATCTTTACTAAAAATACAAAAAAAATTAGCCAGGTGTGGTGGTGTGCACCTGTAATCCCAGCGACTCTGGAGGCTGAGGCAGGAGAATTGCAAAGAAAGATGCTAATATTTCTATTGCTATGTTTTTAAAGGAACTGAAATAGAATTTTTAAATACTTTTGTACTATTTCAAAGCTATTTATGGTCAGGTTTCTAAGAATAAATGTAATATCTGTCAAACACTGAGTCATTTGAAGATTTGTGGTTTTTTTATTTTGAGGATACAGTACATAGAACATTTTAAGATAGCTAGTAATTATTATTTGCTAGTGAAATTTGCATTTACAGCCTCTTTTGCTTTCTTCCTCTATCTCCTCATGAAGATGGGGAGAATAGATTAGAGCAAATGTTTGTCTGGTGATTTTATTACTTTCTAAATCGAGGCCACTGTTGGAAATAAATTTAAATAGAGGTCTCTTCTCTTCTTGAGCTTCTGTTTCCAGTGCTGCTGCTGGAAACAGAATGGTTTCCACAAGAAACCATTTTTTGTTTTTGTTTCCACAAGAAACCATTTTTTAATATGCCGTTGCATTTTATATTCATAGTATTTATAGTTAAATGTTATTAGAAGTAATACTGTGCATGGATTTGAATATAGCAAAGGCTGATGATGAAACATAGTTAACTGATAGTGAATATTAGTCCCACTACTCAGTACTAATGTTTTTAGTAAGTTCCCCCTCCATAAAGATACCCATCTGTTGAAATCGAATAAAGGTAATATTCTTTAAAATATCTTCTCCACAGCACCTGGGAAAGTGGCAGACAAAGTTATAATTGAAAACACTAGAGATTCAACCTTCGTTTTTATGGAAGGCTCTGAAGATGCTTATGTTGGATATATGACAATAAGGGTAAGACATGTTAAGATTTAAAATACACATTGAAATCATAAAGGCAGTAATTGTTTATTTCAAACAAAATTTTTACTTTTCAGTTTAACCCTGATGACAAATCTGCACAACACCACAATGCACACCACTGCTTAGAGATTACAGTAAATTGTAGCCCTATTATTGATCACTGTATCATCCGAAGTACATGTACAGGTTAGTGTTTTCTTTATATTTTACAATAAAATTTTGAGTCACTGTATGTTGCCCAGTAGGTTTTTACATAAATAAATAATTTTTCTACAGTTGGTTCTGCAGTATGTGTTAGTGGTCAAGGAGCATGTCCCACCATCAAGCACTGTAACATCAGTGACTGTGAAAATGTTGGACTATATATAACAGATCATGCACAGGTATTTTTTAATTTTGTGTGGTTTTTTTCTTTTTAGAAAATGTTTAAAAGCTCTACTGATGTTTGTTTCTGATAACTTGTTGTAGGGAATATATGAGGATAATGAAATTTCCAATAATGCGTTAGCTGGGATTTGGGTTAAAAATCATGGAAACCCAATTATTAGACGGAATCATATTCATCATGGACGTGATGTTGGTGTGTTCACATTTGATCATGGCATGGTAAGAACACTTATTTTTAATAGAAAAACGGACTTCTGTATCAGTTAAATTCCAAGTATGTTTCAGCATTATTTTCTCATCACCAAATTATCTGAATTGAAGAGTATAGGTTTAAAAGCAATTTCAGCATTATTTTTTAAAATTAATATGAAATATTTATTCTGTAAATTTATGCATCAGACATATCCATGTAGAGGTGATAGCGTTCTTAGGCAATATATGTGATCTTTGAGGGGAGTAAGGTATAACTCGTTAATTAAGTCTCAAATGTGTGTTCATAAAAGCCACCCAAAAGCTTTCTGTTTTAAAGAAAATTCCTGTATCCTCCAGTTTAATAAATCAAAATTTCCAAGGATGGGGCTTAGAATATGTATTTTTAATAAACAACATAAGTGAATCTAACACAGTTTGTAGAGTATACTTTGAGAAATAATGGTTTCATTGTTATTTTGCTTTTCATTTAATTCCTCTTGAAAATTTTAAACTGGCAGAACTTTAATAGGAGATACATTGATAAAATACCAATTTTAAAACCATTATGCAGCAGTTAATATTAGGCATCCTTATGGAATATACTGTGTTTTAAGTATTACCTTATAGTTTTACATAATTTTCTAGAGACATGACTTTTTGAGCTCTGAGATCACCATTTCAAAATAATGTTTTGAATGTCTTTTCAGATTTTTTTTCATTTAATGTCAAATTTTCCTTGAGGTAATTTTCAAGTCCTAATACAGCATTGGTAAAATTTTTTGTTGCGGAGTCCAAGATGGGAGAGAGGGTCACCACATTGTAGCAAATAGGATTATGGTGAGGTTTTGTTGCCTATTATACAATATTAAGCAATCCTGGGAATGTTGGATTCATCTATACAAAGAAATTTTTTTATTTTCATTTTTCTTTTTTTTTTTTTTTTTTTTTCTTTTTGAGACCGAGTTTCACCCTTGTTGCCCAGGCTAGAGTGCAATGGCAATGGTGTGATCTTGGCTCACTGCAACCTCCACCTCCTGGTTCAAGCGATTCTCATGTCTCAGCCTTCCAAGTAGCTGGGATTACAGGCATGCACCACCACGCCTGCCTAATTTTGTATTTTTAGTAGAAACAGGGTTTCACCATGTTGGTCAGGCTGGGCTTGAACTCCTGGCCTCAAGTGATTCACCTGCCTCGGCCTCCCAAAGTCCTGGGATTACAGGCATGAGCCACTGCGCCTGGCCAAGGCAGAGCTCTTTTTTTAAACTAAACTAGACCATGGCCGGGTGCAGTGGCTCACACCTGTAATCCCAGCACTTTGGGAGGCCAAGGCAGTTGGATCGCTTGGGCTCAGGAGTTCAAAACCAGCCTGGACAACATGGTGAAACTCTGTCTCTACAAAAAATACAAAAATTAGCTGGGCATGGTGGCTCACACCTGTAGTCCCAGCTACTTGGGGGCTGAGACAGGAGGATCACTTGAGCCCAGGAGACGGAGGTTGCAGTGAGCCAAGATGTAAGATGTGTGCCTTTGCATGGGATTTCAGGCGTGAGCCACCACACCTGGCCAAGTTCATCATTTTTGAAAGACCTCTGGTGATGGGATGGTCCCTTATTAAAGTTCACCATAGTAAGTTACTCCTCATCACACACACACTCCTTATACCATTTTAAAGAATAGATTTGGGCTTGTAAATATCACAGCATTTTTAAAAATAAGTCTAGACAATGCTATAGATAGATATTTCCATTAAGGATTAATGAGATTTATACATTTTAAGATTTATAAAGTATTTCAATCTATCTCCACCCCATCATTTTTATTTTTATTTTGCAAAGGTTTAAAATATTTGCATTCCTACAGTTATTGGTCTATATTTATTCTTTATTTATTTATCATTAGTTCTTTTATCATCGTTTCTCCATTCTTGAATTTAAATTTTGATTCATTCTTGGTATGGCTAGGTTTTGTCATCCAGCCATTTTTTGTTTGTTTTTTTTAAAGAACGCCTTATGGATATTGTAGCTTGAATTCTTGCCATGCGAGAATCCCTATCCATTGCCTTTTAACTTAGCTGAGTTTCTTTCTTTCCCTCACGATTCTGTAGACATTTTTCTATTGTAGCATTGAGCATGGCTGAGAACTCTGAGATCACATTGGGTTTTTTTCTTTCTTCTTTGCTTGAAAGATTGCTCTTCTACCTCAGTATCCATATTTTGGCTTTTGCTGATGTATTGTTTTACTATTTTTCTGTTCCATATGTTCCTTTCTTTAGAAACTTAGCTATCTTTCTGGTTATTTATATTGCTATGTTCTGTTCTGTTTAGTGTTGTGTGAGTTCCTCAAATCTGTGTTCCTTACCATGTCTCCGTGGTTTTGTTTTTCTGCTGCTATTTTGCTTCCAGTGTGGGTGTTGCCTTTAATTTTTACATTTTTTTAATGAAATATTTCTAACGTACACTGAAGTAGAGAGAATAGTGTAATGACTCTCCAGGTACCTATTGTCTGCCTTCAACAACTATCATTTCATGGCCAATTTTGTTTAATGTATACCTCATACGTTTTACTACCTTTTTTACACTCTGGATTATTTTGAAGTAAATACCAGACTTCATCATCTCTTGTAAATATTTTACCATGTGTCTTTAAAAGATGGGTGTTTTTTTTTTCTTTCACATAACCACAGTGCTAATCCACTCCTCAATAATTAGGAATAATTCCTTAATATCATCAAATTTTCTCTTAATGTTCACAGTTCTCCAATTGTCTTTTGTTTGTTTAATACTCAGTTCAGTGCAGAGTTGTTACTTTTGTAAAATAAGATTAAAATGTCATAGCAGGCCAGGTGTGGTGGCTCATGCCTATAATCCTAGCACTTTGGGAGGCCGAGCAGGCAGATCACCTGAGGTCAGGAATTCGAGAACAGCCTGGCCAACATGGTGAAACCCTGTCTCTACTAGAAATACATAAATTAGCCGGGTGTGTTGGTGCACGCCTCAAGTCCCAGCTACTCGAGAGGCTAAGGCAAGAGAATCGCTTGAATCCAGGAGGCAGAGGTTGCAGTGAGCCGAGATCGCGCCACTGCACTCCAGCCTGGGCGACAGAGCAAGACTCTGTCTCAAAAAATAAATAAATAAATAAATAAAATGTCATAGCAGTGCCAAATAACTATAAAATTTTTTGAGGCCGGGTGCAGTGGGTCACGCCTGTAATCCTAACACTTTGGGAGGACAAGGTAGGCAGATCCCTTGAGCCCAGGAGTTCAAGACCAGCCTGGCCAACACTGCGAAACACTGCCTCGTGGTGGCGTGTGCCTGTAATCCCAGCCTCTCAGGAGGTTGAGGCATGAGAATCACTTGAAGTGGGGAGGTGGGAGGTGGAGGTTGCAGTGACCCAAGATCATGCCACTGCACTCCAGCCTGGGCGACAGAGGAGTGAGACTCTGTCAAAAAAATAAAAAAATTCATGGCATATTCATGCCATTAGATTTCATCACTTTAGTTAGAAGATAATAATAAGCTAAGCTTATTATAGCCTTTAGTTACTTGGGGACAACTACACTTCATTGAAAGTCTAAGGTACTAACATTGGTTAGTTCCCAGCACCCTCCTCTTTCTTACCCAGATTTCACAGTATTTGGTAAGTGTTTTTATAGATTAGAGTTGTGGAAGTTTATTTCTATGAAGATAGCATTTTTCTCTCTTTTTTAATCTGGAGAGTTTCTTGTGAAACTCTTGAATGCCTTTTATTTTGTCTTTTTTTTTTTTTTGAGACAAGAGTCTCACTCTGTCACCCAGGCTGGAGTGCAGTGGTGCAATCGCGGCTCACTGCAACCTCCACCTTCCAGGCTTCAAGCAATTCTTGTGTCTCAGTCTCCCGAGTAGGTGGGAGTACAGATGCCTGCCAGCACGCACAGCTAACTTTTGTGTTTTTAGTACAGACAGGGTTTTACCATGTTGGCCAGGCTGGTCTAGAACTCCTGACTTCAAGAGCTCCACCGCGCCTGGCCTACTTTGTCATATTTAATAAAGAATGTTTTACTTCAAAAAATTTATACATGTTGGAACTTTTGTGGTTTGCATTAAAAGACAAAGCAGAGGCTGGGCACAGTGGCTCACACCTGTAATCCCAGCACTTCGGGAGGTTGAGGCAGGAGGACTGCATGAACCCAGGAGTTCAAGATCAACCTGAGCAAGACAGACCCTATCTCTACTAAAGAAATATTCTAAAAATTAGCTGGGCATGGTGGCACACGCCTATAATCCTAGCTACTTGGAAGGCTGAGGCAAGAGGATTGATTGAGCCCAGAAGTTCAAGGTTGTAATGACCTGTGATAGCTCCAGCTTGGGTGACAGGGAGATTCCCGTCTTCTTAAAAAATTTTTTTCAGCCGGGCTTGGTAGCTCTGTAATCGCAGCACTTTGGGAGGCTGAGGCAGGTGGATCACTTGAGGCCAGGAGTTCGAGACCAGCCTGGCTAACTTGGCAAAACCCCGTCTCTACTAAAAATACAATAATTAGCTGGGCATGGTGGCACCCACCTGTAATCCCAGCTACTTTGGAGGCTGAGGCACGAAAATTGCTTGAACCTGGGATTTGGAGGTTGCAATGAACCAAGATCATACCACTGCGCTCCAGCCTAGGAGACAGTGAAACTCCACCTCAAAAAAAAAAAAAAATCTAATTTCTTACAGTTCTGTATTATTGATTTATTTTGTACTAGAGGTATTGCTTAACAAAATAGTTGCATTCTATTAAAATACGTCTTGAAGCAGGCCGGGTTCAGTGGCTCATGCCTATAATCCCAGCACTTCGGGAAGCCGAGGCGAGCAGATCACTTGAGGTCAGGAGTTCCAGACCATCCTGGCCAACATAGTGAAACCCCATCTCTACTAAAAATACAAAAATTAGCTGGGCGTGGTGGCTCACACCAAAAGTCCCAGCTCCTCGGGAGGCTGAGGCAGGAGAATCACTTGAACCCAGGAGGTAGAGGTTGCAGTGAGCCGAAAGTGCGCCACTGCGCTCCAGCCTGGGCGACAGACACTCTGTCTCAAAAACAAAAACAAACAAACAAAAAAATCTTGAAGCAAAATTACATTAACTGAATCCATAATAAAAATAAGTTTTCTTGCAAAATTATAAAACTATAAGTCAATCAATCTTTGTCATTTCTAAAGGTAGTAAAATCATTGTTGTGCCAATGTAGAGGCTTCTCATTTTAAGGTCGTTGAGAAAAGAAAACTTTTTGCTGCTTTATTTTCTTGAAAGTTACTCTGAAACAAAAGATACAGATTATAAACTCCATATTTGATGGAATTAGGTGACATATTTAATCCTTAACCTAATTTATTAATACAATGTGGTAAATGACTGCATGCCTGTGACCAGGGCAGCCAACCAGATTGGAGCAGGTTAAAGCTCCAATAAAGCTGTTCAGAAAGATAAATTGGTAAACCTAATGTAAATGTAAATGTATTAAGAGGTGATTTATAGGAGATGATGCAGGAGAATCGCTTGAACTTGGGAGGCAGAGGTTGCAGTGAGCCAAGATTGGGCCACTGCACTCCATCCTGGGCAACAGAGTGAGACTCTGTGTCAAAAAAATAAATAAAAAGAAGAGGTGATTTGGACAACTAGCAACAAGTTTAGGATAGAGTTGTCACTAGAAAGCTAAGCAAAGGAGAAAAAAATCCAAAAAATTGTGCAGCAAAGAAGTCATATTTTATGGCTCAACTCTGAATAGCACACTAATCTAACCAAAATTAAGGTTAAACTACACTGAAAGGATACAATGTGTGAGTATATATTGTGGGGGATAGAGAGGTAGGAGAGCTAAATTCTGCTGTCCCATAATAGAAGTCAGTGGATAATACCTAAAACTGGAAAGTGAAGACTAAGTACAGTGAGTTACTTAATAAAATAGATGTGAATCAAAAGAATCAGCTAAAAGAATTAAAAGTGGGGCCCTCTGGATAAAGGAAATGAGGGAGAGGGCTGCTATTTGCCTTAAAAAACTTGTGGATCAGCTGGGCGCGGTGGCTCACACCTGTAATCCCAGCACTTTGGGAGGCCGAGGCGGGTGGATCACGAGGTTAGGAGATCGAGACCATCCTGGCTGACATGGTGAAACCCTGTCTCTACTAAAAATACAAAAAATTAGCTGGGCATGGTGGCGGCACCTGTAGTCCCAGCTACTCGGGAGGCTAAGGCAGGAGAATGGCGTGAACCCGGGACATGGAGGTTGCAGTGAGCCGAGATCGTGCCACTGCACTCAAGCCTGGGTGACAAAGTGAGACTCCGTCTCAAAAAAAACCAAAAAAACTTGTGGATGTACTTGAGTCTCTTAACTCTGTAAAATCAAAACCTAAAGAAAACAAAAAGATTATCCCTTGCATTTGAATACTGTTTAGTCAGTGTATATCAATTTTTTTTTACTGTATCACTGCATTCAGAGGTATCAAATTTTGCTTGCAGCGCTGTAAAAGTTTACCAGTCAGATTTGTCGGCCCGGCATGGTGGCTCACACCTGTAATCCCAGCACTTTGAGAGGCCAAGGCGGGAGGATTGCTTGAGGCTGAAAGTTTGAGACCAGCCTGGGCGACATGATGAAACTCCATCTCTACTAAAAACACAAAAATTGGCCAGGCTTGGTGCCATGCACCCGTGGTCTCAGCTACTTGGGAGGTTGAGTGGGGAGGATCGTTTGAGCCCAGGAGATTGAGGCTTCAGTGAGTGATTGCACCCTTGCACTCCAACCCAGACAACAGAGTGAGAGCCTGTCTCTAAAAAAAAAAAAAAAAAAAAAAAAAGAAGAAGAAGAAAAAATCCACCAGACATGTCATTCAACTCTTGGCAGAGAGAGACTAAGAGTTATACTAATTGTGCTCCCTCCTCATGGGTGAAAACATCTGAAATGGTGAATAATCTAGTATTAAGTTCTCTTTGTCTAGCCTCTTTTTGTTTTTTTGATGGTCAGTTTTGCCATAACAGTGTATTTATACACCCAGTGTGTATTCACTTTTATTCTGTATAAAATCAAAGAAAAAGTTTTATATTTGAAGACGCTATCTTTTATATAGCTCCTGATTTGTTTTAAAAAAGAATAAGGTTATAATCCAAATATAGAGATATAAGTTATAGATAATTTGTTCTTTATTAGAAAATGAAGTCTGAAAACTACTTTTGTATGTTATTCTTGGAGGCCTGTTTTCTTGAAGAGTTAAACATATAGTATACTAGAGTATTCAGAATATCCCCTTTTTAACCTCTACTAAATTTGGCAAAAAAAATTCATCAAATCCTGTTTGAGTACTTACTGTGTGTAAAGTCTTACATACATGCTCCAGAAGTTAGAATAGTCCAGACAGGAGCTTACAGTGGGGTAGAAATGGACATATATAAATATCGAAATAATATAAGGCAATACATGGAAGTAACATGAGAAAAATACTTAGTGCCGAAAGGATTTTAAAGAGGAAAGAGAGTAAGCACATTCCGTTTTTTCTTAATATTCAGTCTGCATTTAGTCTTTGGCCTAAGGATATCAGAATTATGGTAACTTCCATTATCATTATAAAAGTAAAACATGTCCATTATATAGGAAATTTAAGAAATTCAAAGTATGAAGAAACACATAATTATCCATAATTCCACCACTCATAATCATCTCACGTTTTTGTTCCATCCTTCAAGTTCCCTTTAAACAAAATTGAGATTATACATAATGTATACTACTTTAAAACTTGTTCTTTTCATTTAACATGTGTAGGATGAACCTAAGTCTTCAAAAACATTGTATTTAGCCAGTTCTCTATTAATGGGCTAAGGTGAACTTTTTAAAAAAATTGCTCTTATTTTAAGACTCTGATTGTGTTCTTTGGTCAACCTTTATTTATTTTTGAGACTCTGTTGTCCAGGCTGGAGTGCGATGGTGTGATTACGGCTCACTGCAACCTCAACCTCCCAGGCTCAAACAGTCCTCCCACCTCAGCCTCCCTAGTAACTAGGCTTATAGGCACATGTCACCACACCTGGCTAATTTTGTTTTTAACTTTTTCTGTAGAGACGACGTCTCACTGTTACCCAGGCTGGTCTCGAGCTCCAGGGCTCAAGCAGTCCTCCCTGCTCGGTCTTCCAAAGTGCTGGGAGGCCCAGCCACAACTTTTAGAAGCTGACTTGTTGGGACATTTTTAAGGCAGCCAGAGTTTATATTCTTAATGACTTTAACCTTTTGTTGAAGGATATGTGCTTACTAGTTAATGGTATTCGTCTACATTTATCGAATAGATGTTTTGCTGTTTTTCCTTCATGCCTTTGAATGTACTTGGACTTATTAGAGGATGTATATAGTTCTTTGTTTTGCTAAAACATTTAAGTCATTAGCCAGGCATGGTGGTGTGTGCCTTTCTATGGTCCTAGCTACTCAGAAGGCTGAGGCGGGAGGATTGTTTGAGGCTGCGTGAGCTATGATTGTGCCCCTGTACTCCAGCCTGGACAACAGAGTGAGACCTTGTCTGTTAAAAAAAAAAAAATTAAAACATTTAAATCTTTTTCTTTCCATGATCATTACTTGAAGCTTAGTATATATACCTACTTTTTATTCTTAAACTTTTTTTTTAATTTTTTTTGAGACGGAGTTTTGCTCTTGTCACCCAGGCTGGAGTGCAGTGGCGCAATCTCGGCTCACTGCAACCTCTGACTCCCGGGTTCAAGCAGTTCTCCTGCCTCAGCCTCCCAAGTACCTGGGATTACAGGTGTGAGCCACCACACCCAGCTAATTTTTGTATTTTTAGTAGAGACGGGGTTTCACCATGTTGGCCAGGCTGGTCTCCTCTTGACCTCAGGTGATCCACCTTCCTAGGGCTCCCAAAGTGCTGGGATTAACAGGCGTGAGTCACCACGCCCAGCCTTAAATGTTTCTAATACTTAATTTTTAGATATGCATTGAAATGTTTTTTAAATGGCATTTCTTTTTTTGTAAAGTAGGCTTTACCTACAGATTTAATTTCTGTATTTTTCAGGGTTACTTTGAAAGTTGCAATATACACAGAAATAGGATAGCAGGCTTTGAAGTAAAAGCCTATGCTAACCCTACAGTGGTTCGATGTGAAATTCACCATGGGCAGACTGGAGGAATATATGTCCATGAAAAAGGAAGAGGACAATTCATAGAGAATAAAATCTATGCAAACAACTTTGCAGGTGTATGGATTACCTCAAATAGTGACCCAACAATAAGGTATTTACATATAATTATGGGTGAAAATTACTTTTTCACTTCAAGGTTTGCTTAAAAGTCAAGATATTGAGCTTTAACTCTTGAAAGTTTTTGTTAGACATTTGACTACTATAAAATAGATTTTCCTAGTTAAAGTCTGTGCATCTGAATGAGCCATAGCTATTGCAGATTTATTTTTTGGTGTTTTTATTTTTCTTTTTATTAGTGATATAAACCATATGTGATATTATGAAAAATTGCAAATGCTGTGATTTTTATTTTAAATTCATCAAACTGCATTATAGATGAGTAAATAGGACTGTTACCTCCCCTTGGAGCTTGAAGGACTTTGTCTTCTTTTTTCTGAAGTTAGCAAATAGAATAATTCAGGAAAAATATCTCAAAGATTCTTGGCCAGAAAGACTAAAATTATCAAAAAGTCAAAAACTGCAAGCTGTCATTTTCCCTTAATAAGCCAAAATTGTAGAACCAAAGGTATTATAATCTAATCAGACACTATGAATTATTTTTAATTGTCAAATTTTATTTTCCATTGGCTTTATGGAAGTAGATTTTGGGATTTCCATCTTGTTAATAGTCATCAAATGTTTCTAGATCAGCTAAAAAATTGTTTTGAATGTATTAGCTGTTTTGAGGGGAATTTTTAAGAATGCTACATATGTTCTTTCAAATAGTAGTCTGACTTTTCCAAAGTCTTAGGCCTTAGAAATAATGAAGAAATTGAGGCCTTAGAAGTTTATGTAATTTGTTATATGACCATGAGGGGCCTTACCGTTGTATAAAACAAGTAAGTTTGGCTGAATAGATGTCTTCTTTTTTTTTATTTCGCATAATTATAGGGGAAATTCTATATTTAATGGAAATCAAGGAGGAGTTTACATCTTTGGTGATGGACGAGGCCTTATTGAAGGAAATGACATTTATGGTAAGCGTATGGTTTTGTTCTATAAAACTTATAGATTTGTATGTCTTCTTGATATTAGCAAAATGATGGAACATTTTGAAACTACCCAAGTGGAAGCACTGATCCAGCTCTTTAATTTTTTTCTTTTTTAAAGAAATGAGGTCTTACTCTCTTGTGCAGACTGGAGCACAGTGGCACAAACATGGCTCACAGCAGCCTCAGACTTCTGGGCTCAAAGCGATCTTCCTCCTTCAGCCTCCCTGGTAGCTAGAACTACAGGCATGTGCCACCGTGCCCCACTCATTTATTTGTGGAGGCTGGGTTTTGCCTTGTTGCCCAGGCTGGTCTTGAACTCCTGGCCTCAGGTGATCTTCCCGCCTTGGTCTCCCAAAATTCTGGGATTGCAGGTGTGAGTCTCATGCGCTGCCCTTTAATTTTTGTTGTTGTTGTTTTTGAGACAGAGTCTCACTCTGTTGCCTAGGCTGGAGTGCAGTGACACAATCTCACCTCACAGCAACCCCTGCCTCCCAGGTTCAAGCGATCCTCATGCCTCAGCCTCCAGAGTAGCTGGGATTACAGGTGCATGCTACCATGCCCGGCTCAATTTTGCTTTTTTTTTTTTTTCTTTTGAGACGGAGTCTCTCTCTATCACCCAGGCTGGAGTGCAGTGGCGCAATCTCGGCTCACTGCAAGCTCCACCTCCCAGGTTCACGCCATTCTCCTGCCGCAGCCTCCCAAGTAGCTGGGACTACAGGCGCCCGCCACCACGCCCGGCTAATTTTTTGTATTTTTAGTAGAGACGGGGTTTCACCATGTTAGCCAGGATGGTCTCGATCTCCTGACCTTGTGATCTGCCTGCCTCGGTCTCCCAAAGTGCTGGGATTACAGGTGTGAGCCACCGCGCCTGGCCATTTTTGCATTTTTAATAGAGACAGGTTTTGCCATGTTGGCCAGGCTGGTTTTGAACTCCTGGCCTCAAGTGAGCTGCCTGTTTCAGCCTCAGCCTCCCAGATTGCTGGGATTACAGGTATGAGCCACCACGCCTGGCCTAAATGCTTAATAAAGATTATTCTGTGGTATGTATTCACAGGCAGTATGCCAGATACCAGGGATGAAAATATAAATAAGACCTTAGTCCCAAGGAATATCTGCAGTTTCCATAGTTTCACTCTGTTTTTTAATAGTTAATTGTTTCTGTGGTAGTTTAATATACTTTGTGCTAATTAGAGAAAGAAAATATTTATTCCTCATTAAAGTTTTAGGAACATTAAATCAGCAAACAATCAGTAGATATCTGTGTGCCAGACACCAATATGTGCCTGGGCTTTCGCTTCTGGTAACTCTAACCTGGTTAATACTTACATAAAGCTTTACTAAGTATAGGCACTCTGCGGAGCATCTTAACCTGAGTTAAGTCATATAATACTCACATCAACACTGTGAGGTAGATACCATTAAATATTGATAAGGATACAGAGGCACAAAGATACTTACTGATCAGTATACAGAGGCACAAAGAGGTTAAATTACTTACTCAGGGTCACACAGGAAGTGGAATTCCTGGGATTCAAAATGTGGCAGCTCGGCTCCACAACTATAGCATAGCTATACTATACTGCCTGCAGCTCTCTGCATCTATTTACACTTCTAGTTCTCTTAATTTTGTCTTGTAATGGTCACTAAAATTCTAGTGTAAGAATTTTAACCACTACCTAATGTAAAATCCTTACTGTATTCTCTAGGCTCACAAATGTTGACCTTGTAACTTTTATTTTTAAATAGGCAATGCATTAGCAGGAATTCAAATTAGGACAAACAGTTGTCCAATTGTTCGGCATAACAAAATTCATGATGGCCAGCATGGTGGGATTTATGTGGTAAGTTAATGTATATAGTTCCCTATAAACTCATGCATCAAAACCAGGGGGATAAAGGGTTTCTCCTCAAGCTTTTAGGTAGGCCATATTCAACTTTTGAGGTATGAATTTGTGACTGTCTTTAATAGTTAGACAAAAATAACGTTCTTCTTCTCCCTGCCAGTATCTTAATGATTTCTGATTTTAAGTTTGTGTTTAATTATGTAAAATTTACTCAGCAGCTGACTAAATTTAGCCATAAGAGAAACACCTTTTTATTAAAGTCTTTATTATTGGCAATATGGGCTAGCCTCAGCAGCAGTTCATTTGCAGTCTATTATATTTGTTACACCAGAATTTTACGAGTATGACTACTGTATGAGTCACTGAAGTTCTGCCACTTTTTCATTTGAATTTATGTTAAAATATAATAACTTTCAAAATTTTGAAACCTGTGTATTAATCGTCTTCACTCATGGTATCTAAAATTTTGCAACTGATTCAAGTAAGAAAATGTAGGAAATTTCAAAAAGGTCCTTATGCAAGGCATTACTTTTAATTTTCATTTATGGTTCTAGAGATGCACATGTCCTCAGTTACCTGCTAAAAGTAAAAATTTTGGGAACATGAAGCCATATCATTTTGAATTGATTTCTCGAGAAATAGGTTTGAAGTAACTGTTAATTTATTACTAAATGAGAGGTCGTCAGTTTGTTACACATCCTAGGGTGAATTAATTTCTTTTGCTAAAGAAAATTGAATGCTACTACTACTATTACTGTGATATTAAAAGTATAAAACCACTTAAAGAACAGTATAAAATTTTTGAAAGCTTAAAACTCAGGTAGAGGCTACATAAAAAGAATGTTGGCCGGGCGCGGTGGCTCACACCTGTAATCCCAGCACTTTGGGAGGCCAACGCGGGTGGATCACGAGGTCAGGAGTTCAAGACCACCCTGGCCAAGATGGTGAAACGCCATCTCTACTAAAAATACAAAAATTAGCCAGGCGTGGTGGCAGACGCCTGTAATCCTAGCTACTTGGGAAGCTGAGGCAGAGAATTGCTTGAACATGGGAGGCGAAGGTTGTGGTGAGCCAAGATCGCGCCACTGTACTCCAGCCTGGGCGACAGAGCGAGACTCCATTTCAAAACAAAACAAAACAAAAGAATATTGCCATTACCTCCTTACTCGGATGAAAAAACAAAAATGGAAAATTTTTTAACTGTCTATAAAGGGGGTAACAGACTATAAACGCCTTGCTTATAGAAGATAAATATTATAACCAGTGTAACTTTCATTTAGCATGAAAAGGGACAAGGAGTAATAGAAGAGAATGAAGTTTATAGTAACACTCTAGCTGGAGTCTGGGTGACAACTGGCAGCACTCCAGTACTGAGAAGAAACCGGATACACAGTGGCAAGCAGGTAGGATTAGCCTGGACTCTTGGATGGGAAATACATTGTTTTGTAAATACTTGTCCCTTGAAAAAGCTTTTTTTTTTTTTTTAAATTTTAGGTTGGTGTTTATTTTTATGACAATGGACATGGAGTGCTAGAAGACAATGATATCTATAATCATATGTATTCAGGGGTTCAGATAAGGTAAATGTTTTCATATTTGGCTATCTTTTGGGAGGGAGTTAGGAGTATGTGGGGTGTGTAAAAGAAATTTGCTTATTGTTTAATGCCCAATCTTTATCCCCCTATTGTATATATATTCACATTCTTAAAATAATCTTGACTTAAATTGTCAGAATGTAGCTTTCCTTGGTCTAGGTGAGGACAGAAGCCACTGGCACATGTGCCATAAGAGCTCACTTCCACCGTTCTGCTTTCCACTATGAGAGTCACATCAGCTGCCAATATGATCCTTCATACTTGGAGAGTGGAAGTCTGTGTTAAAATACTTGTGCATTATGCCTGGCATATCATTGGCACTCAATAAAATGAAGCTTCTGTTTTATGCTATTTCTGTAAAATTAATAGTTTTTGATACCCCTCTAATATTTTAAGTTTTTGGAATTCTAGCAGTACTAATGATCATATACTGGCTTACCTCTGTTTATTACACTTTACAGTTCATTGTGCTTCACAGATACTGTGTTTTTTCACAAATTGAAGTTTTGTGGCAATACTGTGTTGAGCAGATCTCTCTGCCATTTTTTTCCAGCAGCATGTGCTCACTTCCTGTCTCTGTGTCTCATTTTTTCATTATCATTATGTCTGTTATGGTGATCTCTGATCAGTGATCCTTTTTGTTTGTTTGAGACGGAGTTTCACTCTTGTTGCCCAGGCTGGAGTGCAATGGCACGATCTCGGCTCACCGCAACCTCAGCCTCCCAAGTAGCTGGGATTACAGGCTTGTGCCACCATGCCTGGCTGACTTTGTATTTTTAGTAGAGATGGGGTTTCTCCATATTGGTCAGGCTGGTCTCAAACTCCTGACTTCAGGTGATCCACCCGCCTCAGCCTCCCAAAGTGCTGGGATCACAGGCGTGAGCCACCACACCCACCCTGATCAGTGATCTTTGATGTTACTATTGTAATTGTTTTGGGACACCATTAACTGCGCCCAAGATAACAAACTTCATCTGTAAACGTTGTGTGTGTTCTGACTGTTCCACCAAGCAGCCATTCCCATCTCTGTCCCTCTCCTCAGGCTTCCCTATTGCCTGAGACACAACAGTATCGAAATTAGGCCAATTAGTAATCCTCAAATGGCCTCTATAAGTATTGAAGTGAAAGGAGGAGTTGCGTATCTCTCACTTTAAATCAAAAGCTAGAAATGATGAAGGTTAGTGAGGAAAGTATGTCTAAAGGCTGAATAGCCCAAAAGCTAGGCCTCTTGTCCAGTTAGCTAAGTTGTGAATGCAAAGGAAAAGTCCTAGAAAGAAATTAAAAATGCTATTCCAGTAAACACATGAATGATAAAGCAAAGCAAAACAACCTTATTGCTTAGTTTCTCAGGGTTCAAAGCAAAATAAAATAATAACAAAAAAATGGACTTATGCTAATATGGAGAATGTTTTAGTGATGTGGATAGAAGAACAAACCAGCCGCAACATTCCCTTAAGCCAATTCCTAATCCAGAGCAAGGACCCAACTCTCTTCAGTTCTATGAAGGCTGAAAGAGGTGAAGAAGCTGCAGAAGAAAAGTTTGAAGCTAGCAGAGGTTGATTCATGAGGTTTAAGAAAAAAAGCTAAGTGCAAGGTGGAGCAGCAAATGCTGAGATAGAAGCTACAGAAAGTTATCCCAGAAGATATAGCTAAGATCATTGTTGAAGGTGGCTACACTAAACAGATTTCAGTGTAGACTCAATAGTTTTATATTGGAAGAAGATGCATCCAGAACATTCATAGCTAGAGGGGAGAAGTCAATGCCTGACTTCAAAGGGCAAGCTGATCTCTTGTTAAGGGTTAGTTAAGCTGATGACTTTAAGTTGCAGGCAGTGCTCATTTACCATTATGAAAACCCTAGGGCCCTTAAGAATTATGCTAAATCTACTCTGCCTGTGCGCTATAAAGGGAACAACAAATCATGGATGATAGCACATGAATTTACAGTACAGTTTACTGAATATGTTAAGTCCACTGAGACCTAGTGCTCAGAAAAAATATTTCAAAATATTACTGCTCATTGACAATGCACCCAGTAACCCAAGAATTCTGATGCAGATGCACAAGGAGATTGTTGTTTTCACGCCTGCTAATACAGCATCCATCCCACAGTCTGGATCAAGGAGTGATTTCAATTTTTAAGTCTTTGTATGTAAGAAATACTTTTTAGAAAGCAGTAGTTGCCATAGATAGTGATTCCTCTGATGGATCTGGGCAAAGTAAATTGAAAACCTCTGGAAAGGATTCACCATTCCAGATTTCATTAAGAACATTCATGATTCCTGGGAGGAGATCTGAAAAAGTGCTGTAATCCAAGCATTTTGGGAGGCTGAGGTGGAAGGATCTCCTGAGGCCAGGAGTTCAAGATCAGCCTGGGCAACATAGCAAAACCCTGTCTCTGTAAAAAATAGAAAAAATTAGCTAGGCATGGTGGCATGCGCCTGTGGTCCCAGCTACCCGGAAGGCTGAGGTGGGAGGATCGCTTGAGCCCAGGAAGTCGAGGCGGCACTGAGCTATGATTATACCACTGTGCTCCAGCCTGGATGACTGAGTGAGACCCTGTCTCAAAAAACAGAACAAAACAAAAAAAAATTGCAGTTATGCCCTGAGCCAAATGTTGAGCTTTTCTGCCCACAAAGTGCAAAATTGTAGTACTGGCAGAGGTGCAACCCAAGGGGTCGCCAGGGTTCTCACCGCCCTTGGCCATGGGGCAGGCTGATCTAGACAGCAGGGGGATGTTTTCAGGGCTGAAGGTTCCCCCTACCTAGTCGTGAACACATCGGGTGCTGGAGCACCTGTGTTCCCATGAGGCCAGCGTGGGCCATGCATGGCTTCAAAAGGCCCTCGAGGCTTGACTAAGTGCGCCAGTTTCATTCTGAACATGCTGCTCTAAAACACATCCCTGCTGAGCCACAGGAGGATCAGATATTGTGAGCTTCTGGCCCGTTGATGCTCAAGAGCTGGGGCATGCGGGGAAGACTCCAGAACTTCTAACTCTCGCTAACCTTACATCTGGGATTCTTACGCCCTCAGCTGAAGAACTCTATGAATTTCAGCTTTGAAGAGGTTCTTCTAACACTTGGCCAATTTCAACCAGGCTTTGCTAAAGTCCTCTGAAATTGGGGGTCTGAAAGCCAGTTACTTGGATCACAAGTTACCTGTGAAATCTGCAAGGACCTGCTGTCAGGGCTCATTAAACCCCGAAGTATGGCACCTTGGCATGCGGACTACTCTGACCCAGAGGAGACTGGAAGGCCTCAGAAGCCAGGTCTTTGTCCTTCCCTCCTGGTTCCTGCCTCCTTTTCTCCCCCAAATTGAGTCCCAGAAACCAGAATTCCTTTTCCTCAAAGCAGGTCTTAGAAACTAGAATTCCTTTCTCTCAAACCCAGCCATAAAACCTAGCTAGGTCACTCTCTCCCTTCTCCCTGGAAGATCCTCATTCCCGAGGGGGATACCCAGGGGAAGGGGAATTGTACAGAGCGGCTTTGCTGGGTTTCCCGACTCTGTCCATCACCGTTAGGCCAGATCCTTTGTGTCCAATCACATTTCTGCGTGGATGTTCATTCATCAAACCTAAATACAAAAATAAACGTTTTTATGGCCAGGACAAAAAAAAATTAACAGGAGTTTGGAAGAAGTTGCTTCCAACCCTCATGGATGACTTTAGGGGTATAAGACTTTGGTGGAGGAACTAATTCCAGACGTGGTAGAAATTGCAAGAGAAGTAGAATTAGAAAATGGAACATGAAGATGTGACTGAATTGCTGCAACCTCATGATAAAACTTGGACAGATGAGGAGTTGCTTCTTACGGATGAGCAAAGAGTGGTTTTTCTTGAGGTGGGGTCTGTTCCTGTTGAAGATGCTGTGAACATAGTTGAAATGAAGACAAAGGATTTAGAATATTACATAAGCCTGTTAATAAAGTAGTAGCAGGGTTGGCAAGGATTGACAACAATTTTGAAAGAAATTCTACTGTGAGCAAAATGCTATAACAACATTGCATGCTACAGAGAAATCTTCCGTGAAAGGAAGAGTCAGTCTATGTGGCAAACTTAATTGTCTTATTTTAAGAGATTGCCAGTTGGTCAGGTGCAGTAGATCATGCCTGTAATCCCAGCACTTTGGGAGACTGAGACAGGTGGATCACTTGAGCCCAGGAGTTTGAGAACAGCCTGGGCAACATGGCAAAACTCCATCTCTACAAAAAATACAAAAATTAACTGGGCATGGTGGTGTGCACCTGTAGTCCCAGCTACTCGGGAGGCTTAGGCAGGAGGATTGCTTGAGCCCAAGAGTTCGAGGCTGCAGTGAGCTATGATCATGCCACTGCAACTCCAGCCTGGGTGACAGAGCAAGACCCCATGTCTTTAAAAAAAAAAAAAAAAAAAGACTCCCTGAAGGCTTAGATTGTTATGAGCATTTTTTTAGCGATAAAGTATTTTTAAGTTAGGGTATGTGCTTTTTTTTATGAAATGCTATTGCATACTTAATAGACTACAGTATAATGTAAACCAAAAAATTGATGCGACTCTCTTTATTGCAATACTCGCTTTATTATGGTGGTCTGGAACGGAACCTGCAGTTATCTCCAAGGCATGCCTGTAATTCAGTCCTTCATTTTACATATGAGGGGAATATATGTCACTTAATATAACCCCATTTAGTTTACATGTTAGGAAACTCTACAATAATAATCTGTAGTAAAGTATGTTCTGTGGGAAATACAGGATTAAGCAAAATTAAACCACTTTCTTCTCAGGGCATCTTGGACTCCATTGTATAGTTAATTCTTACTAAGTGACTTATGTGGATTTCTCCACTGTTTACCTCACGTAACATGAAGATATGGGAGTAGAAGCTATTGAAATGGTATTATTGTCTATTCTGTTTACAGGACTGGAAGCAACCCCAAAATTAGACGCAACAAAATCTGGGGAGGACAGAATGGTGGAATTCTAGTTTATAATTCTGGTATGTTTAATCTGTCATCTTTTTTCTGTGTTAATAAACTTTAGAAATACACCTTCTAGGCCGGGCACGGTGGCTCACGCCTGTAATCCCAGCACTTTGGGAGGCCGAGATGGGTGGATCACCCGAGGTCAGGAGTTTAAGACCAGCCTGGCCAACATGGTGAAACCCTGTCTCTACTAAATATTACAAAAATTAGTTGGACATGGTGGCACACGCCTGTATTCCCAGCTACTTGGGAGGCTGAGGCAGGAGAATCACTTGAACCCGGGAGGTGGAGGTTGCAGTGAGCCAAGATCGCGCCACTGCACACTCCAGCCTGGCAACAGAGCGAGACTCTGTCTCAAAAAAAAAAAAAAAAAAAAAAATTAAAAAGAAATATACCTTCTAGATAACCTACATTTTTGCATTTATAGGTCTAGGCTGTATAGAAGACAATGAAATATTTGACAATGCAATGGCTGGAGTCTGGATTAAGACAGATAGTAATCCTACACTAAGAAGAAATAAAATCCATGATGGAAGAGATGGTGGCATCTGTATATTTAATGGGGGTCGAGGTATTGTTGTTAATTTTGCATTAGTGAAAAATCCAGTTTTCCATTATTCTTCCATATCTTTAATGATCAATGACATTGCTAACTAAGTTATAAATGAGTGAATCTCAAGTCTTTTTCCTTATCAAGTTGAACTGGTTTAGGAGATTAGTGCCTAGAGTTAAGAGACAAATGTTTACAATACTTTTCCTTTTGTAGCCACTTTGAGTCTGCAGTTGTCAGTAAGCCTTTTTAAAGATAGAATTTGTTTACATTCTCTGGACCTTTTAAAATTCAGAATAGTAATATGATTATAATAAACTTCAAAGTCAAGTTATAGAAATAGATGTGAGAAATTGATCTGTAAATATCTGAAAATGTCTTTAGTAAACGGGTATTGCTTTTGTAACTGTTTTCAACTGTGTTTGTTGGAGAGTGGAATTAATGAAGCCAAGATGTGCCTGGTTTGGTATTCATAAAGGTCAACTCACTTTGCATTGAGGCAAAAGTTCCATAGTGCCTGCCCCTTACAGATGCATGTATACAGAGATTCACAGAGCTGCCAAATGCAAATCTATCGCTGTTCCTGAAATGTCAATAACCCAACATTTGTACATATCTTACATAGAATAGCTAGTTATTACTCTAACATGCCAAGATTTAATGAACAAAATTTAATACCACAGCCAAGCAGTGATGATTCCATTGACAGACTCTCCAGGAGCTTATAATCTAGTAATTCAGTAAAGTGACGTATCTCAGATAGTTTTCACAAAATATAGTGAAGACACACAATACAGAATGGTTTATTTGCAAGGTGTTGAGAAATGGTTCACGCAAGTCAAATCACTTTTGAGCCGTGTTTTGAAAAATGAGTAGATATTTACTGGCAATTGGGTTTGGGAGAGGCGAACAGACCATTCCAGATGTTATTTCACTTTTATTCTTTAGATACTGATTTAACACCTCTGTACCAACTACTATGATACAGATGCTAGAGATATGCTAAATGAAACAGCACATCCATAAAATGTATAGTGTGATGGAGTGGAGCACATCGTAAACAAAAGTCTAGAGGAAACTGAAAGTAAGGGAAGAGGTACAGAAAATTGAGGCTACAGAAGGGGCAAGGCCCAAATCATGAGGTTTTCCATATGCAGTAAGGAGTTTGGAATCCATCTTAGCAATAGCACTTGAGGTGTAGTGGAAATAATCAAGATTAGAGACAGGGACTTGGAATAACTCAGGCAATAAATAATGAGAGCCTAAACTAAAATGATAGCATAAGGGTGTGAAAAGGTTGGGGGGGCAGGGGGTGGGACATGTTAATGATACTTAAAAGGACAGAACCAACTGGGCACAGTGGCTCACACCTGTACTTCCAGCTGCTCTGGAGGCTAAGGCAGGAGTATCACTTGAGTCTGGAGTTGGAAACCAGCCTAGGCAATGTAGTAAGACCGTATCTCTATAAAAAGGGTGGAACCAACAGGACTGGGTCATTGATTTAATATGGGGGTTGAAAGTAAAGTGAAATATGATGGGTGCTCAGGATTCTGATTTGGGTGGGTGACTACCTTTCACTGAGGTAAGTTATATAGGAAATGGTTTCTGGAAAACATTAGTAAGGTCAGTTTTTAAACACTGAATCCAAGGTTGTCTTCTGGAATATCCAAATTGGTTATGACCAGAATGTGATTCATTATACTAAGCTAAAGGAATAGATTAAAGAATTAGCAACAGTGGCCGGGTGCAGTGGCTCATGCCTGTAACCCCAGCACTTTGGGGGAGGCCCAGGTGGGTGGATCATTTGAGGTCAGGAGTTTGAGACCAGCCTGGCCAACATGGTGAAACCTAAAAATACAAAAATTAGCCAGGTGTGGTGGCAGGTGCTTGTAATCCCAGCTGCTTGGGAGGCTGAAGCAGGAGAATTGCTTGAACCCGGAGGCAGGGGTTGCAGTGAGCCAAGATCACACCATTGCACTCCAGCCTGGGTGGCAGAGTGAGACTCTGTCTCAAAAATTAAAAAGCAACAGTGTATATGCAATAGTTGCAAGATGTAAGATCACCCAAAGAGTATGCAGAGGGAAATGAGGGACAGAACCCAGAAATATTAATACCCAGGGAGTGAACAGGAGGAGGACCCCAAGAAGTTACTGAGTCAGATTTTTCCCACTCATCCAGGTGAAAGTTTAGGTCAATAATGTGAAATACCAGAGGGATTAAATGTCTACAGAAATAAAACCATGTCTCACATTAAGACAAACAAGTAGGTTGGAGGGATATTTTGAAAGGCAAGGTGATATTAAACTTTATTCTGAAAGTAGTTTGTTAGAGAAAGAGGCATGATAAGAGTTGCAGTTAACTGATTGGAAACTATGCAGCAGATGAAACTGGAATAAAGGAAACTCATCAGGAAATGATTATAGTAATAAGGGCCAGAAATAAGGGCTTGCTTGCCTGAACTAAAAACAAAGAGGATACAAAGGTTCTAGAAATATTTCAAAGGAATTAGCTTTAATTCAGCAATACTCATTGAGAATCACCTATGCACCTGGCTCTGAAGATGAAGTGCTGAGTAAACTTAGACATGGACCCTGCTATCATGGAGATGGCAGATTATTGGTCAGAATGCTCTTACCTGTCATTGTAGCAATTTTGTTAGATCCTTAATACCTCTGAATTGCTAATAAACTTGTTTTGGCTGAAAAAATAGTCCTGTGAATTTTACCATGCAGTTAAATAAGAAACTAAAAGCAAACCTAAATACCACCAAAAAGGTTAGTAGTCTGTTATATGCATTAGCCTTAATCTAAGGAAATATTTTATTATAGGTCTCCTTGAAGAAAATGATATTTTCAGGAATGCTCAAGCAGGTGTTCTCATCAGCACTAATAGTCATCCAATCTTAAGGAAAAACAGAATATTTGATGGATTTGCCGCAGGTTTGTATTTTCTTTTCTTACCTGTGGCTTATATATAGTTCTGCAAAGTGTTTGATGTGGAGTATATTCATTTTGTTTTGCTTATTAACTAAAATGTGCAAAGTGTGCTGAAGTGGCTGAATGCCTGTTCATTCACTTACAAGAGCACCTAATCAAGTTCTGGATTCTTCTACTCTAAGCCAGACTCCTAAGAAATATTGCTCTTATTGCTTAGTCGTGATTATGAAACATTTATTGGGATAGAATAAATGCAGGCTTGTATTACCACTAGGAATACAGATAGATTCAATTCCTCAGATGAATTTACCAGTTTAAATCTGCAACAGAAAAAGAGATGTTAAAATGGATGCAAATGAAATCCAAGTATCATGTATTTAAACTTTAAGACAGTTAGGTTGGTGCGAAAGTTAATTGCAGTTTTGACCATAGTCATTGATAAGTGAATGTTACTGTTGGTGGTTGAAATAGGTATCTACATTTTATTCAGTAGACATTAAGAGGGTTAATGTACTTCTATAAAAGAAGCAGTTTACATTTGCTTGCTAATTTCAGGTTTTTAAGAAGCAGTATAAAGTGATGTATCTACTTGTTTGTAAATTTTACTTCAGGTATTGAAATTACAAATCACGCAACTGCAACACTAGAAGGCAATCAGATTTTTAACAACCGGTTTGGAGGCTTATTTTTAGCATCTGGTGTTAATGTGACAATGAAAGGTATGTTGGAGTCTGCTATACCTATAAATATATGCAATATGCCATGAAAGATAATCAGAAGCCGTTTTATAACTTGATTCCTTATGTCACTCTCCAAGTTAGCAACAGTTTAAGATAGATTTTGAAAGAAACAGAGCTTTGGTTCTAAATGGTTGGAGTATCTTATACAAGGAAAATTCTATTCTTAGCTGATTTCTTACAATTACTTCATTGGTTAGCTTCATTTAAAGCTCTTAAAAATAGTGGCTCTTCTGTTAGAATAATCCTATAATCTTTGGTTTTTAAAATATTAACATTCCTCTGAATTTTTACTTATTCTTTCTTTTATTACAGATAACAAAATAATGAACAATCAAGATGCCATAGAAAAGGCTGTTAGTAGAGGCCAATGTTTATATAAAATATCAAGTTATACCAGCTATCCCATGCATGATTTCTACAGGTAACTTAGAAATATATTTGAGTCCTGAAAAGAGGAAGACTGATTTCCTTTTTAAATTAGCAATGCCTAGCATTTTTGGCTATTTGCCGGTGTTGAGACTATAACTAACTGAAAATTTTATCATCAATCTACTTGAAGATCGTGTTTAAGACTGTAACTGTGGGTAGGCGTGGTGGCTTATGCCTGTAATCCTAGCACTTTGGGAGGCTGAAGTGGGAGGATCACTGGAGCCCAGGAGTTCTAAACCAGCCTGGGCAACATAGGGAGACCCTGTCTCTACAAAACAAAACAAAGACCATAACTATGGAAAAACCTAATGCTACAGTAACTGATGTCATTCATGTAACTCATGTTGTGTAATGTTTTCCTAGAAATTTCAAGGTAAAGATGTCGGGGTTAAGTGTTTGATATATCCCAGTCACTGTGACAGTTTTGACTCTTCACGCCTCCAAAAATTGTTTTCAGCCCAGAAACATTTGAGAGGCTTTTAAAGTGGAAAGAACTGCCTTTATACAATTTACAAATCATTTCTCTTCCCTCCGAAGACACAGATGACAGGAAAATCACTTACTCCATTAAAGTTCCTTTTCAGAATTAATCTGGGCTGGAGCCACAAAGAATTTTGTTTTGGTCCTCTTAAAGCCAAAGGTCATAGTAATATATAAACAGAATGGAATGTTTTGCATTAATGACATGTTTGAGAAAAGTAATTTAAGCTTTTGCTTTTTAGATGTCATACTTGTAACACCACAGATCGAAATGCCATATGTGTGAACTGCATTAAGAAGTGCCATCAGGGACATGATGTAGAGTTTATTAGACATGATAGGTATGTAGCACACTTGCTTGATATATTACCCAATTACTTTCCCCCTCACTTTTCTAATATTTGGGTTTCATTTTGCTTTAGGTTTTTCTGTGACTGTGGTGCTGGAACACTGTCTAATCCTTGTACATTAGCTGGTGAGCCTACACATGATACAGATACACTATATGACTCTGCTCCACCTATAGAATCTAATACATTGCAGCACAACTGAATTCCTTCCCTAAAGAAAAAGTCCTGCCATTGTAACATCATAACTTAAAACACTTTTTTGGAAGAAGATTTAAAATATTTGCCCATGCTACAGGAAGAGACTGTATTAAAAATGGATACACAAGGTCAGTTGACACTATGAAGCTCAAGCTACCAAAAAGAAAGTGGCAATATATTGACTCAGGATCTCAAAGCTGGGTGTTTTAGCATTACTGTGTAAAGACTTGAAGGGACAGAAGTGAAGAAAATAAGCTGCAATTTTGTACAGATACCAACTTCTGAAAAGCTGGTGTTTTTACAACTAGCATTGAATGCAGTCCAATTTGCAGTAGTAATCTTCAATAGACAAGCAGCTTTGTTGCTGCCTTTATGGACATGGGTACCAATTGCTTTTGTAATATGGTAAAAATGTGAGCTAGCACTTCTGCGTTCCTTTTGATTTTTTTTTTTTAACATGTATTCAGATTGAGAAATATGATTTTAATGCTTTAATCTCATGTAGTTTGTTTTTAATTTCAAGCAAAATCTTACTGTACTTGAATGTGCCCTGTTTTGTTAGCACACCTAGACTTGCTGTAACTGTACTCATGTCCCAGTATGTACGTTCTTTCTATGAAAGAGAAAACACTAATCTTAAATTATATCCAGCAATGTTTCTGGTATCCTTTAAGAAAAGTTAAGACTATTATTTCCTTCCCTTCCCTGTGCAGCATTCAAAATCACCCCTAGAAAAAGTGAGTGTTTTAATGAGACTTCCTAGGAAGGGATGCACTGTAAAACAAAAGTATTCTTGTAACTCAGTTTTGTGAAAGGTAAAAAACTACTATGTTTTAAGTACACTTTAGAAAGTCTCTTCAAAACAAACAGTCCTGTATTTGAACTCTGTTCATAGTTTTTTTTTGAACAGTTTAGACAAAACTGCTGGAAATTAAACCAATTTCCTGCATTAAGCTGAGACAAGTATATATACAGCCCTATACAGTTTCATAGCTTTTCCTCCCCCATTTATGTGTATTGGTGACAGTGGGTATAAAACAGCCTGAAAGTGTATGCATGTACCATAACATCTAGACTTAATATATTGTGGAGTATTCAATAACCATTATGTAGAAGGTAGATAAGAATTAAAAGGGTTTAATTTCCTAGAAAGAAAATGGAAAAATGGTCATTTTTAAAAAATAAAGTTTATTAGATCATAATGTTGTCTGAATTTACCACCTTTGTCAGAAGTCAACTCAAAGCTTCCAATGTAGTCAGTCTATAATTCCTTAATCAAAGTCAGCAATTTATGGACAGCTTCAGCATCTACAGTTGACCTTTCACTAGCCAGGCAAACTTCCCTTAAAATTAAAAAAAAAAAAAAAAAAGTTTTTTTGTTTTTTCATAGTGCATCATCCCTTCCCCTTTTACTGTTTCTTTGAAACTTAAGGTCAGTTAGTTATAATTCCATTATAGTTAGTTAGTTACCGAAATAATCGTAGTGACTGATTCATCTTCTCAAATTCTCTTGCTTTTCTATGTCCCTTTTGAATAACTTCCTCTGGGAGATTAGCAAGCCTTGCTGCATTAAAGCCATAGCTTTTAGGACAAGCTCCCTTAATGAATTTATAGAGGAACGTAATAGTCTCCTGGCTGGGGTCTTCACATTCATTTTCTACCATGCATGCCTTAAGAAAGAAAAATATTAGCGATACATGTGCTAGCAAGAGAAGTGCCCTCTCAAAAAACCGAATTTGTGGAAAAAAACAATTTGCACATACCATATGTCCTAGGCGCACAGCAACATTTTGAGAATAATCTTCTACTAATGAATGGTAGTGAGTTGAAAATAATGTACGACATTTTATAGTCTCAGCAAGTTCTTTAACAACTGCATTTGCTATTGCCGTCCCATCAAATGTTGCAGTACCTCTTCCTGTTAAAGTAAAATATGCATAAGGAAGTAACTCAAAGGAATTAAAACAAAAAAGGAATTAAAACAAAAATGCTAGGACAGAAAAGCAACATCGGTTAGTACATCCACGTCTAAAAGCATTCTATAAATAGGCCTTGTTTAGCTACACGAGTCTGCTTAGCAGCCCATGGGGAGTGAGGTTTCTTTTAAAGAAAATACAGTATCGCTCAAGGTCATAAACTTCCTGAGTCCTCCTATTAGTGTTCTCATCCCCGTAGTATAACAAATGTTTTATTACAACTAAACAGTGTAAGGCCTAATAATTAATGGGTAATCAAAAACCTTTCACAATATCACCTTTTATCTCCAACTATCGGTCTGTGCCACAATGGTGAGTGCGTGCTCTAAAAACATTCATATTGTTTAAATGTACTTCAGATAATCTTCTATAAAAATAGTTATTTGTACAAATGTTTTTAAGATAGATAGTCTTCAAATGAGAAGTTTAATGTCTTACCTAATTCATCCACAAGCACCAGAGAATGTGCTGTTGCATGCATGAGTATGCTGGCAGTTTCACTTAATTCAACAAAAAATGTACTTTCACCTTAAAAAAAAAAAAATCACAAATGAATACTCATTTTGCAAATCATATTACATAAATTCATCTTCTAGGTTATATAGCTATCATGAGCTACACATATTGGTATAAAAGATTAAATCTCATTAAGAGACTATGCAATTATTGGCCGGGCACGGTGGCTCACGCCTGTAATCCCAGCACTTTGGGAGGCCGAGGCAAGCAGATCACCTGAGGTCAGGAGTTAAGAGACCAGCCTAACATGGTGAAACCCCGCTTCTACTAAAAATACAAAAAATTAGCTGGGCGTGATGGCATGCGCCTGTAATCCCAGCTACTCGAGAGGCTGAGGCAGGAGAATCACTTGAACCTGGAAGCAGAGGTTGCAGTGAGCCAAGATCGTGCCATTGCACTCCAGCTTGGGCAACAAGAGGGAAACTCCATCTCAAAAAAAAAAAAAAGAGAGAGAGACTATGCAGTTCTTAAAAAGTGATGTTTTTAAAGTAACACCAGAAAAATCAAATATTAGATTTAAAAGGCTCATATACAAGAAGCAAATATCTTTTATCACATCTAAATGACTGAATGAGAACTTAAGTGGGAAACAAAAAACTCACCTGACATTATTCTGTCTGAGGCACCAAGTCTAGTAAACACTCTATCAATTGGTGTGAGCCTGCACACTTCAGCAGGGACGTAACAACCCATCTGGGCCATTACAGCTAATAAGCCAGCCTGTGAATGAGGGAGGAAAAGGTCTTTTATGACTGGTAGTAACAGTTTCATAAACTTTTGTCTTTCTTATGAACCCTTACGTAAGAGCTAGGCACTCTAAAACAACTTTCACAATCACATGTACGTTGGTTCTGTTCTGAAATCCATTTGCTAACATGGAGAAAGTTGAGGCTAAGAGAGACAAGAGGCATAGGGCCTCACCTGGCCTTTAAAACATCAGAGCCTGCTTACCAACCCACTACCCTAGTGATTCTCAACGCTGGCCAGAATAGAATCACCTAGGAGCTCTTTAAAACTACTGAGATGCCTAGAATCAATTCCAATCAAGTGAATCCATGTCAGGATGGAATCTCTGCACCTTTTTTTTTTTTTTTACACGTTGTCACATTCTTTCAGGTGATTCTGATTTAAAGAAAAAGTTTGGAAATCACTATACACACTATACTGCCTCTCTCTAGCAAACTAGGTGAACAGAAGTATACTATAATGCAGGAGAGCAGCGGGGACCAGCCAACTACTACTATTTCTTACAACCTTTTAAAAATATAAAAAACTTTACAAGTTCTGTGGCTGGTCAACCCCTGGTTATAAAGAGAAGATAAATACAATGCCATAAAAAATTTTTTTAAAAATGAGCTAGGCATGATGGTGTACATCTGTAGTCCCAGCTACTGGGGAGGCTGAGGCAGGAGGAAGGGTTGAACCTGGGAGTTCGAGGCTGCAGTGAGCTGTGATGGTGCCACTGCACTTCAGCCTTGGCAACAACAAAAAAAAAAGGGCCAGCATGTCATCCCTAAAGAGCAGTTTTCAACAGTTGCTAGAGGTCATGAACTATATTTGCTTTCTTACCTCATTTGCATTTCTGCAAATGAGTCTAATTTAAGGATAAACCTGTAACATTTTCATCTTTTCATACAGCCTTTGTATTTTTGTTCACTATGAATATACCTACCTTCTGAGGAAATGAATTCAAGTCAAAGGGCCTCATGACCTGAATGACTGACCTCCTTCCCCTTTTTAACATATATTCCCCTTAACATTAAGCATCGATGTTTCAGCTAAATATAATTCTCAATTTTATAACACAGGGAGTAATTTCCCTTTGCTTCCTATTAAGTCACTGGCTGACTTTTATGTAACTGTGTTTGGAAAATGATCACCTAAGTATGTTATTCCTAATGTCACAAATGACTTTCTGATAACAAAACTTTAAGAATCAGTTACCTGTCTCATAAGCGTAGACTTGCCCCCCATATTTGGTCCAGTAACAAGCACACAATAGGCTTTGCCATTTTCCTGCTCCTCTTCCTCACAGCCTATTAGAATGTCATTAGGAATAAAATCATCTCCAAAAAAAGTCTTCGTAATGCAAGGATGGCGTGATCCTTTAAGCTCTAAGAAGGGGGGGGTATCTTCCGGCAACAGAATTACTGGGCGACACATAGGACCATCACCCCCTCGACTATAGTTAGCCAGGCACAGTAAAACATCTGTTAAAAGAGAGGGTAAAAGTGAGGCTTCATCGTTTGGGGGTTTTATCAGCCTAAGTGTTTTATAGGTCTTCTTTATATAACACATTTCATTATAAGACATAACTTTCAATTACAGTCCAACGATCTCCCCCATCAAAATACTTACCCTCTAACATCTGGACCATAGAAGTGCCAAGGGAAAGCTAAAAGATAGAGCAGAGGCCAGGCACGGTGGCTCACGCCTGTAATCCCAGCACTTCAGGAGGCCTAGGCGGGCAGAGTTCACGAGGTCAGCAGTTCAGGACCAGCCTGACCAACATGGTGAAACCTCGTCTCTACTAAAAATACAGAAATTAGCAGTGCCTAATACACGTGGCATATGCCTGTAATCCCAGCTACGCAGGAGGCTGAGGCAGGAGAATCACTTGAACCTGGGAGGCAGAGGTTGCAATGAGCCAAGATCGCACCAATGCACTCCAGCCTGGGCGACAGAGAGACTCTGTCTCAAAAAACAAAACAAAACAAACACAAAACAGCAGAAACATGCTACACTTAAGCCTCTTACTTAGCAGAATGTGCCAAAGTTGGCACACTGATATGAAAACAATCTCTGAAGACTGGTTTTTGAACACCTGTGCTGAGGAAGAATTTTAAATTACCCAGTAACCAAATGCAGCACACTAAAAGGAAGTATATTATTCTGTTCCATTAGATACTTGCGTTCAGATCAAAATAGTTTTGTGTTACTGTGTTACAAATTCAAGTAAACTACCATTATTTAAAAAAAAAAAAAAAAAAAAAACAGGGCTGGGCGCAGTGGCTCATGCGTGTAATCCCAGCTCTTTCGGAGATCAAGGCGGGCAGATCGCTTTGAGGTCAGGAATTCAAGAACAGCCTGGCCAACACGGGAAAAACCCTGTCTCTACCAAAAATACAAAAATTAGCCAGGTGTGATGGTGACCACCTGTAGTCCCAGCTACTCAGGAGGCTGAGGAAGGAGAATCACTTGAACCCAGCAGTTTGAGGCTGCAGTGAGCTAGTCATCCCATTGTACTCCAGTCTGAAAACAGCAAGACCCCGTCTCTAAAAAATTAAAAAAAATATACAACATAAACCTAAACTATAAAACAGCAATGGTTCCAGGTAATGTTGGCCGTGACATTTAAAGAACAAAATTGCTTATGAAGTTGAGATGGTTGCCAAATTGTAAATTCCTAACTCAGGGCTTTGAAAAATCAATTGTAGGAAAGAATCTTTGACAATTTGGCTACAGAAAAAAGGAATGATTCTTTTAAAATTGTATGCAGATGGATTCACTGAAATGCAAAGGTTGTAATAAAACAATTTTTAAATGTTGGATCAACAGATAGTGTAACAAAGCACCTTGAAACAGTATTCACCAAATAATAAAAAGCTCAACTTTTTATTGATAAATAAAATTCGATCTAAAATAAAGCCTGTCTCATGAAGTATAACACATTTAAAAATCTTTTGGGCCGGGAGCGGTGGCTCATGCCTGTAATCCCAGCACTTTTGGGAGACTGGAGGATCACTTGAGGCCAGGAGTTCAAGACCAGCCTGGGCAACATAGGGAAGCTTCAACTCCCTTCCCCCTTCCCCCACCAAAAAAATAAAGCAGGGCACGCCGGTGCTTACCTGTAAATCCTAGCTACCTAAGAGGCTGACACGAGAGGTCTGTCCTGGGTAACAGAGCAAGACAC
This sequence comes from Homo sapiens, assembly GCF_000001405.40. Lineage (NCBI taxonomy): Eukaryota > Metazoa > Chordata > Mammalia > Primates > Hominidae > Homo > Homo sapiens. The sequence continues at coordinate 47,801,716 of NC_000002.12, read as the reverse complement.
TGTCTAAAAACAAAAACCTTTTGTTCGATTATTAAAGACTGAAGAAAGGGCCAGGCGCAATGGGTCATGCCTGTAACCTCAGCACTTTGGGAAGCCGAGGCAGGAGGATCACTTGAGCCCAGGAGTTCAAGACCAGTCCTGGCAACACAGTGAGACCCCATCTCTCTACAAACATTTAAATATTAGCCATGCATGGTGGTGCATATCTGTAATCTCAGCTACTTGGGAGGCTGAGGTGGAAAGATCACTTAAGCCTGGGAGGTCGAGGCTGCAGTAGCCATGGTTGTGTCACCATATTCTAGCCTGGGCAACAGAGCAAGACCATGTCTCAAAAAAAAAAAAAAAAAAAAAAAAACTGAAGAAAGGCCAAAGGGCTACTAAGATAAAAGCGAGTTTCAAGTAACTTAAATTGCTGTGGGCAGCCTAGTCAGGATGCAAATATGTATATGCATGTCAAAATATGTACCATATATACCTTATTACTTATTTTTAGGGATAATATACAGCTGGCAAACAGCACTACTTATCAAAGCCTGAGAACAAGCTTGTTCAAAGTCTTACCCAACACTGCGATACACTCTACAGCAGACTGCCAGTCCTTGTAATTTTTATCAAAGTTATAGAACAGTCGCCGCATGCAGTCCTTCAATGATACATCCCTCCGTTCTTCAGCATTTATGAGATTAGCCAACTTCTTTTCAATAGTTTTGGTCCAGTATCGTTTACAGCCCTTCTTGGTAGATTTCAACTCGTATTCTTCTGGCAAATTGCGAGTGGTGAAATTCTCAGGAATTTCCAGCTGGTAACGGTTCCTACCAATCCCCCAATAGACTATGGTCCTACAGCCAATTCTGTTGCGCTGTTTCTCTAGGTATTCCAGGAGGCTCTGTTCATTTTCTCTTATGTCAGCAAGAGCTTGGTCATAATCAGAGTCAAAGCCTGCTTTGGGAGTAATAAGTCCAGTCTTTCGAGCCTTTTCATGGTCAAAGGCTGTATCCCATCGGTTCAATTCTACAGTCAAATCAGGAAAACGACCTTCAGGATTTTTTGTCTGCAGAGAGATGACCTGCTTAAGGATTTTAGACTTAAAACCATCAGCAACTTCTTCCATGATCCCTATAATTTTACACATTACTTTGAATCCTTCCAGAGCAGAAAGAAAATCAATAATCTTCTTCTTGCTGTATGTAGTTTCTTCATACATTATAGCCCTGCTGTCTGGGTGGTTCTGACTCTTCAGGGGAGACCCAACATTATGAATTTTACTGAGTAGCCTCTCAAGATCTGGAAGCTTCTTTAGAAGCTCTACAACTTCGGAGATTTTGTCAGGCACAACCATGAGGTCTTCTATGGCATCTAGACGATCATTAATAGCATAATGGTTACAGAGTGGGGCACAAAGCCATTGCTTTAGGAGCCGCTTACCAAAAGGAGTATGGCAAGTATCAACCCTCTCTAGTAGGGTTCCTTCAGTAGAACCATTTGTTCCATTCAGAAAAATCTCCAAGTTGTTTAATGTCACTGCATCTAGCACCATTCGTTGATAGGCTTTGGTGAAGATAGCACCAGATCTTGTAGTGCTGACTGTGTCAGAATCCAAGGGAATATATTCTTCAAAATTAGCCATTGATAAAAGCTCCTGATCAATAAGGCATTTTTTGAGGTAGAAGACACAACCACCTAGAGCAGAGAGGGCCAATTCACTTTTCTCTCCTGGTGTCAACCCAATGGAATCAGACTCTGAAGTCATACCTTTAAGCACCTGGGGTAACATCACCCCAATGCCATCACTTAGCTTTTCCCTAAAATATTCTTCCTCAAGGAGAGTTCTCAAAGTTTTGGATGCATCCCAAAACTGGGAGCCGGGTATCAGACCTTCCTGAAGAGAACAGGACAATGAACTCTTTAGAATTGTTTTAGTTTCCTTTGAGAGATTTCCTTTTTCAAATAAAACTTGTACTGGGGGATAGTGTGCCACTAGAGTCCTAAATCTCGAACAATGGCGATCATCTGAAAACTGACCTATGAAAAACTTTCCCAGTGAAGTATCAACAAAGCACACACCATATGCACGAGTATGGCCAGAAGAATCTTCCTCTTTTTCTTTGAGGCTAAGAAGATACTTACTGTAGTTCTCAGAGGGATCACCTTCCAGCACACTGTAAGTCTGTGTACCCTTGGTAATGATCCTACAGATCTCCCTCCTCACCACTCTATCATACTTGGATATATGTGCCATCTTTCTACATCGTGCCTCCATCATTTCTGGAGTCTCAGTCTGTTCCACTCGTGCTACTTTATAGCCCTTCTGCACCAGGGAATCTGAATAACGGCCAAATGCAATTTCAGGAAAGCCAGAATGGGCCCAGTTGCCTTTCATGAATACCAGCCCCAGTTCACTGACTCCAATAAGAGCATCCATGTGGTACAGCTCATAAAATTTCCCCACCTTGTAACAGATGACAAGATCAAAGTTCTGAGACTTAATCTGCCACCACTTCCTCATCCCAGGAGTACAAGAATTGAGGAAATCCTCAGGCACATAGAGTGTAGATGCATCAAAATCGGGGTGATCAGGCCTCCTCCTGTGCTCATCTCTTCTCTTTTCCTCCTTAAGCCATTCTAAAGTTTCATGATACCAAACAGTAGGGCGACTACTGTCATCACCACCTCCACTAACGTGGGCTTGGGATTCAGAATTTTGAGGGGCAGAGAAAGCTCTCAAAGTATTCTTGGTTTCTGATGAAATGCTAGTTGCTTGTTTGGTGGCTGAGGGCGTTTCCTTCCTAGAGCTTTTCCTTTTAAGAGAGCCATTTCCAGTCACCATTCTCTTCCGCTTTCGAGCAACTTTGACAGGGCTGTTCAGGCCTTCACTCTCACTATCCCCCACTCCACTGCTTATTTCATCACTGCTTCCTTCCTCCTTAGTGTCTGGCTTAAATTCCACATCAGAGCCACCAATGTCACTCTCAGAATCTGATATGACCCTTCGTTTTTTTATTTGGCGGCTACTTCGCCTAGATCCTTGTGTCTTAGGCTGTACTTCCTCTTCACTCTCAATTTCATTATCTTCTTCACTCTTATCTGTTACGTAAGTTGTGCCTACCTGCCAGGCAAGGAAAGAGTATTTAAAAACAAATCAAAATTTGGAAAACCATAATGTAAGACAGTTCAACTTATGATTTTTTGACTTTATAATGGTACCCGTGCAGCCACTGTTTTTCATTTTTAGTACAGTATTCGATGAATTACATGAGATAGGCAATTCCTTATTATAAAATAGGCTTTGTGTTAGATGATCTTGCCCAACTTTAGGCTAACATTTAAGTGTTCTGAGCACGTCTGAGATAGGTTAGGCTACGCCCAAGCTACAATATTCGGTGGGGTAGGTGTATTAAACACGTTTTTAGTTTATGTAACCCCATCATAAGTTGTGGATGGGATAACCCCATCTGTACTACTGTAAATTCTCTTAATATGCTGCAACTTCATATGCCAAAAAAAGAACCCACCTCTAGAAATTAGAAACCTCTCAATGAACATCAACTTCAGTTTCACTTGACATTAAAACAATTGTCATTTTCCATGCCAATAGTTCTCCTGCAAACGTGGTGGAAAAAAAATCTCTGGACTTGCTGTAAGTGTAGCAGACACCAACCCCACAAAGTGACATAATACAAGAAGGGCAAGGATTCTCTGCCCAGGGAAAGCAGCATTATGAAGGAAGCAGAGTGGGTATGGGGGGTAAGTCGACTCTGGCTAAAAGACTAAAACTATAAAAAAGATTGTGCTGAGGCTTGAGTTTGAGCTCATGTGCAAAATCCAAGGGAATGCTAGCTATTAAGAGATGCAAGCATTTTGAACTGGGAGGAGGTAAGAAGAGACAGGCAAAGTGATCCAGTTCTAAGCCTCATCTTTTGTTTTACTATGAAGACAATAACATCTTGAGGTTATGTTCAAAAACACAAAGTGCTGCACCGAGCACAGTAGCAGGTGCCTGTGGAGAAAATCGCTGAGCCCAGAAGTTCAAGGCCAGCTCGGCAACATGGTGAGACCCCACCTCTAACTACAAGATTAAGTGATTGCTGCCATGGGAGTTCTATTTATGACAAAGCTGTTGGCATGACCATATATCATAAATATCAGGAGGCGATATGCTCATTAATAGCATAAGAAAGCAGTAAGCAACTTATACTGGTTCTAGTGTTTGCTCTTCCACAATTGGCTGTCTCATCTCAGGCCTAGCACATTCACATATCACGGATCTCCCGGATTATTTGTTAAACCAGTATTAGGCTAAATGATCTCTGTAGCTGCCATCCAGTTCTAGACCTCTGATAATGTTATGATCCTTAGTTTCAACCTTAAAATTAAAATACCCACTTTATTAACTTGCTCATTCCCTATCTTATCTATTGAAAAAGGAACAAAACATGAAACTGAGCTTAGTTATAGATGAATGTCTTTTAGGATGCAGCTCATTAATATGATAGATCAGAGGATAATGATCTTTCAGCTTCCCTGGGCCACACTGGAAGAATTGTCTTAGGCCACACATAAAATACACTAATGCTAATGATAGCTGATGAGCTAAACAACAACAACAAATCACAAAATGTTTTAAGAAAGTTTACAAATTTGTGTTGGGCTGATTTAAACGCCATCCTGGGCCACAGACTGGACAAGCTTGTTCTAAATTAATCAATTTTTTTCACTTCTATAACATTTTTTGTTGTTGTTGACAGTCTTCTTGCTCTGTCACCCTGGCTGGAATGCAGTGGTGCGATCTTGGCTCACTACACCCTCTGCCTCCCAAGTCCCTCTGCCTCCCAAGTTCAAGCAATTCTCATGCCTCAGCCTCCCAAGTGGTTGGGACTACAGGTGTGTGCCACCACGCCCAGCTAATTTTTGTATTTTTTATAGAAACAGGGTTTCACTGTGTTGGCCAGGCTGGTCTTGAACTCCTGTCCTCAGGACATCCAACTGCCTCAGCTTCCTAAAGTGCTGGGATTATAGGCATTAACCACCACACCTGGCCCCTAACAAGTTTTAATTCACTTTATCCATGACCATTAACGTTTGAGCCAAGGTTGTATTTCAAGGTTTATTTAACATCTATTCTTATGAATGCAAAATACAACAAAAAAAGTTTTAGAATTAAAAGCATAAAGCTGGGGCTGGGTGCTGTGGCTCATGCCTGTAATCCCAACACTTTGGGAGGCCCAGGTGGGCAGATCCCTTGAACTCAGGAGTTTGAGACCAGCCTGGGCAACATAGCAAGACCCCATCTCAGTTTTTTTATAAAAAGCATAAAACTGGATAATTAATTTCTAGGGCCTGACTATACCCTCATATATATATTACTCCATCTTTACTGTCCCTAGCTCTCTACTTCTTACCAAAATGGTACTACCTCTTGCTTACCCTGCCAGTAGGCTTGAAAACCTAAGTAAAAACGATGCTAGCTGTTGAGATTCTAAGTAACCTAACTTATCCTACAGTCCAGGGAACTACAGAAGTATGCATGTATGTATAATAAAATAATACATATACACACACATATATAAAACAAGGTATCTTGTTAATACACCCTCCCCCTTTCTTCCCCCATCACCCTAACATAAATAACAACTGAATGCTTGCCGTGTCCCACCTCCATCTCTTCTTCCTCTTCTGGCTCTGAGGGCTCATCACAAACTGCCAATTCAAGCCTCTTAATCTTGTCTTTATTTAAGGCTTCATCTGCACGTTGCATTGCTCTCAGTATTTCAGGCTTTGCACTGTAAAAATGACCTCCCTTCTGGGCTTCCTTTGATTTTGAACCTAGAAAGAAATGTATTTATAAACAATAAGGGCCGGGTGCAGAGGCTCACGCCTGTAATCCCAGCAGTTCAAGACCAGCCTGGGCAACATAGCAAACCCCATCTCTATCTTAAAATATATATATGCCAGGTGTGGTGGCTCACGCCTGTAATCCCAGCATTTTGGGAGGCTTAGGTGGGCGGACTACTTGAGGTCAGGAATTCAAGACCAGCCTGGGCAATGTGGTGAAACCCCATCTCTACCAAAAAAAAAATACAAAAATTAGCCAAGGGTGGTGGTGTGCGCCTGTAGTCCCAGCTACTTGGGAGGCTGAGGTGGGAAGATCACTTAAACCTGGGAGGCAGAGGTTGCAGTGAGCCGAGATTGCACCACTTCACTCCAGCCTGGGCGACAGTGCAAGACCCTGTCTCGATGAAAAAAAAAAAAAAAAATGTATATATGTATACACACACACACACACACACACACACATAAAATAACTTGTTGGCTGGACACTTGACTCAACCTACAACATTTGCCCTAATGAACAAGAATGACAAGTATAATTTGTTATGCCCCATTACTTTTTATTGATATAGATAGATCAATAAAGCACAAAAGGAATAAATATTCAGGGAAAAACTACTGGTGAAACTAAAATCACCAATTTTACCTCCTTGAAGGTGCCCTATGGGTTCACCCAGGACTACTTAGTCTGTCTTCTAATGACCTGGGTCTACAGCCCTAAACAGGTAGGGCATACCTCTTCAAGTGAGGCAGACGATTTAAAAGAGGTTTGAGAATCTTTCTTAAAAACTTACTAGCTGGGCACAATGGCTCGCACCTGTAATCCCAGCACTCTGGGAGGCAGAAGCAGGCAGATCACGAGGTCAGGAGTTCAAGACCAACCTGACCAATATGGTGAAACCCCATCTCTACTAAAAATACAAAAATTAGCTGGGTGTGGTGGCACATGCCTGTAGTCCTAGCTACTCGGGAGGCTGAGGAAGGAGAATCACTTGAACCCGGGAGGCAGAGGTTGCAGTGAGCCAAGATCGCACCACTGCACTTCAGCCTGGGCGACAGAGCAAGACTCCATCTCAAAAAACAAACAAACACTTCAGGAAGACAAAGACTACACTGTCAGTTACATGCAGCTATGATATTAAATATGAGTTTGTCCCAAAGACAACTAGATCAGATATATCTAAATAAATAAAAGAATAACCAACCAATGTGCTACTTTAAGGGGCCTTCACATTTTGAAAGGGCAGCCCAGTTCAGACTCAACGCGTTAAAATTTATTTCTCAAAACAGTTCGTTCCATCAAAATACAACTTTAGGGCTGGGCGTGGTGGCTCACACCTGTAATCCCAGCATTTTGGGAGGCCAAGGCGGGTGGATCACTTCAGGTCACGAGTTTAAAGATCAGCCTGGCCAACATGGTGACATCCATCTCTCCTAAAAATACAAAAATTAGCCAGGTGTGGTGGTGCACACCTGTAGTCTCAGCTACTAAGGAGACTGAGGCAGGAGGATCACTTGAACCCCGGAGACAGAGATTGCAGTGAGCCAAGACTGCACCATTGCACTCCAGCCTGGGTGACAAAGTGGGTCTCCATCTCAAAAAAAGAAAAAAGAAACTGACTCCCGGGTTCAAGCAATTCTGCCTCACCCTCCTGAGTAGCTGAGATTACAGGCATGTGTCACCATGCCTGGCTAATTTTTGTATTTTTAGTAGAGACAGGGTTTCACCATGTTGGCCAGGCTTGTCTGCAACTCCTGACCTCAGGTGATCCACCTACCTTAGTCTCCCAAAGTGCTGGGATTACAGGCGTGAGCCACCACTGCCTGGCCTTACTGATCTCTTTTTAAAAATCATTCTGGGCCAGCCCAGTGGCTCACACCTAATCCCAGCACTTTGGGAGGCCAAGGTGGACGGATCACTTAAGGTCAGGAGTTTGAGACCAGCCTGGACAACGTGGTGAAACCTCAACTCTACTGAAAAATACAAAAATCAGCTGGGCCTGGTGGTGGGCGCCTATAATCACAGCTACTTGGGAGGCAGAGGCAGGAGAATCGCTTGAACCCAGGAGGCAGAGGTTGCAGTGAGCTGAGATTGTGCCATTCCACTCCAGCCTGGGTGATAAAGCTGGACTCCGCTGCAAAAAAAAAAAGTAATTCTGCCAAATTTTTTAAATCTCGAAATTGGTCCTAAAAGAGACTTCATATATCATCTGGTTCAATGAGAGATCTTTTTACTTTATTTATTATTTTATTTTATTTATTTATTTATTTATTTATTTTTGAGATGAAGTCTCACTCCGTTCCCCAGGCTGGAGTGCAGTGGCGCGATCTCGGCTCACTGCAACCTCCGCCTACCAGGTTTAAGCAATTCTCTGCCTCAGCTTCACGAGTAGCTGGGATTTCAGCTTATTTTTGTATTTTTAGTAGAGACAGTGTTTCACCATCTTGGTCAGGCTGGTCTCGAACGCCTGACCTCGTGATCCACCCGCCTGGGCCTCCCAAAGTGTTGGGATTACAGGCGCGAGCCACCGTGCCCAGCCTTTTTTTTTTTTTTTTTTTTTTTTTTTTTGAGACAGTCTCGCTCTGTCACCCAGGTTGGAGTGCGGTGGCATGATCTTGACTCACTGCAACCTCCGCCTCCTAGATTCAAGCGATTCTCTTGCCTCAGCCTCCCAAGTAGCTGGGATTACAGGCATGTGCCACCATGCCCAGCTAATTTTTGTATTTTTAGTAGAGACGGGATTTCACCATGTTTGCCAGGCTAGTCTGGAACTCCTGACCTCAGGTGATCCACCTGCCTTGGCCTTCCAAAGCGCTGGGATTACAGGTGTGAGCCACCATGCCCGGCCCCAGTGCAACCCCAATGAGATTCATTCTAAATATAAGTAAACAGTATCAGAAAATAAGTTACTTTAGCCAGATCACCCAACTACTTGGGAGCCTGATGCAGAAGGATCACTGGAGGCCAAGAATTCAAGACCACCCTGGGGGCAACATAGCAAGACCGTCATCTCTTTAAAAAAAAAAAAAAAAAAAAAAAACTATATAAAAATTAGCCAGGTGTGGTGGCAGACACCTCTAGTCCCGGTTACTGAGGAGGCTAAAACAGGGGGGAATCACTTGAGCCCAGGAGTTCAAGGCTCCAGTGAGCTATGATCCCAACACTATACTCCAGGCTGGGTGACAGAGTGAGACCCCCATCTCTTGAAAAGAAAACGAAAAAGTTGGCCGAGCCCAGGGGCATGGTGGCTTATGCCTGTAGTCTCAGCACTTTGGGAGGCCGAAGTGGGCAGACTGCTTGAGCTCAGGCAGGAGTTTGAGACCAGCTTGGGCAACATGGCAAAACTGTGTCTCTATTTCTTTTAAAAAGATTAAAAGAAAAAACAAGTTACTTTGCTTGGCCAAGATTATGTGGCAAGTTGGTAGAAGAGAGAACAAAACTTCCCAATTCTCTTTCCACCTGTATGTCAGATCACCATTTACATTTAATTTTAGACAAAATGCCCCCAATCCTTTTTTGTAGGATGAGCACTATGACGAAAGAGTGTGATTCTGGGAATTTCCCAGTTACCTGGGAAACTGACCCTTGTTTGGATTTTACAACACCGAGTACGACAACGTACTAGACTGGAGACTCTTGGGAGGCCGAAATGGGCAGATCACCTGAGGTCAGAAGTTGGAGACCAGCCTGGCCAACATGGTGAAACCCCGTCTCTACTAAAAATACAAAAATTAGCTGGGCGGCTGGGCACAGTGGCTCACGCCTATAATCCCAGCACTTTGGTAGGGGGAGGTGGGTGGATTACTGGAGGTCAGCAGTTCAAGACCAGCTTGGCCAACATGGTGAAACCCCATCTCTACTAGAAATAAAAAATTAGCTGGGCTTGGTGGTGTGCACCTGTAATCCCAGCTACTTTAGAGGCTGAGGAAGGAGAATCACCTGAACCCGGGAGGTGGCGGTTGCAGTGAGCTGAGATTGCGCCATTGCACTCCAGCCTGGGCCAAAAGAGCAAAACTCCGTCTCAAAAAAAAAATATATATATATAGCCAGGCAACGTGGCGTGTGCCTATAATCCCAAGCTACTCGGGAGGCTGAGGTAGGAAACTCTTGAACCCAGGAGACGGAGGTTGCAGTGGGCCGAGATTGCGCCACTGCACTCCAGCCTAGGCAACAGAGTGAGACTCTGTCTCCAGAAAAAAAAAAAAAAAAAAGAAAGAAAGAGAACTTGTACAAGAGACGATGGGGTGCACCTAGCCCAAGTGAGGCTAAACATGCCAGGCTGTTGATGTCTGTGATAAACAAGACTAGATCTGGGAAAAGAAAGTTATGGTTCCAGGAGTTTGGTGTGAAACTCAACTCAGATGTGTTCATTAGTGAGTAGTTTGAAGGCCAGGTAGTGCGCATCTCCATCTTTCCCTAGAGAATGTCGCTATCTATAGGCTATGTATCCTGATGACATTAACTTTCTCTTGGACCCTTCAAGATGGGGGGACAGTTTAGTTTACCCTTATTAAGGGTATAATATTGCTGTAAGTCACTCAAAGGACAGAAATAAAAATTCCATTCCACAAAACAAACCAGCTAAAGACCATGTTACATCCCTTTCCCATGCCAGAAGCTTTCACAACTGCCACCCCTTGCAATTTACTGGGGTAAAATACACTTAATTTCATCATATAGAAAAAAGTCTGCCTGTCTGTCTGTTTCTCTCACACACACACACACACACACAAACACACACACATGGCAGTAGTGACTCTTACCTGTATATGGCTTTAAAAGCCTTTTGCTAACCCAGCCCCTTGTTGGGCTGTCATCAAAAAACTGTACATGAACACGGACTGATTTCCCTTTCTCGCGGATGAATGTTCCATCAAAGGGGTGGTTGTAAACCAGACAAGGCCACCAGGGGTAACCCTCCATCTTGGCCCAAACCAAATCTCCTGGTGAGAAGTCACAACTGTTGCCAAAAGGAAATACATAACTTAGTTAATATTTGGTCAAGTTTCCTTAAAGGCAGTTACCTACAAATAAACAATTCCAAGTCTTCTGGCATTAATATTGAAGCACAGAAATTCTAGAATAATTTTTAAAGTCAGATATTCAAGTCATTTAAAAAATGTATGCAAGCTGATATCATAATGCATATTTAACTATGAAGACAAACACAAATATAGTTATGTTATTAGGGTGAGAAACTTTCTCAGAATCAAAGTTTAAAAACCATGGCAGAATTTTGGTATAATGCTGATGGCAGGAAAAAGGCATGGACTCACTGTATATGCTCTCCAAATTAGTAGCACCTATACAATATGGTATGTACATATCAGAAACAGGATCTAACTCACAATATTATTATAAAGCATACTGATTACATAATTTACTAATTAGGTAAATTATCTAATTCATTAGACTTGCTTGGAATCTTTTTCCAGTTACACTCCTATGTATTCCAAAAGCTACCTAATACTCTATTACCCTCCCCCTACAAACTACGGAAAAACTCAAGTCAACAACTGAGGGCGTAACGTGCCTCCCCGGTTCAAGCGATTCTTGTGTCTCAGCCTCCTGAATAGCCAAGACTACAGGCACACGCCATCACACCTGGCTTATTTTTACCTTTTTTTTGTAGAGTCAGGGTTTTGCCATGTTGGCCAGGCTCGTCTTAAACTCCTGACCTCAAATGATTCACCCGCCTTGGCCTCTCAAAGTGCTGGGATTACAGGCGTGAGCCACCGCGCCTGGCCAAATAAAGTATTTTTAACATACAAGTTAAGCATTCTAGTTGTATTCCAAAGTAAATACAGTATGCTCAACAAACATATCCTTGGGTTCCAGTCCAGATTCAACCAACCTAGATTAAAAATTTTAAATCAAAAATTTAAAACCAATAAAAAACAGTGACCAGGTATGATGGCTCACACCTGTAATCCCAACACTTGGGGAGGCCGAGGCAGGACAGCTTGAGCCTGGGAGGTTAAAGGTGCAGTGAGCTGTGATCACTGTACTGTACTCCAGCCTGGGCAACAGAGCAAGACTCTGTCTCAAAAAAAAAGGAAAAAAAATACAAAATTTAAAATACAGCTGAACAACTAATTTCAAAGCATTTACATTCTATTAGGTATTGTACGTAATCTAGAGATAAAGTACAGGGGAAGATGTGTATAGGTTATATGCAAATACTACATCTCATAAGGGACTTGGACATCCAAGGATTTGGGTATTCACAGGGGGGTCCTGCAACCAATCCCCCTCAGATACAAAGGGAGGACTGTAACTTTAGTCTTAGAAAAGGGCTGTTACCTTAGAACTTTGTCATGTGTAAAATACAGTATAAATTGTTTTAAATGATGTATGAGGTCTCATGCTTTAAAAGATCATTAGAAAAGAATTATTTCATTTCTAAGCAAGCAATTAAAAAAATAATGTCTTCCATTTGTTTACAGGATAAATGTGCATCCTCACTAGGAAAAAAAAGTTTGTGTGAAAAGCTGGATCCAACCATTATCAGTTTTGAAATAAATTCCTTTCTGAAATAAAATATTAGAAACATAAGCATTTAAACAAAAAATTTTGTTTTTCAACATCATTTTATCCTTTATATACCATTACACTTACAGAATCTGACACATAATTTCTCTGCTGTTAAGAAATAGCAGTATGGGCCGGGTGCGGTGGCTCAGGTCTGTAATCCCAGCACTTTGGGAGGCCAAGGCAGGTGGATCACGAGGTCAGGAGTTCAAGACCAGCCTGGCCAAGATGGTGAAACCCCGTCTCTACCAAAAATACAAAAATTAGCCAAGTGCAGTGGCAGAGGCCTATAATCCCAGCTACTTGGGAGCCTGAAGCAGGAGAATCACTTGAACCCGGGCAGCAGAGGTTGCAGTGAGCCAAGAAAACGCCACTGCATTCCAGCCTGGACGACAGACTCCGTCTCACAAAAAAAAAAAAAAAAAAAAAAAAACAAAAAAAAAAAAAAGGAAGAAGAAAGAAAGAAAGAAATAGCAGTATGCTGGGCCGGGCGCAGTGGCTCACTCCTATAATCCCAGCATTTTGGGAGGACGAGGCAGGCAGATCACCTGAGGTCAGGAGTTCAAGACCAGCCTGGCCAACATGGCGAAACCCCATCTCTACTAAAAAAATACAAAAATTAGCTGGGCATGGTGGCAGGCGCCTGTAATCCCAGCTACTCGGGAGGCTGAAGCAGGAGACTCCCTTGAACCCGGGAGGTGGAGGTTGCAGTGAGCCCAGATCATGCCACTACACTCCAGCCTGGGTAACAGAGCAAGACTCCGTCTCAAAAAAAAAAAAAAAAAGAAAAAGAAAAAGAAAAAGGCTGGGCACGGTGGCTCACGCCTGTAATCCCAGCACTTTGAAAGGCCAAGGCGGGTTGATCACGAGGTCAGGAGTTCGAGACTGGCCTGGCCAACATGGTGAAACCCCATCTCTACTAAAAAAATAAAAATTAGCTGGGCATGGTGGCGGGCATCTGTAATCCCAGCTACTCGGGAGGCTGAAGCAGGAGAATCATTTGAACCTGGAAGGCAGAGGTTGCAGTAAGCCGAGATCGTGCCACTGCACTCCAGCCTGGGTGACAGGGCGAGACTCCATCTCAAAAAAAAAAAAAAAAAAAAAAAAAAGAAAGAAAGAATGAAAGAAAAGAAATAGCAGTAAGCTATAAAATGCTAAGACTAAAAATTTTACTAATATGCAGTTCCTCCAATGCTAAAAAGCTTGAAGAAAAAGAGTACCACTAAACATCCTGGACCCAGGAAACTGGTTTCTGAGTCAAAAAAGATAATTAAACAGGTAGTAAAATGTATTGTGTAACAAAACTAAAAATTTTAAACATTTCTCAAAATTTTTCTTCACTCACTGCTAACAAACCAAATTTTTTTTGTGTGTAAACCTGAATTCTTTAAAGGTAATTTTAAAATTTTATCCGTGGTAATCCTGCGGTTTTCAAGAATGCCAAAATAGGCCAGGTGTGGTGGCTCACACCTATGATCCCAGCACTTTGGGAGGATCTCTTAAGAGCCCAGGAATTCGAGACCATCTGGGCTACACAGTGAGACCTTGTTTCTACAAAAAAATTTAAAAATTAGCCAGGCATGGGGTGGTGTGCACTTGGGGTCCCAGCTACTCAGAAAGCTGAGGTGGGAGGATCACTTGAGCCGAATAGGTCGAGGGTGCAGTGAACCGAGATCTGCCACTGTACTTCAGCCTGGGCAACAAAGCAAAACACTGCCTGCCACCATTGCTCCTGCCCTCCAAAAACACCTTAAATTATGATTTTAGGATTTTGCAAGTGCTTTTAAAGCTTTAAGTGAGTCTTAAATGTCCGGTATTCTTGGGGTTTTTTAAGACGGTGGGGAAAAATGTTAAGAGGAAAAGCTGACAGCTCACAAAATAAATGTTAAAACTTTGATATAATAAGTAATGGCTTTGTCTAAACATACGCTAAACAGATCTTTTGAATTCTGGTTTAAAATCACATTATTTTTGCTTTCTCTTTAGCCCATAATTTTGATGTCAATTACTAGTTGTTCCTAAAATATATAATCAACATTTTCACCAACTTTTATTTTATTTTTTGGCAGACAGGGTCTGACTCTGCCACCCAGGCTGGAGTGCATGGCATGATCTCTTGGCTTACTGCAGCCTCAACCTCCTGGACTCAAGCGATCCTCCCATCTCAGTCTCCCAAGAAGCTGGGACTACAGGCACACGCCACCATGCCTGGCTAATTTTCTTATTTTTTGGAGAGACAGGGTCTAGCCATGTTGGCCTGCCTTGGCCTCCCAAAGTGTTGGGTTTACAGGCATGAGCCACTGCACCCAGCCTCCCTGTGGATTTCTTAAATAAAACCTATAGAAACACTAACCACAGAGAAAATAAAAGGACAAATTCCACATTATAATCAATAATTTGTTCATCGAAAGATGCCATAAGGCTGGGTGTGGTGGCTCACACTTGTAATCCCAACAGGTTGGGAGGCTGAAGTGGGAGGATCGCTTGAGAGCAAGAGTTCAACACCAGCCTGGGCAACAAAGTGAGACCTCTATTATTCAACAACAACAACAAAGCCATAAACTAAATGAAAGAACTCATTGTGAAAGAAGACATTTATATCACACACAAATGACAAAGAACTAGGAAAAAAAAAAGAAACAGCAAAAGACAAACACTTCAGCACAAGAAGAAATCTAAATGACAAACATTAAAAGATGCTCGGACAGACACGGTGGCTCACGGCCAGGTGCGGTGGTTCACGCCTGTAATCCCAACACTTTGGGAGGCTGAGGTGGGTGGATCACCTGAGGTCAGGAGTTCACGACTGGCCTGACCAACATGGTGAAACCCGTCTCTACTATAAACACAAAAATTAGCTGGGCGTGGTGGCAGGCACCTGTAATACCAGGTACTTGAGAGGATGAGGCAGGAGAATCGCTGGAACCCAGGAGGCGGAGGTTGCAGTGAGCTGAGACCACACCACTGCACTCCAGCTTGGGCAACAAGAGTGAAATTCCGTCTCAAAAAAAAAAAAAATACGCTCAACATGTTTTAAGGCTTAAATGATTCATGGAGTAAGTCCGAATGTCTCTGTAGCTCATCAGACTGTTCATGATTGGATCTCTGCTTAACTTCTCCAATGCTCCCTCCTCCTCCTTTCATCCTACCCACAATTTGCAGACCTTCCTCTTCCTGAACCAGCTTCCCACTCTCACTATAATCTGTCTAAGCTTATTTGTCCTTCTGGTTTCGGTTTACAGAGCTGAGAGCCTAGCCTGACCCGCATCCTCTCCGTCCCCTTTCCACTTGGAGTCTACAATTGCCTCTTTGCTTTGTCCTGTTCATGGTTGTATCCAGGATCCATAATGCCTAATGCTGTGCTCGGCAGAGTGATCTAGACACTGCAGTTTCTTTAGAAACCTAGTATCAAATGCCCATCTTTCTTGAATACCCTGGAATCCTCTCCATAACGGGAGGTGAAATGTATACGTTTTATTTTTACAAGTCTCTTAAACTCAACCTCAAGAAACAAATAACATACGCTATTCAATATGAATGTAAAGTACATCCTTACAATAAATACACCCGTTTGGTTTGGATTCAACAATCAATTCATGCTCAAGTAAACAATACGTCATGCTTTTCTAACCAGGAGTTTGTTATTGCGGATGCTGGCTCTGTTCCCCACAAGCATATTCTACTAATGCACAACTATATATATTTAAACTGCGGGAAAGGGTCGCTTAAACAAGGGTAACACTATAATTACACTTAGAAAAATCTCAGAATTCCTTTAGGACACTTTAAACTGGATTTAAATGGATTTGAAATCCATTACTCAAAACCACTAACTAGCGGCCGGGCACGGTGGCTCACACCTGTAATCCCAGCACTTTGGGAGGCTGAAGTGGGTGGACCACTTGAGGTCAGCAGTTTCAAGACCAGCCTGGCCAACATGGTGAAACTCCATGGTGAAAAATCAGCCGGACCGCGGTGGGCACACCCGTAATCCCAGCTACTCGGGAAGCTGAGGCAGGAGAATCACTTGAACCCGGCGGGCAGAGGTTGCAGTGAGCCGAGAAAGCGCCACAGCACTCCAGCCTGGGCGACAGAGCGAGACTCCATTTCAAAACAAAACCAAACAAAAAACACGAACTGGCTCTTATCTTGAATGAGTTATTTTTTCTGAGCCTTTATTTCTTCGTTTGTTCAAATAGCGACCATTAAACTTTGTGTTTAGTATCTGACAAACGGCCGGGCTCGGTGGTTCATGCCTGTAATCCCAGCACTTTGGTAGGCCAATGCGGGCCGATCAAGAGGTCAGGAGTTCGATACCAGCCTGGCCAACATAGTGAAACCCGTCTCTACTAAAAATACAAAAATTAGCCAGGCGTGGTGGGGCGCACCTGTAGTCCCAGCTACTTGGGAGGCTGAGGCAGGATAATCTCTTGATCCAGAGACAGAGGTTGTGGTGAGCCAAGAACGCGCCACTGCACTCTAGCCTGGACAAAAGAGCAAGACTCTGTCTCAAAATACATATATATGTATCTGGCAAACAGCAAAAGCAAGCTTTTCAAAATGTCGCCAGCTGCCCGGATAAAAAGCCCTAAACAGACCGGGCGCGGTGGCTAGCGCCTGTAATCCCAGCACTTTGAGGCCGAGGCGGGTGGATCACCTGAGGTCGGGAATTCCGAGACTAGCCTGACCAACATGGAGAAACCCCGTCTCTACTAAAAATACAAAATTGGCGGGGTGTGGGGGCGCATTCCTGTAATCCCGACTACTCGGGAGGCTGAAGCTGGGGAATCGCTTGAAGCCGGGACGCGGAGATTGCGGTGAGCTGAGATCGCGCCATTGCACTCCAGCCTGGACTTGAGCGAAACTCTCTCTCAAAAAGGAAAAAAAAAAAAAAGCACTTAACTGCCCATAAAGTGAGGACAACTCCCGACAGGCTTCCCCGGAGTCACTCACGTCCACACATCTTTGTCCAGCGCCCGATTAAGGCCTCTAAAAGCCCAGTGGTGCCCCATAAAAATTACACTATTTCATAAAATAAAATATTTTCCACTCGACACGAATTTCCACATACGTCAAAATATTCTATCTTCGTCTCGGTGCACGTGCAGCCTACCTACCGAAGGACCCAGCCGGATCCCAGCACTTCGGCTCCCCACGGCCCCGCCCCGCCCAATTAGGCCCCGCGGTCCCCATGGTGACACACCCCCCCGCGCTCGCAGCTCGTGGCCCACCCCCTCGGCGGCCCCTCACCTAGGCCGAAGGCCCACCGTCCCCAAGGCGTCTCGGCGACCGCGGCTCTTAACTACCTCTAAGTGTCTACCTCGATCGACTACTGGAGCCCCAACTCACTATCTCCGCGCCGGCCGAGGAACCTCCTTTCGCACCCCACACCACCGGACTCTCCCCGTTCGGCCTCCCGCAGGCATTCCTCCTTCCCGCCACCCCGCCCCCCGCCCCGCCCACCAAGTGGGCCGGGCGCCTTCCCCTTCTCGCCCCACCCCCAGTGCTCCCACCTCCCAGGCCCCCTCCCCACCCGGAGCTGCGCGCGTCGCCCCTTCCTTAGCCCAGCACCCCCACCTGGCGGGACGCGTCTCCTCCCTCCAAAAGGCCCGAACTCTCCGCGTCTCCCCTGCAGCCCTCTTCCTGCACAGCCTCTCTCCTCCGACCCTGTTTACAAGCTACACCCCCAAATGCTCCAGACTCGACCCCTGCACTCATTCAAGCCAACTCTGCGGCCCCGCCTCCTCCGAGCCCAGGGCCAGGCCGTGCACCCCCCCAACCCCCTGTGCGAGCCTCCCCTCGCCGGGTTCCAAGCGCCCCGCCGCTATGCCCCCGCCTTCGACCCCACCCCCACCCCGCTACCTGGTGGGGGCAGCAGGCGCTACCGATCTCCGCAGCCCTCCGTTGAGGTTCTTCGCCTTGGGCGGTGACGCGGAGCGCGCCAAGGGCCTGGGCCCAGGCCCAGCCTCGCTCCAGGCCGCATCCCCGCCTGGGGAAGGAGAGGCCCCGGGGGCAGCGGCGGCACGGCCGCCTTCGCGTGAGGCCCTGGCCGAGGCCTTGTTGGCATCACTCAGCGCCGGAGACTTGGGGAAGAAGCTGTACAGGGTGCTCTGTCGCGACATACCGACAGCCGGCAAGGCCCAACCGTTCTGTCGGACGGAGCTCCTAAAAGCACCGCATCTACCGCGCGGCTCCTGCTGGCGGGAAATCTGGGGGGAGGCGCGCTCCGCCGGAGGAACCCGGGCCCCAGTGGCCAATCAACAGGCGCCTCGCCGTGCGCGGGCGGTGCGCGCCAGGCCCCGCCCCCGGGCGCGCGGCGACGTGGGGAAGGGCGGGGCTGGCACACTGGTGGGTAGGGGCGGGGCTGGCACGCTGGCGGTGAGGGGCCCGCCCTGCCGCCGACGCCTGGGCCCCGCGCGGGGAACTGCTGAGCTCCCCTTCCCTCACGCCGCGGGGCTGGCCGGGCCGGAACACTCCGACCCGGGGTTAGTTGCGGCCGCGGGGCTAGCAGGCTCGGAAAGCCCTGCCTCTCTGGAGCGGAAGCGGGAACAGCGGGGGCGCGCACCGCCCGGGCGGGGATAACCGGGGGGACCCGAAAGGCCTCGGAAAGGGGCTCGCGGGGAGAAACGCGTCCAGCGCTCGCGTGACCTCCTGCCGTTAGAGCATTTTCGCAAGGAGACGGAGCGAAAGGGACCAAACTTTAGTCAGCAGTTCACCTTCACGTTGTATTCTCAAGATTTGTATAGAGTAGGCACTTGGTAAACGCTAAATGAATATTGTAATAGCATTCGTTAGCGATGCTGTTGTGTATGGTGAAAGCCTGCAGCTGTACAAAGTTTTCCTTTGCCAGGCACTGATCCCAGCATTTTACATCTGGTAACTAAATCGATCCTCTCAATAACCTGTGACGTAAGTACTTAAGGGCCACAGTCCGTTATCTGAGCCCTTTGACCCAGGTGTGTCTTTACAGGATTTTTCAAATTTTAGAAAGCTAAGAGACTATGAGAGGCCGGGCGCAGTGGCTCACGCCTGTAATCCCAGCACTTTGGGATGCCGAGGCGGGCGGATCACCTGAGGTCAGGCGTTGAAGACCAGCCTAGTCAACATGGTGAAACCCCCGTCTCTACTAAAAATCCAAAAATTAGCCGGGCGTGGTGGCATGCGCCTGTAATCCCAGCTACTTGGGAGGCTGAGGCAGGAGAATAACTTGAACCTGGGAGGCAGCGTTTGCAGTGAGCCAAGGTCGCGCCACTGCACTCCAGCCTGGGCGACAAGAGCGAAACTCCGTCTCAAAAAAAAAAGAAAGAAAGCTAAGAGGCTATGAGAATAAAAAGGTTCTATTCAAATTCAAGAAAGATAGTGGAAGACAGACAATTGTTTGTCCCCTTATCCAGATTGTGAAATCCAGATTGCCGGAAACCAGTCACAATCAACAGCTGTACATTGGTAAAAACCTATGTAAAATTAGTTGTTTGCCTTGTTCTTGGAGACTGTTCTGCCAGAAGGTTCTCCTTTGCTAGGCAAGTAATAAAATCAATCTAAAAAAAAAAGGCGGGGGCCGGGCGCAGTGGCTCACGCCTGTAGTCCCAGCACTCGGCACTTCGGGGGGGGGGCGGAGGTGGGCGGATCACGAGGTCAGGAGATCGAGACCATCCTGGCTAACACAGTGAAACCCCGCCTCTACTAAAAATACAAAAAATTAGCCTGGCGTGGTAGCACACGCCTGTAGTCCCAGCTACTGGGGAGGCTGAGGTAGGAGAATGGTGTGAACCCGGGAGGCGGAGCTTGCAGTGAGCCGAGATCGCGCCTCTGCACTCCAGCCTGGGCGACAGAGCAAGACTCCCTCTCAAAAAAAAAAAAAGAATATTGCCAAAGGTGGTATGTGCTAAGAAAAATACAGTATGCTTCACGAATTTGCATTTCATCCCTGTGCAGGGGTCATTCCAATTTTGGTATATGTGCTACCCAAGCAAGCACAGTGAAACCAACTGTTTGAGATAATATTTGAGAGTTGGTCTCTTTCCCCCACCGGCATACGTAAACACCCCCAGAGAGTCTGGGGGAACATGCTGAAATCAAACATGCAGTAAAACTTACATGCTTATTCATACTAAGTAGAAAGAATACAGAATATAGACTATAAATAGCCTCAGGTCAAAATTTGCTACCAAATGAGTTTACCCCCAAACTTTTGGTTTACAGAGCTTTTTGGATTTCAGAATTGCACGTAAGAGGCTGGTTATCCTGTATCTCCATATCATGGATGAAGCTGAGGCACAGTTGGGTCAAGTAACTTGCCCATGACTGCATAGCTAGGAAGTGGTGGAGCCTGGATTTAAACTCAAGGAAGCTGGTTCTGGAGCCCTATGTTGTTAACAGAAATACTATAATACTTCCAATTTAACACCATTTTATCTCATTTAGTTATTACAACCACCTTATACTAGGTTGAACTATGTGAAATTGCCAAAATTTGCCCTTTTTAAAATTTTTTTGAGACAGGGTCTGGCTCTGTCACAGAGGCTGGAGTATAGTGGCGTGATCTTGGCTTACTGTAGCCTCAACCTCCCAGGCTTAAGTAATCCTCTCACCTCAGCCTCCTGAGTACCTGGGACCACAGGCCCGCAACACCATGCCCAGCTAATTTTTTTTTTTTTTAATTGAGGAGTCTTATTCTGTCACCCAGGCTGGAGTACAGTGACGCCATCTTGGTTCACTGCAACCCCTGCTTTGCGGGTTCAGGCAATTCTCATGCCTCAGCCTCCTGAGTGCTAGGATTACTGGTGCCTACCACCATGCCCAGCTAATTTTTGTTTTTTAGTAGAGACACGGTTTCACCATGTTGGCCTGCCTGATCCCAAACTCCTGACCACAAGTGACCCGCCTGCCTCAGCCTCCCAAAGTGCTGGGATTACAGGTATGAGCCACTGTGCCCGGTGCCCTGCTAGTATTTTAAAAATTTTCTGTAGAGACGAAGTTTCACTATGTTGCCCAAGCTGGACCTTTTTGGTTTTTTGGTTGTTTTGTTTTGAGACAGGGTCTTACTCTGTCTCCCAGACTGGTGTGCAGTAGTGCAGTCTCAGCTCACCACAACTTTCACCTCCCAAGCTCAAGCAATTCTCCTTCCTCAGCCTCCTGAATAGCTGGGATTACCGGCACGCGCTACTACTGCCCAGCTAATTTTTGTATTTTTAGTAGAGACAGGATTTCACCATGTTGGCCAGGCTGGTCTCAAACTCCTGACCTCAAATGATCCTCCTGCCTCGGCCTCCCAAAATGTTGGGATTACAGGCGGGAGCCACTGCGCCCAGCCAAGCTGGACCGTTTTTGAAGTACAAATATTAATATTTAATTCATTTTGGTTCAACTGAATATAACGTTATTCTCTTTTTGTTGTTGTTGTTTGTTTTTTTGGGGATGGAGTCTTGCTCTGTCACCGAGGCTGGAGTGCAATGGCACGATCTTGGCTCACCACAACCTCCGCCTCCCAGGTTAAGGCAATTCTCCTGCCTCAGTCTCCTGAGTAGCTGGGGTTACAGGCACCAACACACCCAGCTAAGTTTTGTATTTTTAGTAGAGATGGGGTTTCACCATGTTGGCCAGGCTGGTCTCAAACTCCTGACCTCGTGATCCGCCCATCTCTGCCTCCCAAAGTGCTGGGATTATAGATGTGAGCCACTGCGCCCGGCCGATGTTATTCTTTTACAGGGAGGAAATGGAGGTTCAGAGGGGATGCGCCAGTTGTAAGAGGTTAAGAGCCTGGGCTTTGGGTTAAATGGAGAACTGAGCTCTGATCCTAGCTAGCCAAGCAGATAACTCGGAGCAATTAATACTTTTCTGAACTTGTTTCCTCGTCTTTGATAAGGACAGTAGTACCTATGGGCCAAATTTTGGAGGCTACAGTTAGATGCCTCCCACAAACTTCATTAAAAGACAAGAGAACACATGTATTATGTGGGGACACTCAGACCCCCAGAATTGGCATGAATGTTACTTGGAACTGAAGACATTTGAGAGCCAACAGATGCAGAAAGATGCCGTTTCAAAGCTTCCCTTATGCGACTAACAGCAGAAATTTCTGGGAGTGAAGCTGCCGTAAATCTCCTCTCTAGGGGAGTTTTAGTGGCCAGAAAAAAAGACAAAGACCACTTGCACCTGCAAAAACAAACATTCTTATCTCCCTTTTGTTCCCCCAGAAACCTATTTGTTCTTCCCATGGAAGGCTTTTTCTCCCTCCTCTTCCCCTATTAAATGGTATATATAAAGTAGATTTCGAGATTCAAGAAAAAAAAAGTTGTATAAATGCCAAATAACAGCCTCCTGGACTCACTTTTTTTTTCTGTGAACTCCTGCATGCATATCTGAATAAAAGTCTGTCTTTTTTTTTTTTTTTTTCTGAGACAGGGTCTCACTCTGTTGCCCAGGCTGATCCTCCAGCCTCAGCCTCCCAAGCAGCTAAGACTGCAGGTGTGCGTCCTCACACCCTGATAATTTTATTTTCTGTAGAGACTGGGTCTTGCTATGTTGCCCAGGCCGGTCTCCAACTCTTGGGCTCAAGCCCTTCTCTCTACTTGGCCTCCCAAAGTGCTAGGATTACAGGCCTGAGCCACCGTGCCCGGCCCTAAACTGTCTTTAGTCTGCAGTGCCCAACCAACACATACATTCCATGACTATATATGGGTTATTTTGAAAACTGAATAAAAATATTTTTCTTTTATATGTATTTTTTTTTCAAATGGCTACACTTAGTAAATTGCATAACAATCAATGGAGTTGTTTTGGCCTAGGAGATGTGGCAGGAAAGTACTAAGGTAGTAAATATACTAGGTGTTTGGGAACCTCTGGCCTACTGGTTAAGAGCTCTGTATTCAAAGTTTGTGTTCACATCCCAGCTGAGCTGCTTACTAAACTGCACGAGCTTGTTGGGCAAGTTATTTAGCCTGTGCCTCAGTTTCTACATCTGTAAAACAGGGATGATATTAACACTACCTTCTTCATGGGTTGTGCTAAGCATTGAGTGAAAGGGCATTATGAAGCCCTCAGCCCAGTGCTTGGCACGCCATACGTATTCAATAAATTGGACAGTTATACAAATAAATCACCAACTGGCCAGGGACAGTGGCTCACACTTACAATCCCAACACTTTGGGAGGCCAAGACAGAAGGATGACTTGAGGCCAGGAGTTCAAGACCAGCTAGCAACATAGTGAGAACCGCCTCCTTCTCTACAAAAACATTTAAAAAATTTAGCCAGGAGTGGTGGCACGTGCCTATAGTCCTAACTACTCTCTACTCGGGAGGCTCAAGGCAGGAAGATTGCTTGATCCCAGGAGCTTGAGGTTGCAGTGAGCTATGATCAGGCCACTGCACTCCTACCTTGAGACCCTGTCTCAGAAAAAAAAAACAAAAACAACACACACACACACACAAAACAGAAGAAGAAAACAAGTATTCTCCAGAAGAATACAGTGCCCTGTGTTCCCCCCTTTGCCCGTCCAAGGAACAGCGTGACCCAGCAATCTACGTCTTTGTCCTGGGCCTTGGGAGATAAAGTCAAGGATGAAGAAAGGAGGGGCATGTTTTGTGAGGGTTCCGTCCTAGCCCAAGCAGCTCACGATCACCAGGGACAAGCCTGTAGTCTGCCAAAGTCAGGGTTTGTTTTGCTGGTTGCAACGGGGGAGCCTCCACAGCAGACGAACCATGGGGGTGTCTCACCAAACTACAAAAGGGAGGGAGAGGGTGGAGTTTAGGATAAATTTACCTGAAACAGTGTTTTGAAAGCTCAAATCTAGCTGTGTGTAAAGACAAAGCTAAACTACAAAGTCCACCCAAGGTCGCATTTCCTTGGAAACAGCAAAGTTAAGATAGATGTGGAATAGCGTCCACAAATCCCGTATCTAAAGTTACACACCTGGGTTGTAAATCAAAGCTGTTTCTGTGTCAAAGTAAGACGCTCCAGGCAAGAGTGGGATGTTTCATTTTTGCTGATATAATTTCAAACAGCAAGGCAAGGGGAGGTGGCTTACGCCTGTAATCTCAACAGTTTGGGAGGCCGAGGTGGGAGGATTCCTTGAGCCCAGGAGTACAAGACCAGCCTAGGCAGCAGAGTGAGACCCTTTCTCTACAAAAAAAAAAAACACAAAAATTAAAAATAAACCAGCTGGGCATGGTGATGCATGCCTATAGTCTCAACTACTGGCGATGTTGTGGAAGAATCACTTGAACCCGTGAGGCCGAGGCTGCAGTGAACCGTGATCGCACCATTGCATTCCAGCTTGGGTGACAGACTGAGACCCTGTCTCTAAATAAATAAATAATAACAATAATTTCAGCCAGCAAAGTTTCTGAAAGCCTATGACTTTAGAGAACAAGATTTCTGAGATTGTCAAGAGTAAAAAAAAGTTTTCCTTATGCTACTTTGGGATGGCAGTTTATCCTTGGGACAGATTGTGTTTCCTGTTTAACTTTGTAGCTGACTTTATCTTTGTTATCCCAGCCAGATGAATGGCCTGGAATGTTTCAGATTTCTCATTCCTTGCTTATTTTAACTTTCTCAATTCTCAGGAAAAAGGAGGGGAGAAACTTTGTGCAAGTCAGGTGGAAAGAAATAGCACTTGCACTCTGCCTTTGGTCAGCAAGGGTACAGAAATCAAAGCCTCTTGTGTACTCCCCTAAGTACCAAAGGTGTGGTGGAGGCTCTGGGAGGATGGCTGGGGAAGACAGACCCAGAGTCCACTTGGAGAGAGGAAAGATGGGCCTGAGGGCTTCCATAGCCTGGAGGCACTCCCTTCCCCCACTCCAGCTATCTTCTCCATCCTGTGACTAACATCCATTATTATTTTATTTTTTGAGCCAGGGTCTGGCTCTGTCACCAGTGGTGCGAACATGGCTCATTGCAGTCTCAACCTCCTGGTCTCAAGCAGTCCTCCTGCCTCAGCCTCTAGAATAGCTGGGACTACAGGCATGCTACTACCATGCCTGGCTAATTTTTAAAATTTTTTTTGTAGAGATGGGGTCTCCCTATGTTGCCCAAGCTGGTCTCAAACTCCTGAGCTCAAGCAGTCCTCCCACCTCAGCCTCCCAAAATGCTGGGAATACAGACATGAGCCACCTCGACTAACTGGCTGGAAACTTTCATTATCTCAGACCACAAATGGCCCTGGGGGATAGAGAGATGGGGAGGGCTAGCACCAGTATTTCTCTAGCTCTCCAAAGCCATCCTAGGTGGAATTGCCAGGTACTTTTCTAATATGGTCTCAGCCTCTGATCTCCAAAGTCTGGCCCCAGTCTTGCTTCCCAACTGACTGGCCATTCCTGCCCTCTGCATTCACTGTTCTGGGATCAGCCCTGCTCTGAGGCCACGCAGACCTGTTCTCAATCCTGGCAACCTCAGGTACAGGTTGGGCACCCTGGGTAAATTTTTTGCACTTGAGCCTTGGTCTCCTAATCTGATAAATGGGGATTCACTAATATTTGCTTATGGAGGTATTGGGAGGATGGAATGAGATGAAGTGAAAACTGCTGCCAGGCGTCTAATGTATGCACTATAAATATAAATCTTTCCCTTCCCCTCAGGCTGCTTTTGCCCCCTTTGCCATTTCACAATGAGCCAAAGTATGATGGAACTGGATAAGCCCTGTGGGGAACCACTCAGAATCCCTGATTTGGTGTATAAAGATTATTTTAGGCTGAAGACATTTGAGATTCAACAGATGCAGAAAGAAGCCTTCTCAGAGCTTCCTAAATCTGACTAAAAGCAGAAGAAACTTTTTTTTTTTTTTGAGACAGGGTCTTGCCATCATCCAGGCTAGAGTGCAGTGGCACAATCATTGCTCATTGCAGTCTCGACTTCCTAGGCTCAAGCCATCCTCCCACTTCGGCACCCCACCTCCACCCCCAATAGCCAGAGGTACAGGTGCAGACTAATTTTTGTTTGTTTGTTTATTTGAGAGAGAGTCTCACTCCATCACCCAGGCTGGAGTGCAGTGGTGTGATCTCGGCTCACTGCAACCTCTGCCTCCCAGGATCAAGCGATTCTCCTGCCTCAGCCTCCCGAGCAGCTGGGATTATAGGCGCCCACCACCACACCCATCTCATTTTTGGTATTTTTAGTAGAGATGGAATTTTGCCATGTTGGTCAGGCTGGTCTCAAACTCCTGGCCTCAAGTGATCCACCTGCCTCGGCCTGCCAAGTGCTGGGATTACAGGAGTGATTCACCATGCCCAGCCAAGTGCAGGCTAATTTTTATAAGAAAAGCAGAAACCTTTGAGAAATGAAGACTGCTATGTATTTCTTCTTCCAGAAGCTACCAGGAAAGAGACCAAGAGTAAACCTACTTCAGATTCCCTCTCCAGGGGAGTTTCATGGCTATGAAGATATAATAGAAAGACCACAGGCCCCTGCATAAGCAAATGTTATCACAAACTTTATCTCCAGTTTG
The DNA here is from genome assembly GCF_000001405.40 of Homo sapiens. NCBI lineage: Eukaryota > Metazoa > Chordata > Mammalia > Primates > Hominidae > Homo > Homo sapiens. The sequence goes on along the minus strand of NC_000002.12, from coordinate 47,774,914 downwards.
TTTTCCTAAAAACTCACTTGTGTTTCATAAAGAAACCTATGCATTCTTCCCATAGGAGCCTTGTCTTGCCCCTTCAACTTCTCCTACTACAGTGTATAAGCCACAAATTTTAACCAGCCCTTTGAGCTGTGCATCACAGAGCACTCCTGTGCATATGGGCATTGCATGCATAAACAAATTTGCAAATCTGTCTTTTGTCACTTCAATTTGCAAATATCCAGTACTTGAACTTAAGAGGATAGAGGAAAAGCTTTTCCCCAACATCCCTTATCCTCTGGGCCAACCCCTTCAATATAAGGAGAAAATGAGAAGTTAAGCAGCTAAGTGAGGGAGGGAGGGATTCAGAGTTTGGATGTAGGGGCCCAGATTTCCCACTTACTAGTTGTGTGACCTTGAGTGGATTACTTAACCTGTCTGTGCTTAGGCACATCTATGACATTGGGCACATAATAGTACTCATCTCACGGAGTTGTTGTGTGAATTAAATGAGATAATGCCCATAAAGTGCTCAGAGCTGTTGGACATAGAGTAAGCACTGTATAATCATTATTTTTATTATTAAAGGGTGCTTGCCTGAAGGAAAGATTCTTGCCTGAGAACACTTAGTTAATGAAGCTTGGAACTGAAATGAGGCCGGGCACGTTGGCTCAGGCCTGTAATCCCAGCACTTTGGGAGGCCAAGGTGGGTGGGTCGCTTGAGGTCAGGAGTTCAAGACCAGCCTGGCCAACATGGCGAAACCCCATTTCTATTAAAAAAAAAAAAAATACAAAAATTAGCCAGACGTGGTGGTGCGCACCTGTAATCCCAGCTACTCAGGAGGCTGAGGCATGAGAATTGCTTGAACCCCAGAGGCAGAGGTTGCAGTGAGCCGAGATCACGCCATTGCACTCTAGCCTGGGCAACAGAGCGAGACTCTGTCTCAAAAAAAAAAAAAAAAAAAAAAAAAGAACTGAAATGAACAAACTTTCTTCTCCCTGTGTTAAATAACACTTAAGACCAAACAAAAATAATTTGCCTGCTTGCTCCAGGAAATATCTGCTCCTGAAAGAGAAGTTTGTAAACTAACTAAACAGTTTACCTATCAAGACTAACAGCTCATCAAGACGTTTTCAAGCCCTTACCTTGCTGGACTACCCCCACCAATCCATTATGTCATGAATTCTGCCCCACCCAACTAGTTTCCTTCTTTGCAAGACCCAACGTCAAATGACATGGACGGGGAAGGTAGTTCCAGACCCCCCTAGATCCAATGCCTGGTTATCTCTCTGGCATCTCAAACTTAACATATTCTAAGCTGAACTCTTTTTTTTTTTTTTTTTTTTTGAGGCAGGGTCTCACTCTGTCATCCAGGCTGGAGTGCATTGGCAAAATCTCAGTGCACTGCAATCTCTGCCTCCCAGGCTCAAGCAATCCTCCCACCACAACCTCCCAAGTAGCTGGGACCACAGCTGCATGCCACCACTCCTGGCTAGTTTTTATATTTTTTGTAGAGACAGGGTTTCATCAGGTTGCCCAGGCTGGTCTCAAATTTCTGGGCTCAAGCCATCCACCCACCTAGGTCTCCCAAAGTGCTAGGATTACAGGTGTGAGCTACTGCACCTGCCCTTAAGATGAACTCTTGATCTCCCCTCCTCTAATCTGTCCTCCACCATCTTCTCCATTTTAGGGAGTGACACACCTCTATTCATCCAGTTGCTCAAGTAGTCAGACTTGATACCTCCTCTCCCTTGCCCTTCACATGCAAAGCCTCAGCAATGTCTGCCAGTTCCACCTCCACACATGGAACAAAACTGTCTCCTCTTCTTCTCCCCATTACTCACAGAATCCTCCTAATATGGATCTCTGCTTTTGCTATCATCTTCCTAACATTCCTCCATTTCCTTTTTTTTTTTTTCCTCTTGAGACTAAGTTTTGCTCTTGTTGCCCAGGCTGGATTGCAATGGCGCGATCTCGGCTCACTACAACTTCTGCCTCCTGGGTTCAAGCAGTTCTTCTGCCTCAGCCTCCCAAGTAGCTGGGATTGTATTTTTCTATTTTTAGTAGAGATGGGGTTTCACCATGTTGGTTTCACCAGGATGGTCTCGAACTCCTGACCTTAAGTGATCCACCCACTTCGGCCTCCCCAAGTGCTGGGATTACAGGCATGAGCCACCACGCCTGGCTCTTTTTTTAATCTTTAATTTTTTTTAGAGATGTGGTCACACTCTGTTGCCTAGGCTGGTGCAATCATAGCTCACTATAGCCTCAAACTCCTGGCTCAAGCATTCCTCCTGTCTCAGCCTCCCAAGTAGTGGCACTACAGGCACAAGCCACCATGCCTGGCTAGGTTTTAAATTCTTTGTAGAAGCAGGGTCTCACTATGTTGCCCAGGCTGATCTCGAACTCCTGGGCTCAAGCGATCCTCCAACCTTGGCCTTCCAAAGTGCTAGGATTACAAGTATGAGCCACCACACCCAGCCTTCATCCATCTTCTGTACAACAGCCAGAGCACACATCAGATGGTGTCACTTGCCTCTCCCATTAGAACTTCCCAGTGGATTCCCACCCATCACATAAGGAATACAATCCAAACGCCTTACTGCTGGTCCCTGTTACTTCTCCAGTCTTATTTTATGCCTTCACTTTCCTCATTCATGGTACTCTGGCCAGGCTCAGAGCCTCTTTCCCATCTCAGAGCCTCTGCACTGGCTTTGCCCTCTGTCCAGTGCTCTCTGTCCCCGACTTTACATTGCTGGCTCCTTCTCATCCTTCACGTCTTCGGCAATCTAAAGTAAGTCTCCCTTGTTGCTCCCTTTTTTTTTTTTTTTTTTTTTTTTTGAGGCACAGTCTCACTCTGTCGACCAGGCTGGAGTGCAGTGGCACAATCTTGGCTCACTGCAACCTCCGCCTCCTGGGTTAAAGTGATTCTCCTGCCTAAGCCTCCCTAGTAGCTGGGATTACAGGCACCCACCACTATGCCCAGCTAATTTTTCTATTTGTAGTAGAGACGGGGTTTCACCATGTTGGCCAGGCTGGTCTGCAAATCCTGACCTCATGTGATCCACCGCCTTGGCCTCCCAAAGTGCTGGGAATACAGGCGTGAGCTACCCGGCCCAGCCTCACTTGTTACTCTCATCTGTGCACCAATCACTTGGTCCACAAGTTCATGGAATCAACTTCCTAATTTTGCTTAGTTATTTATGTATTGCTCTTCTCCACTGCACTTCAGGTGTTAAAGGCTTGTTTACCACTGTACACTCAACACTCAAGAACAATGCCTGTGTATATTTAGCCCTTATGGCAAGCTCATCGCCTTAATGGCCCCCAATTCAATAGCCTTCTTTCTTCCTGTAATTTTGTAAGTCCCTCCCACTTTGTCTCTGGCTCACCATGTGACTTGCTTTGGCCAATAAGATGTTAGCAGAGGTTTGAAAAGCACATGGGAGCTTCCTCTTGCCTTCCCACACAATTGGGCTTGTTTTTTCTTGGCCTCCTGCCACTGTCATGAGAGCACACCAGCTAGTCTGCTGGAAGGATGAGGAATGGGAGAGGAATGTGGAGGAGATCTGAGTCAGCCTAGCAGAGCACATCCAGAGTAGCTGACCCTCAGATGTGTGAAGGAGCCCAACCAAGATCAGCAGAGCCATCTGCCTGACCTGCAGCTGAGACACATAAATAAGAAACCTGACAGCTGGGTGTGGTAGCTCACACCTGTGATCCCAGCACTTTGGGAAGCTGAAGAAGGAGGATCACTTGAGGCCAGGAGTTCCAGACCAGCCTGGCCAACATGGCAAAACCCCGTCTCTACTAAAAAATACAAAAATTACCAGAATCGCCTGAACCTTGGAGGCGGAGGTTGCAGTGAGCTGAGATTGCACCACTGCACTCCAGCCTGGGTGACAGAATGAGACTCTGTATCAAAAAAACAAAAACAAAAAATTAGTCAGGTGTGGTGGCAGGCACCTGTAGTCCCAGCTACTAGGGAGCCTGAGGAACAAGAATCACCTGAGCTTGGGAGGCGGAGGTTGCAGTGAGCCGAGACCACGCCACTGCACTCCGGCCTGGGTGACAGAGGGAGACTCCATCTCAAAAAAACAAACAAACCAACCTGAGACCAGAGGAACCGTAAAGCCAACCTACAGAATTATGCACAACAATAAATATTATTATTTTAGGCCACTATGTCTTAGTCCATTTTATGCTACTGTGACAGAATACCACAGACTAAGTAATTTATAAAGAGCTAAAATGTATCCCTCACAGTTCTGGAGGCTGGTAAGTTCAAAGTCAAGGCAGCAGCAGGTTTATTGTGTGGTGAAGGTCCAATCTCTGCTTCTGAGATGGTGCCTGGAACACTGCATCCTCCACAAGGGAGGAACACTGTCCTCACATGAAGGAATGTGGAAGAGCAAAAAGAGATGAATTCCCTCTGTCAAGCCCTTTTATAATCCAATCATAGCTGGGTGCAGTGGCTCACACCTGTAATCCCAGCACTTTGGGAGGTCGAGGCAGGTGGATCATGAGGTCAGGAGATCAAGACCATCCTGGCTAACAGGGTGAAACCCCGTCTCTACTAAAAATACAAAAAATTAGCTGGGCATGGTGGCGGGCGCCTGTAGTCCCAGCTACTCGGGAGGCTGAGGCAGGAGAATGGCATGAACCCAGGAGGCAGAGCTTGCAGTGAGCCGAGATCACGCCACTGCTCTCCAGCCTGGGCGACAGAGTGAGACTCCGTCTCAAAAAAAAAAAAAAAATCCAATCATCATTGATCCATCCAGGAGGGCCAAGCCCTCATGGCCTAAACGCCTCCCAAAAGGTCCCACTTCCCAACACCATTGCAGGGTGAGTGGATATGGGAGGGCAGAAGGGAGGTGAGCATCCTAGGGACCACGTGTGGGGCCTTCAGAGTTCTACAGGGCCCTGGGCCATACACAGAGACTGCAGGGTGAGTTCTAACCAAGCTGGCATGGGCAGTGAGGCGTCTAGCACCAAGTACACAGACAAAGAGTGTGAAAAGCCGGCTGATACAGGAGGGCCCTTGGGAAGACTGCCTGCGCATCCCACAGGATTCTGGGCTCTGCAGTTCTCAGAGGAAAGGGCCAGCAGGTGGGTTTCCTTAGGCCCTGGGGTGGGAGGTGGGACATGCCTCTTTGGCACTCTGTGCTGTGTAACTGTTTTTGTTTTTGATTTGAGACAGGGTCTCACTTTGTCACCCAGTGGAATGCAGTGGTGCGATCTTGGCTCACTGCAACCTCTGCCTCCCAGTTTCAAGCAATTCTTCCTCAGCCTCCTGAGCAGCTGGAATTACAGGGACCCGTCACCATGCCGAACTAATTTTTGTATTTTTTGTAGAGATGGGTTTTTGCCATGTTGCCCAAAGCTGGTCTTGAACTCCTGAGCTTACGCAATCTGCCCACCTCGGCCTCCCAAAGTGCCAGGATTACGGGCATGAGCCACCGTGCCCGGCCCTGTGTGACGATTTATGTCCACCCCTGTCTCCTCAACAGCCCCAAGAAAACAGGGCCCATGTGGATCATGTTTGCCACTGGGCTCAGAACATGATGCCCCAAAGTATGGCACCTTGGAATGCAGGGTATTTTGAGCTTCAGGAGATTGAGAGGGCTGCAGAAGCAATAAGTTTTCTCTGAACTCCTGACTTCCTTTCTCCCATTCGCCTTTCTCTCCTAAAGTGGGTCAGAGAAACTAGAACTCCTCTTCCTGGAAACAAACCCTAAAAACTAGCAAGGTCACTCTCTGACCTCCTCCCTTCTCCCTTGAAGATCCTCCTGTGACAGGTGTCCTACCCCATACCTAGAGAGAAGGAATATCATACAGAGACACAAAAGAATTTGAACAAACAGGCCTAGCTGAGCTCCTCCTAATCTATTACTCTTAGGTCACACCCCCTTTTGTCCAATCACATTTCTATGTGACTGTTTTTGTGTGTGTGTGTGTTTTTTGAGACAGAGTCTCACTCTGTCGCCCAGGGTGGAGTGCAGTGGCGCGATCTCGGCTCACTGCAACCTCCACCTCCTGGATTCAAATGATTCTTCTGCCTCAGCTTCCCGGGTAGCTGGGACTACAGGCGCATGCCAACACACCAGGCTAATTTTCGTATTTTTAGTAGAGACAGGGTTTTGCTATGTTGTGCAGGCTGGTCTCAAACTCCTGACCTTGTGATCTGCCCACCTAGGCTTCCCAAAGTGCTGGGATTACAGGTGTGAGCCACCTCGCCTGGCCGTTTTTTCTTTCTTAATTGTATTAATTCACTTATTCACCTGTTTAGAAACAGGGTCCTGCTGCTTTGCCCAGGCTGGAGTACAGTAGCTGTTCACAGGCCTGATCACAGCGCTGGGCAGTCTGGAAGTCCTGGGGTCAAGCGATTCCCACCTCTTTCCCACTCCTTCCTGTGTGGCTGGGACTACAGGCACGTGCCACTGCGGCGGCTTGCCCTCAGTTTTGATTTGACTTCCCACACCCTGGAAGTGAGCAGAGGGGCCAGGAGGGTGGTGGGCAGCGAGAGGTTTGAGGAAGAGCAGATATCAGCCGTTTGCTCCTTCGGGCCTTGAAAATTCAGGGGTATGAGGATCTTGCAGATCAGCCGCCCCGGCAAGACAGTGGCTGACCCTTGGCAGGGAGCGGATCAGAGCCTCCAGTTAAGACAACTGGTTTGAAAAGTCTATCCCAGGTGGCTCTGAACTTGTCCTGTCCTCCCGGCTTCCTTCTCTACAGTCCCGGGGCGGACTTGTGCTCTTAGTAGAGGTCAGAACCAAGAACAGGTGTCCGCCTCAGAGGCCGGGTCCCCACTGCTTGGGCTGCGCTGGTTGCGGGTGCAGGGCGCCGTGTGGCCACCAGAGGGCACTCTTGACCAGGCGCCGGAACAAGCTCGCGCGACTGGGCTTTGCAGCCCCTCTTTCATCTTCCCACTGTCCCTGGGCTCCAGGGTCTGGCCCCTGGTCTTCCAGTTCAGTGGCCGGCACCCCCACACCCCTCGCCCTAATCCCAAAGGCAAGCACCACGCAAGGTCAGAGAAGGAGTATTGAAAAGAGACATGTACTTAAATTTGAATTTCAGATAAACAAATAGTATTTTTTTCCCTAGGCCACCATCTTTTGTGGAAAGGTATACTTTTTTTTAGCTTATGTCCAGCGCAATAGTTTTGCTAAATTTGGCGACCCTATTTTGGAATCAGACCTTTGCATTGGGATTCCAGCCTCACTTTTGACAAAAATTCTCTACTTGACCAAACTCTACTCAGGCACTTCTGAGCTCTTTTCCAGCTAGGCTTGACTTTTGGGTTTCTGTGTTATCTCTGCAACCTCAAACCCCTGGGCTCAAGGGATCCTCCCACCCCAGCCTCCCGAATAGCTAGGACTAATGCTCACATTACTACATCTAGCTAATTAAAAAAATATATTTTTTTTGGTAGAGATGGGAGTCTCACTATGTTGCCCAAGCTGGTTTTAAACTCCTGGCCTCAAATGATCCTTCTGCTTTGGCCATGGTGCCCGGCTTGCATCATCCAATTTTTACAAGAATCCTAAGTCAGTTGAGCAAGAATTCCCTACCTTTGATATCTGATCACTTTTTTTTTTTTTCAGACAGAGTTTCGCTTCTGTTGCCCAGGCTGGAGTGCAGTGGCATGATCTTGGCTCACTGCAACCTCCACCTCTGGGGCTCAAGCAATTCTGCCTCAGCCTCTGAAGTAGCTGGGTTTACAGGCGTGCGCCACCATTCCAGGCTAATTTTTGTATTTTTTTTTTTTTTTTTTTTAGTAGAGATGGAATTTCACCATGTTGGCCATGCTGGTCTGGAATTCCCAACCTTAGGTGATCCTCCTGCCTCAGCCTCCCAAAGTGCTGGGATTACAGGCACAAACCACCGCGCCCGGCCAATATCTGATCACTTTTATTTTTTTTGATATGGCATCTCCCTCTTTGCACACAGGCTGGAGTGCAATGGCGAGATCTCGGCTCACCGCAACCTCCGCCTGCCAGGTTCAAGTGATTCTCCTGCCTCAGCCTTCCGAGTAGCTGGGATTACAGGCACACGCCACCAGGCCCAGTTAATATTTTTGTATTTTTAGGAGAGACGGGGTTTCACCATGTTGGCCACGCTGGTCTCGAACTCCTGACCTCAGGTGATCCACCCGCCTCGGCCTCCCAAAGTACTGGAATTACAGGCATGAGCCACGGCGCCCGACCCTGATCACTTTTATTTTAGGAGGTGAGTTCTTTTAAATTATCACTCCCAGAGAGACTCTAAAATGAGACAAGCAATCATGCCCTAACTACCCTCTTTGAGCTATGCCTTCATCTCTTGAAACGGCTTGCTATTGCCATAAGTAGCTATAAATTAACCTAATAATGCCGTCCTAGACATTGTTACCACGCCCTATAGCTTAACAATGTATAGCCAATCATTAATCAATGCTATTTCTGTCAACCAATGAGAAGAATTCCTGACAAACAACTTTGTGGGTTTTTTTGTTTTGTTTTGTTTTGTTTTTTTGAGACGGTGTCTTGCTCTGTCACCAGGCTAGAGTGCAGTGGTGTGATCTTGGCTCACTGCAACCTCCGCCTCCTGGGTTCAGGTGATTCTCCTGCCTCAGGCCCCCCGAGTAGCTGGGGCTACAGGTGCGCACCAGCACGCCCAGCTAATTTTTGTATTTTTAGTAGAGACGGGGTTTCACCGTGTTGGCCAGGATGGTCTCGATCTCTTGACCTGATGTTCTGCCCTCCTCGGCCTCCCAAAGTGCTGGGATTACAGGCATGAGCCACTGGGCCTGGCCCACAAACAACTTTGTATCAGCCTGCTCCCTAGCC